>NC_000024.10:1426351-1726351 GCF_000001405.40 Homo sapiens
ATTCACTGCATGTTCTCTCTCCTGATGATGAATGGCAGGAGGTGTCATCAGCCCGTCTCCCTGTCTCCCAAAGCCTGCGTCCCTCCTGCACCCGACATCCCCACCTCTGCTTCCCGGAGGACGCCCTGTGAGGGACCCCTGGTGTTGGGAGGGCTGCATCCCTTCTAGGCTGCCACCGTGAGGGGCCCCTGAACAGAACAGCTGAAAGATGGGGCCTCAGGCCGGGCGCGCTGGCTCACGCCTGTAATCCCAGCACTTTAGGAGGCCGAGGCGGGTGGATCAGCTGAGGTCAGGAGTTCGAGACCATCCTGGCCAACATAGCGAAACCCTGTCTCTACTAAAAGTACAAAAATTAGCCGGGCTTGGTGGTGGGCGCCTGTAATCAGGAGGCTACTCCTGAGGCTACTCAGGATCTCCTCTTGAGATTCTTAATTACATCTGCTAAGACCCCTTTTTAAAACAAGGTCCCATTCACAGATTCTGGGGATCAGGCTATGAACAGATCTTTCAGGAGGACCACAGTTAGGAGGCTGAGGCAGGAGAATCGCTTGAACCCGGGAGGCAGAGGTTGCAGTGAGCCGAGATCATGCCACTGCACTCCAGCCTGGATGACAGAGCCAGACTCTGTCTCAAAAACAAAAACAAAAACAAAAAAAAGAGAAAAAGAAAAAAGGGTCTTTGCAGACGTAAGTAAGCTAGGGGACTTCAGATGAGTTGGAGTCAGTGGATTAGGGAGACCTCAAAATCCAATGACAGGTGTCCTTCTAAGAGACAGAAGAGACACAGACACAGAGGAGAAGGCCACGTGGAGACAAAGGCAGAGACTGGAGTGATACGGCCACAAGCCCAGGGATGCCTGGAGCCCCCAGGAGCTGGGAGAGGCAGGAAGGACCCTCCCCTGGGGCCTCCAGAAGGAACTGGATACATCTGTAGTGGACTGAACTGTGGTCCTCCTGAAAGATCTGTCCATATCCTGATCCCCAGAATCTGTGAATGGGACCTTGTTTTAAAAAGGGGTCTTGGCAGATGTAATTAAGAATCTCAAGAGGAAATCATCACGAAGAAGGGTGGACTCCAAGTCCAATGACAGGTGTCCTTCTAAGAGACAGAGGAGGAGACACAGACACAGTGGATGAGGCCACGTGGAGGACGTGGCAGAGACTGGAGTGATGCGGCCACAAGCCCAGGGATGCCTGGAGCTGTCAGGAGCTGGGAGAGGCAGGAAGGACCCTCTCCTAGAACCTTCGGAGAAAGCATGGCCCTGAGACAACCTGACCTCAGACTGCCAGCCTCCAGGACAGTGAGAAGTAAATTCCCTTTGATTTAAGCCGAGTGTGTAGGCTCATTTGTGAAATGTGGCCTGAGGAGACAGACACAGGTACCTTGGATAGCATAAAGCCCTCAATCAGCTCCAGGAGGCGTGTCGGGAACGGAGGCAGGGTCTCCCGAGTCCTGTGACACTCAGCCTCTGCCGTGGCCTGTCCCGCCTCTCCCGCCTCGGCCTTCTCATCGCGGCTGCCCGCGTCCCTCTGAGTGGGCTCCGAGCCGCCCCCCTCCACGTCACTGAGGTCTTCGAAGGTGTCCGCGGCCGGGATGGAGTCGTGCTTGACACTCCGCCGCAGGTCCTCCGGACGGGGCGGGTAGTAGAGCTTCACCAGCTGCTTGCAGAAGTGGTTCAGCGGGAATCCCACCACGTTCAGAAAGTCCCCGTGTACGGACTCCACCAGCATGCCGCCCAGGGCCTGGATCCCGTAGCCGCCAGCTTTGTCCCTGGGTGGGCAGGGGAAGGTAAGAGGTGACAAGGAGGAGAAAAGTTCCTGGGTCTGAACATTTCACGGCTGGGAGGCGGAGGTGGGTGGATCACGAGGTCGGGAGATCGAGGCCATCCTGGCTAACACAGTGAAACCCTGTCTCTACTAAAAAAAATACAAAAAATTAGCCAGGCGTGGGGGCAGGCGCCTTTGGCATCTCAAAAAAAAAAAAAAAAAGAAAAACAATTTCACAGCAAGGCTGGGCGCAATGGCTCACGGCTGTAATCCCAGCACTTTGGGAGGCCGAGACGGGTGGATTACTTGAGGTCAGAAGTTCAAGACCAGCCTGGCCAACACGGTGAAACCCCATCTCTACTAAAAATACAAAAATTAGCCGGGTGTGGTGTGGTGGCACACGCCTGTAATCCCAGCTACCCAGGAGGCTGAGACAGGAGAATCACTTGAACCCAGGAGGAGGAGGTTGCAGTGAGCCGAGATCGTGCCACTGCACTCCAGCCTGGGCGGCAGAGGAAGACTCCGTCTCAAATAAATAAATAAATAAATAAAATTTCATGTGTTAAATGGGATGTTTTGACATATGTATACATGCGTCATCATTAAATCAAGCCAATTATCCCATTCAGCATCTCATCTACGAATTGTGTGTGTGTGTGTGGGGAGAAGACTTCAGATCTAGTGTGCTGGCAATTTACCAGTAAGACACTGTTCCTATAAACCACAGTCACAGGCTGTAAAGAGCCTTGAACTTCTTCCTCCTGTCTCACTTTTTTATTTTTTATTTTTATTTTTTAAAGACAGAGTCTCGCTCTGTCGCCCAGGCTGGAGTGCAGTGGCGCGATCTCGGCTCCCTGCAACCTCCGCCTCCTGGGTTCAAGCGATTCTCCTGCCTCAGCCTCCCGGGTAGCTGGGATGACAGGCACCTGCCAACACACCCGGCTAATTTTTGTATTTAGTAGAGACGGGGTTTCACCATGTTGGCCACGATGGTCTCGAACTCCTGACCTCAGGTGATGCGCCTGCCTCGGCCCCCCAAAGTGCTGGGATTACAGGTGTGAACCACCACGTCTGGCCCTCTTTTCTCTTTCTTATTTTATCTATTTTTTTTTTTCAAGACAGGGTCTCACTCGGTTGCTCAGGCTGAAGTGCAGTGGTACATTCTTGGTTCTCTGCTCCCTCAAAATTCTGGGCTCAAATGATGCTGTAATCTCAGCCTCCCACGTAGCAGGGACACACTCAGCTAGTTTTATCATTTTTTATAAAGATGGGGTTTCACTCTGTTGCCCAGGCTGGTCTCGAACTCCTGGGATGAAGTGATCCTCCCGTCTTGGCTTGAGCTACTGTGCCCGGCCTGTCTTTCTTTAAATGTATGTAAACATTAAAGTATGTATGAAAGTGCAGGTGTTGGGCTGGGCGCGGTGGCTCCCAGCACTTCGGGAGGCTGAGGCAGGCAGATCACCTGAGGTCAGGAGTTCGAGACCAGCCTGGCCAACATGGCAAAACCCCTTCTCTACTAAAAATAAAAAATTCGCCAGGCGTGGCGGTGGGTGCCTGTAGTCCCAGCTACTTGGGAAGCTGAGGCAGGAGAATCGTTTGAAACTGGAAGGTGGAGGTTGCAGTGAGCCAAGATCGCGCCACTGCACTCCAGCCTGGGTGACGGAGGAAGACTCCGTCTCAAAAAAAATTTCATGTGTTAAATGGGATGTTTTGATATATGTATACATGTGACATCATTAAATCAAGCCAATTATCCCATCGAGCACCTCATGTACCTATTCTGTGTGTGTGGGGAGAAGACTTCAGATGTAGTGTGCTGGCAATTTTCCAGTAAGACACTGTTCCTGTAAACCACAGTCACTAGGCTGTAAAGAGCCTTGAACTTCTCCCGTCTCACTTAATTTTTTTTTTTTAAAAGACGGAGTCTCGCTCTGTTGCCCAGGCTGGAGTGCAGTGGCGCGATCTCGGCTCACTGCAACCTCCACCTGCTGGGTTCAAGCGATTCTCCTGTCTCAGCCTCCTGGGTAGCTGGGATTACAGGCACCTGCCACCACACCGGGCTAATTTTTGTATTTTTAGTAGAGATTGGGATTTGCCATATCCAGGCTGGTCTTGAACTTCTGACCTCAGGTGATCCGCCTGCCTCGGCCTCCCAAAGTATTGGGATGACAGGCGTGAGCCACCATGCCTGGCCCTGATTTAAATCTTGTATCCTTTGACCAAGTGCAACTGTTTTATATTCCATATAAGTGAGATCCTGTGGTATGTGTCTTCTTCTGCCGGGCTTATTTCAATTGATGTAAAATCCTCTAGGTTAATATACATATATATTACGCAGACTCCATCTCTACAAAAACTAACAATAAAATCGGCCGCGTGTGTTGGTGCGTGTCCTGTGGTCCCACCTACTCAGGAGGCTTTGGTGGAAGGATCGCCTGAGCCCAGGAGTTCAAGACCAGCCTGGGCAACATAGTGAGACCCCATTGCTACAAAAAATAGAAAAAATTAGCCAGGCGTGGTGGTATGCGTCTGCAGACCCAGCCACTAGTGGGGCTGAGGTGAGAGGATCATTTTGACTCAAGAGGCTGACGCTGCAGTGAGCTATGACTGTACCACTGCACTCCAGCCTGGGTGACAGAGTGAGACCGTGTCTCAAAAAAATAAATAAAATTATTTATATAAATATATAAAATAAACATATATTTTATACAAATGTATTTATATACATATATTTATATATTTATATACTTTTATAATATAAAAATATATTTTATATAATTATATATTTATATAACACATAATACATTATATATTATATATAACTAATATGTATTACATATATTTAATTAATATATAATTTACATATAATCACACTTTATATTATTATGTAATATGTATTAATATGCAGTTACATATATTAATCATATTTAATACATATTACATATTATCCATATATTCATATATTTCTATATTATATAAATATATAATTATATTTTATAATATATAATCATTTTATAATTATATATATAATTATATATAATTTATATTTATATAATTGTTTATAATTATATATAATTATATATCATTTATAATTAATTATATATAATTATAAATTATATTTATATATAATTATAAATATATGTAATTATATATTTATATATAAATAAAATTAAATATATAAAATATATAAAATTATATATTTTATATATAATTATAAATAATTATAAATATAAATTATATAATTTATATATAATTATAATCGATTATAACTACCTATTATATAATCTATTTTAACAGTTATATAACCTATCATATAATCTATTATAACAGTATATATTATAATAGATGGTATATATTACATTAATATTAATCACTACTTATTAAAATTAATCATTAAAAATCATTAAATTTCAATCAAAAGTGTTAATATATAATCTATATTATAATATCTATATGTAATATAGTATACATATTACAGTATAATCTATTATAGTATATAATACAATATATTATAAATATATATTATATAATTTGTATAATGTAGATTATATATAATTAATAGAATATATAATGTGGAATACATAAATTATATATAATTGTAAATATATATCATGTTACATTATATAATGTATAATTATGTAGACATTATATGACATATGATGTAGATAAATATAATACATATAAACGCAAATGGTGGGTGATGAAGTGAAGCTGATTGGTGCACGCATACTTCCCGTGCTCACCAATCTGTGGACGGGACGACAGGTAGAATCACCTCTTAGGGTGACTTTGGATCACAGAGTTTATTCGTGTTAATTGCAGCCAGCGTCCTGGGCACAGACCTCTGGGGTCTCCTCCTCCCACCACGTGAACTCCTCTACCCCTGCCCAGCGCCTCCCCAGTCCCCACCGCAGCCCAGCGTTGGCTCCCACCCTGCCCCTCTCTGTCCTGGGAGTTTGCCTCTTTGAGCCTCCATGGGTCAGTGTGGTCGTGAAGGGTTTGTGCTTCTGAGCCGGGCGGCTCTCCCTGTGCCACACGGCCCCCGGAGCGGGGCCTCCTTCTTTCCCAAAGGCTGGGTGGGACACCCCACGTGTGAGGGTGGCCAGGCTTCCACACGTGTCCCCCGTCCCCCCACCGCCCCCGAGACTCACATGGGCTCCCCGCTGTGGACGTATTCCCAGAGCAGCTCCTCGGACAGCTCCGAGAACTTCACCTTCGTTTCCTCGTAGAATTCCGAGACCCTGGTGTCCAGCTGATGGTCTGCAAGGACACAGCCGTGGGGGTGAGCGTGGACGCCAGCTTGTCACCTCCGTGCCCTGACAGCTGCGTGGCTGTGCTGTGGAGGTGTGTACTCGAGCGCAGCGCACAGTTCAGATATGGATGCTTCATGGGAGAATAAGGTTCATTTCGGACAAGAAAAGGGAGAAAGGGGCCGGGCGCGGTGGCTCACGCCTGTCATCCCAGCACCTTGGGAGGCCGAGGCGGGTGGATCACGAGGTCAGGAGTTCGAGACCATCCTGGCTAACACGGTGAAACCCCGTCTCTACTAAAAATACAAAAAATTAGCCAGGCCTGGTAGTAGGTGCCTGTAGTCCCAGCTACTCGGGAGGCTGAGGCAGGAGAATCGCTTGAACCCGGGAGGTGCAGGTTGCAGTGAGCCGAGATCGCGCCCCTGCATTCCAGCCTGGGCCACAGAGCGAGACTCCGTCTCTAAAAAAAACAAAAGAAACAGCAGTTTGGGCGGCCGAGGCGGATGGATCACCAGAGGCCAGGGGTTCGAGACCAGCCTGGCCAACATGGCGAAACCCCGTCTCTACTAAAAATACAAAAATTAGCCGGGCGTGGTGGCATGCACCTGTCATCCCAGCTACTCGGGAGGCTGAGGCAGGAGAATCGCTTGAACCCGGGAGGCGGAGGTTGCAGTGAGCCAAGATCACGCCACTGTACTGCAGCCTGGGCGACAGAGCGAGACTCTGTCTCAAATAAATAAATAATAAAAGAAACAGATGTTTGGTCTGTGCCTCAGGGTCCGGACACAGAGCCCCTGAATCCCGGGGAATCTGTTGAGTGACAGGAGCGAAAGCAGGCGTTTTGCTATGTGGTGACAAGCCCCTTTCATCCGCAGGGGACCTTATGTTAATGAGGGGCCTTTTGGAAAGGGCAGGCTTTGGTTGTCATGGGAACAGGGGGAGGGGGCTGGAGATGGAGTTTGCTCCCCAGTGGCGGATGATGTCGTTAATCCTGGCCTTTTAAGAGACCCAGAAGGGACCGCGCGCGGTGGCTCACGCCTGTCATCCCAGCACTTTGGGAGGCCGAGGCGGGCGGATCACAAGGTCAGGAGATCGAGACCCTCCTGGCTACCACGGTGAAACCCCGTCTCTACTAAAAAAAAAAAAAAAAAAAAAATAGAAAAAATTAGCCGGGCGTGGTGGCGGGCCCGTCGTCCCAGCTACTCGGGAGGCTGAGGCAGGAGAAGGGCGTGAACCCGGGAGGCGGAGCTTGCAGTGAGCCGAGATGGCGCAAGTGCACTCTAGCCTGGGCGATAAAGCGAGACTCTGTCACAAAAAAGAAAAAAAAAAGAGACCCAGAAGGACAGGGTTCAGGGAGCTTCTGGTGGGTGAACACATCAGGGTGTTGGCAGAGCTGTGCCACGGCGGGCATGGAGGCTCCATACATCCTGCACCCAGCACCCTGCGCTGTGCCTGGCTTCTGTCTGGCACTTCCTGACCTGCTCCTTCATAACAAAACCCCAAGCTGGGAAGGAAAGTGCTGTCCCGAGTTCTGTGAGCCCCTCGAGCAAATGACCCAACCTGAGCAGGTGCTTGCAGGAGCCAGCAGTGAGCGGCAGGTGGGTGAGAAAACTACAGGTGTGACCAGGGATATGGGGCTGGGATTGTGCGTGGAGGTCCCATGGGACCCGGCCCTTCACCTGTGGGATCTGCGCTAACTCCGACGGCTACTGTCAGAACTGACTGAATTCTACGATGCCTCCTGGTGTCCGCCAACAAGCTGGGAATGGGTTGGTGCAGGAAGAACCCAGCAATATGGTGATACAACTGCCTGGGCCGGGCACCGTGGTGCACACCTGCAGTCCCAGCAATATGGTGAACACCTGCAGTCCCAGCACTTTGGGAGGCTGAGATGGGAGGATTTCTTCAGCCCAGGAGTTCGAGACCAGTCTGGGCAACATAGCAAGACCGCACCTCTATAAAAAATACAAAAATGAGCCAGGTGTGGTGGCGTGTGCCTGTAGTTTCTGTGACTGTAGGGGCTGAGGCGGGAGGATCGCTGGAGCTCAGGAGG
This sequence comes from Homo sapiens, assembly GCF_000001405.40. Taxonomy (NCBI): domain Eukaryota; kingdom Metazoa; phylum Chordata; class Mammalia; order Primates; family Hominidae; genus Homo; species Homo sapiens. The sequence continues at coordinate 1,434,421 of NC_000024.10, forward strand.
TCGAGGCTGCAGTGAGCTATGATCACACCACTGCACTCCAGCCTGGGTGACAGAGGGAGACCCTGTCTCAAAAAAAAAAAAAAGAAAGAAAGAAAGAGAAAGGCCGGGTGCAGTAGCTCACACCTGTAATCCCAGCACTTTGGGAGGCTGAGGCGGGTGGATCACCTGAGGTCAGGAGTTCGAGACCAGCCTGGCCAACATGGTGAAACCCCGTCTCTACTAAAAATACAAAAATTAGCCGGGCATGGTGGTGGGCACCTGTAATCCCAGCTACTGAGGCAGAAGGATCACTTGAACTTGGGAGGCGGAGGTTGCAGTGAGCTGAGATCGTGCCACTGCCCTCCAGCCTGGGTAAGAGAGCGAGACTCCATCTCAAAAAAAAAAAAAAAAGAAAGAAAAAGAAAAAGATAAAACCACACGTTTTCCTTTGTCCTGCAGACTTCCAAATCGGCGGACAACTTTCCCAAGCAGGACATAGGCACAAACCCCTCCACAGGTGGGGGTGAGCAACCGTCCTCCTCCCTCAAGCCAAGGGTCCCGAGAATGTCCCGGGTCCTTGTCTCGGCCTCTGGGGCTACCCCGAAACCTGGGCCGCGGTTACCTTTGCTGGAGCAGTGGACGATCGCGACACCTGTGAACACGCTGTGTTCTCTCCCACTCAACCTGTAAGACAACAACGGGTGACCACGTGACCATGCTGTGACCCGTGGGAGCTACAAAGCGAGTTTCTCAAAACCAGGGGAGGCAGCGAGGCGTCCTTAATCCTGGATCCGTCCCCAGCATCTTCTCCCCGATCGTCCCGCTGTGGGGTCTCCAGGGAAACCTTTACGGAGAGGCCGAGGGAAGGGGTCACAAATCCCACCAGCAGTGGCCCTGACGGGAGGCGCCAGGCCAGGCAGCTCTCAGCTGGGCCTATGGCGGGCAGGGGGTGCATCTCTTCCACGTCCTGGGATGGGGATGACGTCCCAGGCTACGGGCTCAGGTCCAGGATGCCCAGTGGGAAGGACAGGACACTGCCAACTTCTCATGACCCCAACAGTCTGCAGTGGGCATGAGACATTCTGGGATCAGTGCTGCAGAATCCTAGACAAGGATGAGCATGGAGGGATAGTGCCTGCCTCCCTGCATAGCTCAGACAGCACAGCTCAGACAGCACAGCTCAGACGGCAGAGCTGACAGAGATCCACCCTGCTCCCCAGGACACCCGGCCAGATACCACAGCTACTCTGTGGCTCAGAACCCGAGAGGGCTCAGAGGCCAACATGGTGCTTACCGGGACAGCATCCTGTAGGCGTCCTGCTTGTCCACCGGCTTCTCCAGAATCAGCCCCCCGACTGTCTGTGAGAGGAAGGGACAGAGGGAGTTGGTTCCCACCGGCTGGGTCAGGCCTGTGCAAGTCCCACGGTCCCATTCGCAGAAGTCACTTGTTTTATGGAAATGAAGCTGACACGTCCTGAGAGTCGCCATTTCAAACAACTAACCAGAGTTGCCATGTTGTACCACCACTACCTGCCTGGTTCCAGGATGTTCTCTTCACTCCAGAAGGAGACCCTGTCCCCACGCAGCTGTCCCTCCCCAGTGCGCCTCCCCAGATCCTGGTAACCGCCCATCCTCTTTCTTTCACCGTGCGTTTGCCTGTTGCGGACGTGGTGTAGTCATGGAATCCTGCAACGTGTGGTCCTCCGGGGCTGGTTTCTGTCACTGACCGTGATGTCCTCAACATTCATCCATGTTGCAGCCTGTTTCACAGCCTCGTTCCTTTCCTTTTCTTGAGATGGAGTCTCACTCTGTCGCCCAGGCTGGAGTGCAGTGGCACGGTCTTGGCTCACTGCAACCTCCGCCTCCGGGGTTCAAGTGATTCTCCTGCCTCAGCCTCCCGAGTTGCTGGGAATACAGGTGCACACCACCATGCCTGGCTAATTTTTGTTATTTTTTATTTATTTATTTTTTGAGACAGAGTCTCGCTCTATCACCCAGGCTGGAGTGCAGTGGCGCGATCTCGGCTCACTGCAAGCTCCGCCTCCCGGGTTCACGCCATTCTCCTGCCTCAGCCTCCCGAGTAGCTGGGACTACAGGCGCCCGCCACCACACCCGGCTAATTTTTTGTATTTTTAGTAGAGACGGGGTTTCACCATGTTGGCCAGGATGGTCTCGATCTCCTGACCTTGTGATCCACCCGCCTCGGCCTCCCAAAGTGCTGGGATGACAGGGGTGAGCCACCGCACCCGGCCAGCCTCATTCCTGTTCATGGCTGCATAATATTCCACTGTGTGTGGATGGACCATGTTGTAATTTCCCATTTACCCACTGACAGACACTTGAGCTGTTTCTGCCTTTTAGCTGTTGTGAATAGTGCTGCTGTGAACATTCATGTAGAAGGTTTTGGTGGAACACCTGTTTTGAATCCTTTTGGGTACATACAAGAGTAGATGTATTAGTCTGACTGGGCCACCATAGCAAAGTCCTACAACCCAGGTGGCTTAAACTACAGACATTGATTCTCCCATCGTCGTGGAGACTGGAAGGGCGAGATCCAGGTGTGGGCAGGGCTGGTTCCTCCTGAAGCCTCTCTCCTGGGCTTGGAGATGCCATCTTCTCCCTGTGTCCTCACAGACTCGTCCCTCTGTATCTGTGTCCTCATCTCCTCTTCTTATGAGATGCTTTAGTCCATCTCAGGCTGCTGTCACAGAATACCACAGACTGGGTGGCTTATAAACAACAGGCAGTGATTCTCCCACAGCCCTGGAGGCTGGAGGTCTGAGATCCAGGTGTGGGCAGGGCTGGTTCCTCCTGAGGCCTCTCTCCTAGGCTTGTAGACGCCGTCTTCTCCCTGTGTCCTCACAGGGTCATCCCTCTGTGTGTGTCTGTGTCCTTATCTGCTCTTCTTATGAGGTGTCTTAGTCCATTTCAGGCTGCTAAAACAATACTATAGACTGGGTGGCTTATAAACAGCAGACATTGATTCTTCCATAATCCTGGAGTCTGGAAGTCTGAGATCCAGGTGTGGGCAGGGCTGGTTCCTCCTGAGGCCTCTCTCCTGGGCTTGGAGACGCCGTCTTCCCCCTGTGTCCTCACAGGGTCGTCCCTCTGTGTGTGTCTGTGTCCTCATCTCCTCTTCTTATGAGATGTCTTAGTCCATTTCAGGCTGCTATCACAGAATACCATAGACTGGGTGGCTTATGAACAAAAGACATGGGCCGGGCGTGGTGGCTCACGCCTGTAATCCTAGCACTTTGGGATGCCGAGGCGGGTGGATCACAAGGTCAGGAGATCGAGACCATCCTGGCCAACATGGTGAAACCCCGTCTCTACTAAAAATACAAAAAATTAGCCACACGTGGTCGCGCGCACCTGTAGTCCCCGCTACTCGGGAGGCTGAGGCAGGAGAATCATTGAAACCCGGGAGGCGGAGGTTGCAATGAGCTGAGATCATGCCACTACAGTCCAGCCTGGCGACAGAGTGAGACTCCATCTCAAAAAAAAAAAAAAGGAGAAATGGGTCTTTGCCTAGGTAATTAAGATGCGGTTGGACAGAATTAGGATGCGCATTTTATGAGTGGTGTTGTTAAAAGAAGGGGAAAATTTCAGCCGGGCGCGGTGGCTCACGCCTGTCATCCCAGCACTGTGGGAGGCTAAGGTGGGCAGATCACTTGAGGTCGGGAGTTTGAGACCAGCCTGGCCAACATGGTGAAACCCCGTCTCTACTAAAAATACAAAAATCAGCCGGGCGTGGTGGCGGGTGCCTGTGATCCCAGCTACTCAGGAGGCAGGAGAATCGCTTGAACCCGGGAGGCGGAGGTCCCGGTGAGCCGAGATCACGCCACTGTAATCCAGCCTGGGCAACACAGTGAGACTCTCTCTCAAAAAAAAAAAAGAAGAGGGAAATTTGGCCACAGACACCCAGAGGGGAGAAGGCCACATGGAGATGGAGGCACAGATAGGAACCACAGGGCCATGAGCCAAAGGAGACAATGGGTTGCCAACAGCCTCTAGGAGCTGGAGAAAGACCAAGACCAACTTCTCCTCAGTACCTCTGGAAGGAAGAAACCCTACAGACACCGTGATTTGTGGTTGCTGGCCTCTAGAACTGCGTACCTTCCTGTGCCTTTTGAGACGGAGTCTCGCTCTTGTCACCCAGGCTGGAGTGCAGTGGCGCGATCTCGGCTCACTGCAACCCCGCCTCCTGGGTTCGAGCGATTCCCCTGCCTCAGCCTCCCGAGTAGCTGCGATTACAGGCGGAGTCTGTATTCTGTATCATTGATGATATAGAATTAATGTAGCTTATCTGTTACTATGTGTTATAATATTCTCTTGCAATTGATATCATATAGTATCACTTATGATACTATCAATTAGCCACCACGTCTGGCTAATTTTTGTATTTTTAGTAGAGATGGGGTTTTACCGTGTTGGTCGGGCTGATCTCGAACCCATGACCTAAGGTGATCCGCCCACCTCGGCCTCCCAAAATGCTGGGATGACAGGGGTGAGCCACGGCGCCTGGCCCCTTCCCGTGCCCTTAGGCCCCTCATCTGCTGGTAGTTTGTGATGGGAGTTTCTGGAAGCGAGTCCACTGCTGTCTTAAGGGGAATGTACAACATCCACAAGAGGCAGAATCACCAAGCACAGGAAAACCACATCGGACATTAGAAACGAGGCACCCTGGCCGCACTCACCACGATCGTGTCCGCTCCAATGACCACGTCGGGGGCCCGCAGGTCTTTCTGTAAGAAAACCAGATTCCGGTTTACCGGTGACGTGCCGTGGGTCTCACAGAGAAGTTTTCCCGTCGGTACGGGCGTGAAAGAGCACCGCAGGGGCGAAGCCAGGCCGACTTTGGAAGTGAAGGCTGGGGGTGCTCAAGGTCACGAGCAAGGACACAAGTGGGTCCCGCCGGTGGTCGCCCTGCAGGGGCTGGAACGTGGGTGAGGCCGGGGCCCACGGGGGCTGCGTGATCAGGGGTCAGGCACTCACGGAGCATCTCACGGGCACTACGGGAAACGCAATGCCTGTTCCGTAAGCTTTTGTTCTTCCGGGCGGCAGGTAAGGTTTGATTCAGGGGCCCCAAACCTCCCTGAGTTACCCAGAATTAAGGCCAAAAGGTTTTTGATCCGTTCAATGTAATTTCAGAAAAAGCTACTTAGGGCTGGGCGCGGTGGCTCACGCCTGTCATCCCAGCACTCTGGGAGGCCGAGGCGGGCGCATCTCCTGAGGTCAGGAGTTCGAGACCAGCCTGGCCAACATGGTGAAACCCCGTCTCTACTAAAAATACAAAATATCAGTCGGGCACCTGTAATCTCAGCTACTCAGGAGGCTGAGGCAGCAGAATCGCTTGAACCTAGGAGGCGGAGGTTGCAGTGAGCCAAGGTTGCGCACCTGCACTCCAGCCTGGGTGACAGAGTGAGACTCAGTCTCCAAAAAAAAAAAGAAAAAAAAAAACAAGGAAAAGAAAGAAAAAGAAAAAGGTACTTAGGACGATAAAACAAATCCAGGTTGAAAATTCAGCCTCAGAGCAACAGGCAGTCACAGGACATCTGTGTGCAGCTTTGACCTTAGCTCAGCCCCGCACTGGCCTCCCTAAGCTGTGCACTGCCAAAACCCACAATCAATACTCCTGTCTTGATAGCACGACTCACAACAGCCTTACCTCTAATGTATTTCTTTCTTTCTTTTTTTTTTTTTTTGAGATGGAGTCTCGCTCTGTCGCCCAGGCTGGAGGGCAGTGGCGCGACCTCGGCTCACTGCAAGCTCCGCCTCCCGGGTTCACGCCATTCTCCCGCCTCAGCCTCCCGAGTAGCTGGGACTACAGGCGCCCGCCACCGCGCCCAGCCAATATTTTGTGTGTGTTTTTAGTACAGACGGGGTTTCACCGTGTGAGCCAGGATGGTCTTGAACTCCTGACCTCGTGATCCGCCCGCCTCGGCCTCCCAAAGTGCTGGGATGACAGGTGTGAGCCACTGCACCCGGCCCCGAATGTATTTCTTATATTAACAGTAATGGTATATTGTGTGGTAACACACAGCAGCAGGGAAGCTACATTAACTCTATATCCTAAATGATAGCATTATATTCATTGTAACAGCAAGTTAAAACACACAGTAATAGCTATGTTAATTTTATATACTGTGACTGACATTATGTTAGAGTCATATATAACATATAGTAATTGATAAGCTACATTAATTGTACATCCTAAATGACAGTAGTGTATTAATTATAATAGTGTATTACGGTGGGGTGCGGTGGCTCACGCCTGTAATCCCAACACTCCGGGAGGCCGAGGCGGGTGGATCACCTGAGGTCAGGAGTTGGAGACCAGCCTGGCCAACATGGTGAAGCCCCATCTCTACTAAAATAATATGTATTACATAGGAGCATATAGTAACAGATAAATGACATAATTCTACATTATGATACAATTATATTAATTGTCATAGTATATTACATAGTATCACACAGTAACATATTAATTCTATGTATCACAACACATAGTAATGGATGTTAATTCTATATCGTAACTGATATTACTATATTAATTGCAATATTATATTCAAACATAGTAACAAGCTACATGAATCTTAAATCTTAAATGATAGTAGTATATTAATTATAATTGTATATTGCATTGTAGCATACAGCAACAGATAAACTGCATAATTCTATATTATAAATGATATTATTTTAATTAAAATCCGATATTACTTAGTGGCATGGTAATAAGCTACATAATTCTATATCATAAATGATACTATTATATTAATTGCAAGAGAATATTATAACACATAGTAATAGATAAGCTACATTAATTGTATATCATCAACGAGACTATTATATTGATTGCAAGATAATTTTTGTTTTAATTTTTTATTTTTTGGAGACGAAGTCTTGCTCTGTTGCCTAAGTTGGAGTGCAGTGGGATGATCTCGGCTCACTGCAACTTCCGTCTCCCAGGTTCACGCAATTCTCCTGCCTCAGCCTCCTGAGTAGCTGGGATTACAGGCACCCGCCACCACGCCCAGCTAATTTTTGTATGTTTAGTAGAGACGGGGTTTCACCCTGTTGGTCAGGCTGGTCTCGAATTCCTGACCTCAGGTGATCTGTCCGCCTTGGCCTCCCAAAGTGCTAGGATTATAGGTATGAGCCACCGCGACCGGCCACAAGAGATTATAATACATAGTAATAGATAAGCTACATTAATTCTATATCATAAATGATACTATGAAATCAATTGCAAGAGAATATTATAACACATAGTAACAGATAATCTACATTAATTCTATATCATAAATGATACTGTGATATCAATTGTGACAATATTATAACACATAGTAATAGATAAGCTACATTAATTCTGTATCATCAATGATACTATGATATCAATTGCAAGAGGATATTATAACACATAGTAATAGATAAGCTACATTAATTGTATATCATAAATGATACTGTATCAATTGCGAGAAATTATTATAACACATAGTAACAGATAAGCTACATTAATTGTATATCATCAATGATACTGTATCAATTGCAAGAGAATATTATAACACACAGTAACAGATAAGCTCCATTAATTCTGTATCATTAATGGTATTATTAGGTTACTGCAATAGTGCATTACATTATAACATAGCAATAGCTAAGCTGTGCCACCAACTGCATCTTTTGAATGACGTTTATTTGTGTCATGTATATTTACCACCCGCAAATCCCCTCATCACAGCAAAGGAATTTTCATAAGGGCCGAAGGGCAGGGGCCCCTTGCCTGGTACAGCCGGTTGGCCACCTCCAGGGCCTTCTGCTTGGCGGTCTCCATGGCGTACCCATACGGAGTAGCGAAGGAGGCTTTGTCCAGCTTCTCTTTAAACTTGGAGGGGACCACCTCAAACCTGAGACCCTGCAACAGTAGAAAAGGGGTCAGAAGGGTCAATGAAAGACCCTATGAAAAGTGAATGGGACATGCAAGATTTGCAGGACGCACATAGCGTTTGCTACACTCCCCGACCCTGTCCCAGGTGAGCTCATCCATCCGCCAAGCTTTCCCTAAGTGTGGCTGGGGAGCCGGGGACTGACCAGGGCTTTCCCTAAGTGTGGTTAGTGGGCCGCGGACTGACCAGGGGCCTTCAGGGACTGACCAGGGGCCTTCTTGGCTCTCGAGGGAAGAGATTGGCAAAGGAAGAAGCCAGGAACAAAGAGGCCAGCAGGGAGGTATTGACTCGGGCCTTGAACCCACGAGCCAACAGTGTCCGAGGATTCCCAGAGACCTGAAGGTTGGGGCAGAGTACAAAACCCAACCTGCCCACAGGAAATTCAGGAAAAACGCCAGCAATGATGGCTGTGGGAAGGGAGACAATGATGGCTCTACGTCAATCCCTGGTACCCAGGAAGAGACAACACCGCCCCTGGGGAGGCCTGGCCTAGAGGTAGTGACCCCTGCAGAGACCGTGGGGTCAGGAATGATGGTGGTAAATGCCTCCAGTGGGGGAGCCCCTGGCTGCCACACCCTGCCAGGGTGCAGGGAACTCCGCATCTCCCCTCTGACCATCTCCCCTCTGACAGAGCAAAAGCATCGCCATCTTGGACACACACCGCCATCTTGGAGAGACACCACCATCTTGGACGCATACCACCATCGTGGACACACACCGTCGTCGTGGACACACACTGCCATCTGGGACACACACCGTCGTCGTGGACACACACCGCCGTCGTGGACACACGCCGCCATCTTGGACACACACCGCCATCGTGGACACACACCGCCATCGTGGACACACACTGCCATCTGGGACACACACCGTCGTCGTGCACACACACCGCCGTCGTGGACACACGCCGCCGTCTTGGACACACACCGCCATCATGGACACACACCGCCATCTTGGACACACACCGCCATCTTGGACACACACCGCCATCTTGGACAGACACCGCCATCTTGGACACACACCACCATCATGGACACACGCCGCCATCTTGGACACACGCCGCCATCTTGGACACACACCGCCATCTTGGACAGACACCGCCATCTTGGACACACACCACCATCGTGGACACATGCCGCCATCTTGGCCATCATGGACACAGTGTCATTGTGGACACACACCGCCATCTTGGACAGACACCTCCATCTTGGACACACACCGCCATCATGGACACACACCGCCATCTTGGACAGACACCGCCATCGTGGACAGACACCGCCATCGTGGACAGACACCGCCATCATGGACACACACCGCCATCATGGACACACACCGCCATCGTGGACACACACTGCCATCTTGGCCATCGTGGACACACACCCCCATCGTGGACAGACATCATCGTGGACACACACTGCCATCTTGGCCATCGTGGACACACACCCCCATCGTGGACAGACACCATCGTGGACACACACCGCCATTTTGGCCATCGAGGACACACACCACCATCGTGGACAGACACCGCCGTCGTGGACAGACACCCCCATCATGGACACACACCGCCATCTTGGACAGACACCCCCGTCTTGGACAGACACTGCCATGTTGGACACACACTTCCATTTTAAGTTCCCTTGATTAAAAACTGCCTAAATCCAGCCCCCAAACATCAGCCTAATGGCTAATGTCAGCATGACCAGAAACATTCCAGCCGTGGGATAAACCCCTCTGTGACCAGAAACCTCCCCTCCGACCAGAGACAGTCCAACCCCGCAATCAATTTTCCCTCACACAGAAACATTCCGAGCCTGCGAGAAGCCCCCTTTTCCAAAACCCTTTGCTGAGCCACTTTTTGTATTTTTTTTTTTTTTTTTGAAACGGAGTCTCGCTGTGTCGCCCAGGCTGGAGGGGCAGTGATGCCATCTCGGCTCACTGCAAGCTCCATCTCCCAGGATCAAGCGATTCTCCTGCCTCAGTCTCCCGAGTAGCTGGGATTGCAGGTGGGCGCCACCACACCCGGCTAATTTTTGTATTTTTAATAGAGATGGGGTTTCACCATGTTGGTCAGGCTGGTGTCGAACTCCTGACCTCAGGTGATCCGCCCGCCTCGGCCTCCCAAAGTGCTGGGATTACAGATGTGAGCCTCTGCGCCCAGGCTCACTTTCTATATTTGTTTCCTCCTTCTTAAACTCTTACATTTGGTGCCGAAACCCAGGACAGGTGTTACGGACAGAGGCCCTTTTGCAACCCAGGATGCAGTGGGCAGGGGCAGCCTGTCCCGGGCTAACTCCTGGATCCTTTAGAGCCTCTGGCCCTCTGACCCTGTCCTTTCTCTCTCTCCCTCTTTGAGTGTTGGGAGTGGAGGTTCTCTTGCAACCCAGGAAGCTGTGGGCAGCAGCAGCTCATCCTGGGCTAACTCCTGGATCGTGAGGGTCTCTGGCCACCCCTCCCATCTTTTCTCTCCATTCACCTTCCAAGCAATTTGTGTGAGGAAGACAACTCATGTAAAGGGGACTTAGAGGCTCAAGCTGGAGGGTTCTCAAAACCCTCAGGTCTCAGAAATCCACCTCTGACCCCCTGCAACAGGTATTTCGCTCCCTAACCCTTGCTTCGTCTTCCTCTCTCTTCGTCCGTCTTCTTCCCTCTTCTCTCTCTCTCTCTGTCTTCCCTGCGCGGCTCCAGTTTGGGAGCCCCTTTGCCAATTCCAACAGGAACATCCAACATCAGACACAAATCCAGCCGTCTGGTAAGATCTGCCCTCCTCTGACTTTTGGTACCCAGGAAAAGTCAGGTCGGCCATCCCAGTCCTCGGAGGACCAGCGGCACTAAGCTAGAAGCGATCTTGAGGGATGCCCAGTATCTTCTCAGCTTGGCCGTCCTCCTTATAAAGAGGATTCTGGGTCTCTGTCTTTTGTCTGGGGTTGCCTAAAACACAAACAGACACTCTCGGCTTCCTTTTACCAGCCCACGTGGGTGCCAAACAACCCGACATTCCTATGTCCTCCTCTCTGGGATGTCTCCTTTCCAACCTGGCCAAACTTGGCTTACAGAGGAACCTAAAGCCAGAGTGTTGAATTTTTTATTGCAATAGTCTGGCATCAATACAAACTACATAATGACAGCAGATGGCCCGAACATAGCACCTTTAACTTGCAAATTCTCAGGGACCTTGACAACTTTATCACCAGGAAATGGCAAGAGGTTCCCTATACTCAGGCTATCTTCTACCCTCCCTATGTCAAGTTGCACCTCTCATTGTGGGCGGCAAGACACCCAGGTGCTGAGGCAAGAGACCGAGGACACGAGCTCTTCCGGTATATGATAAAATATAAAACGAGAAAGTTATACCAGATATAGATCTTAGATATGGTTATATATGAATATCATTAATCATTAGTTGGTAGTAATTACTCTTTATACCAATCTTATAATAATCCTTGCTCTAGAATCATAATGTAGGAAAAGCCAGGCCATACAGAGATAGGAGCTGAGGGGACATGGTGAGGTGCGACCAGAAGACGAGCGCGAGCCTTCTGTTATGCCCAGACGGGGTCACCAAAGGGAGTCTCCCTTTCCCTGGGGGGGTTTAGAGAAGACTCTGCTCCTCCACCTCCTGTGGAGGACCTGACATCAGTCAGACCCGCCCGCAGTTATCCGGAGGCCTAACCCTCTCCCTGTGGTGCTTTGCTTCAGTGGTCACACGCTCCTAGTCCGCCTTCATGTTCCATCCTGTACACCTGGCTCTGCCTTTAGTTAGCAGGAGCAAATTAGTGAAAGTACTAAAAGTGTCTGATAAGCAGAAATAATGGCGTAAGCTGTTTCTCTCCTTCTCCTCTCTCTCTCTGCCTCGGCGGCCAGGCAGGGAAGGGCCCCCTGTCCAGTGGACACGTGACTCACGTGACCTTACCTATCATTGGAGATGGCTCACACTCCTTACCCTGCTCCTTTGTCTTGTATCCAATAAATATCAGCGCAGCCTGGCATTCGGGACCACCACCAGTCTCCGCGTCTTGGTGGTAGTGGTCCCCCGGGCCCAGCTGCCTTTTCTTTTATCTCTTTGTCTTGTGTCTTTATTTCTACACTCTCATGCCTCCGCACACAGGGAGAGATCCACTGACCCTGTGGGGCTGGTCCCTACATCTCATGACATTTTTTTTTTTTTTTTTGAGACGGAGTCTTGCTCTGTCGCCCAGGCTGGAGTGCAGTGGTGCCATCTCGGTTCACTGCAACCTCTGCCTCCCAGGTTCAAGCGATTCTCCTGCCTCAGCCTCCCAAGTAGCTGGGACTGCAGGCGCCCGCCACCACGCCCGGCTAATTTTTTGTAATTTTAGTAGAGACGGGGTTTCACCATGTTAGCCAGGATGGTCTCGATCTCCTGACCTCGTGATCCGCCAACCTCGGCCTCCCAAACTGCTGGGATTACAGGCATGAGCCACCATGCCCAGCCCATAATTTGTCTTTTAATAAAAGTGGGAAAACTGGAAAAAGAAAAATCGTGTTTGAAAAACTATAGTTACCCCTGTCGTGAAATTCTAGTCTTGCCTAATGGTTTTCAGTTTTTATTCTTTTCTACGGTTTGAATTAAATTCTAATTTTTCTGGCTACATGTCTCCAAGATAATGTTTTGCATTCTTTTCCTTTTTCTTTTTCTCCAATTTTTCCTAACTGAAAACCTCTGAAACCCAAGTTCTGCTTTCTTAAAGCCCTGTGAACTAAAAGCTAGATGTTTCAACGGGTGCTGCTTGGAAGGCCCCTAAAGAGTGCTACCAGGAACAAATCAACCTCTTCCCCTCCAGGGCTGTGTTTGGTGACCCGTAATAACCACCTCCCTCAGCAGGAAGTGGCCAGAAAGAACACACCACCCCTCGTCCTGTTATAACTAGAGGGTCTGGATTCACAGAGCAGGAGCATTGCCATCTTCGACACACACTGCCATCTTGGACCCATTACACCATCTTGGACACACACCGCCATCTTGGATAAGCACCACCATCTTGGACACACAACATCTTGGACACACATGGCCATCTTGGAGAAGCACCACCATCTTGGACACACACTGCCATCTTGGATAAGCACCACCATCTTGGACACACACCATCTTGGACACACACGGCCATGTTGGAGAAGCACCACCATCTTGGACACACACCGCCATCTGGGAGAAGCACCACCATCTTGGACACACACCATCTTGGACACACACGGCCATCTTGGATAAGCACCACCATCTTGGAGACACACCATCTTGGACACACACCGCCATCTTGGATAAGCACCACCATCTTGGAGACACACCATCTTGGACACACACCGCCATCTTGGAGAAGCACCACCATCTTGGACACACACCATCTTGGACAAGCACTGCCATCTTGGACATGCATGGCCATCTTTGACACACACCACCATCTTGGACACACACCGCCATCTTGGATAAGCACCACCATCTTGGACACACACAGCTATCTTGGATAAGCACTACCATCTTGGACACACACCATCTGGGACACACACTGCCATCTTGGACCCATAACACCATCTTGGACAAGCACCGCCATCTTGGACACACCGCCATCTTGGATACACAACACCATCTTGGAAAAGCACCACCATCTTGGACACACACCGCCATCTTGGATAAGAACCACCATCTTGGACACACACCATCTTGGACACACACCGCCATCTTGGATAAGAACCACCATCTTGGACACACACCATCTTGGACACACACAGCCATCTTGGATAAGCACCACCATCTTGGACACACACCATCTTGGACACACACCGCCATCTTGGATAAGCACCACCATCTTGGACACACACCGCCATCTTGGATAAGCACCACCATCTTGGACACACACCATCTTGGACACACACTGCCATCTTGGATAAGCACCACCATCTTGGACACACAACATCTTGGACACACACCGCCATCTTGGATAAGCACCACCATCTTGGACACACACCATCTGGGACACACACTGCCATCTTGGACCCATAACACCATCTTGGACAAGCACCACCATCTTGGACACACCGCCATCTTGGACACGCCACCATCTTGGATACACACCACCATCTTGGAAAAGCACCACCATCTTGGACACACAACATCTTGGACACACACTGCCATCTTGGATAAGCACCACCATCTTGGACACATGCCGCCATCTTGGACACACACTGCCATCTTGGATAAGCACCACCATCTTGGACACACACCATCTTGGACACACACGGCCATCTTGGATAAGCACCACCATCTTGGACACACACCGCCATCTTGGATAAGCACCACCATCTTGGAGACACACCATCTTGGACACACACTGCCATCTTGGAGAAGCACCACCATCTTGGACACACACCATCTGGGACACACACCACCATCTTGGATAAGCACCACCATCTTGGACACACACCGCCATCTTGGATAAGCACCACCATCTTGGACAAGCACTGCCATCTTGGACATGCATGGTCATCTTTGACACACACCACCATCTTGGACACACACCGCCATCTTGGACAAGCATTGCCATTTTAAGTTCCCGTGATTAAAAACTGCCTAAAACCAGCCCCAAAACATCAGCCTAATGGCTAATGTCAGCATGACCAGAAACAGTCAAAGCCTGAAATAAACCGCCTCTGACCAGAAACATCCCAAGCCCAAGATAACCTCCTTCAGACCAGAGACATTCTAACACCTCAGTCAACTTTGCCTCACAGGGAAACATTCCGAGCCTGCGATAAGATTCCCCTTCCTAAACCCTTAAATACCCTTAGTCTGTAAGAGAGAACACTCCTGACCTAACTCAGCCAGAAGCCCCGCTCAGGCTTGTTCTCCAAAATAAACCCGTCTTTGACTGTGAAGCTGCTTTTCTTTTTTCGTCTTTCTTCCACTCTTCTACACTCCTCAGCGCTCCTCACCTCTTGAAGGTGCCCCCAGATCCTGGCCCTGACGCCCATCCTGGTCTTCAGGGCACCAGTCACCAAGCCCTGGACCTGCCCTGCAGATCTCAACCCCAGATCATATAGACCCCTGCCCTATGCCCTGTCACCCCCAATCATGGAGACCCATGCCTTCTGTGAGGCACCCTGACCACTCTCATCCCCGTCACTAGGACCAGGCATGTGGTGTCCCCCCTCCCAGGGTACCAGACCTCCAGTCCGTAGTCCCCAAGAGTAGACTCCTGCCCCACTGCACCATCCATAGGCAACCAGTAACTACCCTACCATCACCAGTAACTTCTCTGCCATCACCAGTAACTACCTCACATCACCAGTAACTACCCCCCATCACCAGTAACTATGCCCCATCATCAAACCCAGTAACTACCCCCCATCACCAGTAACTATCCACCATCACCAGTAACTATCCCCCATCACCAGTAACTATGCCCCATCATCACCAGTAACTATCCCCCCATCACCAGTAACTATCTCCCATCAACAGTAACTATCCTCCCATCACCAGTAACTATCCCCACATCACCAGTAACTACCCCCATCACCAATAACTATGCCCCATCATCAAACCCAGTAACTATCCCACCATCACCAGTAACTAACCCCCACCACCAGTAAATATGCCCCATCATCACCAGTAACTATCCCTCATCACCGGTAACTACGCCCCATCACCAGTAACTATCTCCCATCACCAGTAACTATCCCCCATCACCAGTAACTATCCTTCCATCACCAGTAACTATGCCCCCATCACCAGTAACTATCCCATCACCAGTAACTATCACCCCATTACCAGTAACTATCCCACATCACCTATAACTATCCGCCTGTCACCAGTAACTACCCCCCATCACAAGTAACTATCCCTTCATCACTAGACCGTCTCCTCCATGTGATTAGGGCTCCAGAGAGAGGCAGACACCCACTACCTAGGCGTCCTACCACCCGGAATAAGATCCTCATGGGGGCACCAGGAAACACTTCCCATACCCCAGCTACAAAGTCCAACCATCAGTCACAGGGCCCACTCCATCCCTAGAAGTCCTGAGTCACTCACCTCCCCAATCCCTAGGGGTCCCAGGTCACTCCCCTCCCCCACCCCTAGGGGGTCCCGGGTTACTCTCCCCTCCCCCATTCCTAGGGGTCTTGGATTACTCTCCCCTCCCTTATCCCTAGGAGGTCCTGGATCACACTCCCCTCCCCCATCACTAGGGCATCCTGGGTCACTCTCCCCTCCCCCATCCCTAGGGGCTCTGGGTCACTCTCCCCTCCCCCATCCCTAGGGGTTCTGGGTCACTCTCCCCTCCCCCATCCCTAGGGGTTCTGGGTCACTCTCCCCTCCCCCATCCCTAGGGGGTTCCGGGTCACACTCCCCAACCCCATCCCTAGGGGTTCTGGGTTACTCTCCCCTCCCCCATCCCTAGGGTTCCCGGGTTACTCTCCCCTCCCCCAACCCTAGGGGTCCCAGGTTACTTTCCCCACCCACATCCCTAGGCGGTACTGGATCACTCTCCCCTCCCCCATCCCTAGGGGTCCCGGGTCACTCTGCCCTCCCCCATCCCTATGGGTCCCGGGTCACTCTGCCCTCCCCATTCCTAGGGGGTCCTGGCTCACTCTCCCCTCCCCCATCCCTAGGGGTCCTGGGTTATTCTCCCCTCCCCCATCCCTAGGGGTCCCGGGTCACTCTGCTTTCTCCATTCCTAGGGGGTCCTGGGTCACTCTCCCCTCCCCCATACCTAGGGATTCCGGATCACTCTCCCCTCCCCCATCCCTAGGCGGTCCTGGATCACTCTCCCCTCCCCATTCCTAGGGGGTCCTGGGACACTCCTCCCTCCCCATCCCTAGGGGGTCCTGGGACACTCCTCCCTCCCCATCCCTAAGGGGGTCCCAGGTCACTCTCCCCAACCCCATGCCTAGGGCGTCCTGGGTTACTCTCCCCACCCCCATCCCTAGGGGGTCCTGGGTTACTCTCCCCTTCCCCATCCCTAGGTGGTCCTGGGTCACTCTCCCCTCCCCATTCCTTGGGGGTCCCGGGTCACCCTTCCCTCCCCCATCCCTAGGGGGTCCTGGGTCACTCTCCCCAACCCCATGCCTAGGGGTTCCAGGTCACTCTCCCCTCCCTCATCCTTTTGGGTCCCGGGTTACTCTCCCTACCCCCATCCCTAGGGGGATCCCGGCTTACTCTCCCCTCCCCCATCCCTAGGGGGTCCCAGGTTACTCTCCCATCCCCATTCCTAGGGGGTTCTGGGTCACTCCCTGCAACCCCATGCCTAGGGGTTTCGGGTCACTCTCCCCACCCCCATCCCTAGGGGGGTCCCGGGTCACTTGACCTCCCCATTCCTAGGGGTCCCGGGTTACTCTCCTCTCCCCCATCCCTAGGGGTCCCGGGTTACTCTCCCCACCCCCATCCCTAGGGGGGTCTCGGCTTACTCTCCCTATCCCCAACCCTGGAGGTCCCGGGTTACTCTCCCCATCCCCATGCCTGGGGGTCCCGGGTTACTCTCCCCATCCCCATCCATGGGGCTCCGGGGTCACTCTGCTGTCCCCATCCCTAGCGGTCCTGGGTCACTCCTCCCTCCCCATCCCTAGGGGGTCCCGGGTCACTCTCCCCAACCACATGCCTAGGGCGTCCTGGGTTACTCTCCCCACCCCCATCGCTAGGGGGTCCCAGGTTACAGGTTACTCTCTCCAACCCCATCCCTAAGGTGTCCCGGGTTTCTCTCCCCTCCCCCACCCCTAGGGGGGTCCCGGGTTACTCTCCCCTCCCCCATCCCTAGGGGGTCCTGGGTCACTCTCCCCAACCCCATCCCTAGGGGTCCCGGGTTATTCTCCCCAACCCCATTCCTGGGGGTCTCGGCTTACTCTCCCCATCCCCATGCCTGGGGGTCCCGGGTTACTCTCCTCTCCCCCATCCCTAGGGGTCCCGGGTTACTCCCCCACCCCCATCCCTAGGGGGGGTCTCGGCTTACTCTCCCCATCCCCAACCCTGGAGGTCCCGGGTTACTCTCCCCATCCCCATGCCTGGGGGTCCCGGGTTACTCTCCTCATCCCCATCCATGGGGCTCCGGGGTCACTCTGCTGTCCCCATCCCTAGCGGTCCTGGGTCACTCTACCCTCCCCATTCCTAGGGGTCCCGGGTTACGATCCCCTCCCCCATCCCTATGGGGACCCAGGTCACTCCCCACCCCCATGCCTAGGGGGTTCCGGGTTACTCTCCCCTCCCCCATCCCTAGAGGTTCCGGGTCACTCTCCCCAACCCTATCCCTGGAGGTCCCGGGACACTCTCCCCTCCCCCATCCCTAAGGGTCTCGGGTCACTCTCCCATCCCTATCCCTAGAGTTCCTGAGTCGCTGGGCCCTCCGGGGTTCAGCCCCTCCGTCCCCGGTCCCCTGCCCCGCCCAGGCCCAGGCCGTACCGCGTTGCTGAGGATCTCCTGACGGCGTGGGGAGGCGCTGGCCAGCACCACGCGCTTGTGCAGCAGCTTCCCAATCACCGGGCACAGCACCATGGCGTCCACGCCGGGAGCCGGGCGTCCGCACTTCTGAGCCCGGAGCCCGCGGTGCGCGCAGCGCGGCTGCAAAAAAAACAGGCGGCCAGAGTCCCGCCTCCGCGAGGCCACGCCCCCGCCCGCCTCCGCGAGGCCACGCCCAGTCCGCGCCTTCAGTGGCCTCCCCGCGAGACCGCGCCCAGGCCACGCCTCCATTGAACACTCCGTCAGGCCTCGCCCAGGCCACACCTCCATTGCCCTCTCCACCAGGCCACGCCCATGTCACGCCCCATTGATCTCCCCTGAGACCACGCCCAGACCACGCCTCCATTGCCCTCTCCGTCAGGCCACGCCCAGGCCACACCTCCATTGCCCTCTCCGCCAGGCCACGCCCATGTCACGCCGCCATTGACCGCTCCGCCAGGCCACGCCCAGGCCACACCTCCTTGCCCTCTCCGCCAGGCCACGCCCATGCCACGCCGCCATTGAGCTCCCCGTGAGGCCACGCCCAGGCCACACCCCCGCCCGCCTCCCCCCCGGGCACCGCCCCGGCCGCTTGGTGAAGCACCGCCCCCAGCTCCGCCTCCCGGGCCCCGTCCCCGCCCCCGGCGCTCGCCCCGCCCCTCCCCACCCCGCCTGCGGCGCCAAGACCTGCAATGGCGCAGGCAGCTGCGGGGTCCCGGGGAGGAAAGGCTGGCGTGGATACTTGGGGTTCCTTGCAGGCGCGGCGTGGGGAGTGGAAATGCTGGGTTTCCGCAGCTGCGGTTGTGGGCAGTTGTGGGGGTGGGGGGTTCTTACCCGCACGTGGAGGGGCCCGGCGCAGAGATGGGGGTCTTGTGGGAGCCGCGTCGGGGAAGGTAGAGATAGGGGGTTCCCCGCGGACCCGGTGCGAGTGGCGTGGGGATGGGGATGTCCTCGTGCCTGGTGGGAGGGGAGTGGAGATGGGGGTGTCCACGGGCCTGGTGGGAGGGGCGTGGAGATGGGGGTGTCCACGGGCCTGGTGGGAGGGGCGTGGAGATGGGGGTGTCCACGGGCCTGGTGGGAGGGGCGTGGAGATGGGGGTGTCCACGGGCCTGGTGGGAGGGGCGTGGAGATGGGGGTGTCCACGGGCCTGGTGGGAGGGGCGTGGAGATGGGGGTGTCCACGGGCCTGGTGGGAGGGGCGTGGAGATGGGGATCCCCGCGGGGATGGTGGGAGGGGTTTGGAGATGAGGGTCCCCGCGAGAATGCTCGGAGGGGTATGGATATGGGGGTCCCCGCGGGCCGGGTGGGAAGGGCGGGGAGATGGGTGGGGGGGGGGTCCCCGCGTGCCTGGTGGGAGGGGCGTGGAGAAGGTGGGGGTCCTTGTGGGAGGGGCGTGGACACTGGGGATCCGCGCGGGCGTGGTGATGGGCGCGGCGTGGGGACCCCCTGGGGGCGCGGTGCTGGGGGCGCAGGGATGGGACCAGGGCGGGCGCTGTGAGGTGGGGGACGCCCGGCTGTGCCTTCCCTCCCTAAACGGAGCCCACCTCCAGGGCAGCGGGTCCCTTGCGCGCCGCAGGCTGCAGGGGGCGCGCGTGAGCTGTGCGAGGATTTTTCTTAAACCCCAGAGCCCAGCCGCACCTGCTCCACATAAACCCAGCGTGGCGTGGAGACTCCGGGCACTGTTTCCCCAGCCTTTGTGACTCAAAAGATTTTAAAATAAAATGTCAAAAATAATAATATACCCAGAGCCTATGCCAGTGATGTGTAGATGCAGAAAATGGAATCCTACAGTTAATTTTGTTAACTGTGGAATGACATCCGAGGGTGTCCAACACATTACGGAGAAAACGAAAAACTGTAGTCAGAGAAGTCACAGAAGAGCCAAATAAAAGAGAGGAAAAAAGCATCTAAACCATGTGATGTCTGATTTTCAATATTGTGAGTTTTTGAAAAAAAATTTTAAAAAGCACATAGATTCACATTTCAGAATTTTGGAGAAGTAACTTTCTTCGTTTTGAAGCGATAGAAGGAATCATAAGTTTATAAACTGTACTGCATATAACATAAACTCCATGCAGGTGAAGGTTTTTGTTTGTTTGTTTCTTTCTTTTCTGTTTGTTTCTTTCTTTGTTTTTTGAGACCGAGTCTCACTGTGTCGCCCAGGCTGGAGTGCAATGGTGCAATCTCGGCTCACTGCAACCTCCGCCTCCCAGGTTCAAGCGATTCTCCTGCCTCAGCCTCCTGAGTAGCTAGGATTACAGGCACCTGCCATCACATCGAGCTAATTTTTGTACTTTTAATAGAGATGGGGTTTCGCTGTGTTGGCCAGGCTGGTCTCGAAGTCCTGACCTCAGGTGATCCACCCGACTCAGCCTCCCAAAGTGCTGGGATTACAGGTGTGAGCCACCGGGCCCAGCTGCGGGTGAGATATTAAACATAAAGAAAAATAGCAAAGGAAATTACAGTAATTCTCTATAGAAGATGAAGTGAAGGCTGCCTCTTCCTACACGGGTACAGGCAAAGCTGGAGGGTTTAGTGACCTACAGTGGGGGTTGCTGGTAACTGTCACTCAAAACCCTGGGGCTTAAAACAGCAAAACTTAATTGTATTACAGCTCTGGAGCCCAGACATCTGAAATCAAGGAATAGGCAGGGCCACGCTCCCTCCGAAGGCTCTAGGGGAGGGTCCTTCCTGCCTCTCCCGCTCCTGGGGGCTCCAGGCATCCCTGGGCTTGTGGCCGCATCACTCTAGTCTCTGCCTCCGTCTCTACGTGGGTTTCTCTGTGTCTGTGTCTCCTCTTCTGTCTCTTACAAGGACACCTGTCATTGTGTTTAGGGCCCGTCCTTCTCCAGGATGATCTCATCTCCAGATTGTTAATCATATCTGCAAAGATCCTTTTTCCAAATGAGGTCCCATTCCCAGGCTCTGGGGCTTAGGACATGGACATATGGTTTGGAGCTCACCATCTAAACCATTGCAATTGTGTTTGCTTCCTTCTGGAGGCTCTAGGGGAGGGTGCTTCCTGCCTCTTCCAGCTCCTGGGGGCTCCAGGCATCCCTGGGCTTGTGGCCGCATCACTGCAGTCTCTGCCTCCATCTCCACGTGGCCTTCTCCTCTGTGTCTGTGTCTCCTCTTCTGTCTCTTACAAGGACACCTGTCATTGGACTTAGGGTCCACCTTAATCCAGCATGATATCTTGAAATCATGAACTAATTGCACATGTGAGGACCCTATTTCCAAATAAGGTGCCATTCACCAGGTGGACATATCTATGGGGAGGCACGAATCAACTCAGTCCCCCATACCAGCATTCCAGAAGGAGTGCTAACCAGAGATGGGGTCCAGCAGCCTTTAACATGCCTGTATTTATCCCTATAAGTTCTCCATTACGGCCACATCATTGAAACCCCAGCAGGCAGAGGTTTAACTGCTCTGGAGCCCTGACTACTGCAGCCTCCTCCTGCTCTCAATGTGCCCTTCCGTGACTTTCAGATTTTTCTTTGCTTTTTTTTTTTTTTTTTAGACTGACTCTTGCTCTGTCGCCCAGACTGGAGTACAGTGGCACGATCTTGGCTCACTGCAACCTCCACCTCTCAGGTTCAAGTGGCTTTCCTGCCTCAGCCTCCCGAGTATCTGGGACCGCCACCACACCTGGCTAATTTTTTGTATTTTTTAGTAGAGATGGGGTTTCTCCATGTTTGCCAGGCTGGTCTTGAACTCCCGACCTCAGGTGATCCGCCCACTTCAGCCTCCCAAAATGCTGGAATTACAGGCATGAGCCACTGTGCCCAGCCAATGCCTGTTTTTTGTTTGTTTGTTTGTTTTGTTTTGTTTTGTTTGTTTGTTTTTGAGATGGAGTCTCGCTGTGTCACCCAGGCTGTAGTGCAGTGGCGCGATCTGGGCTCACTGCAAGCTCTGCCTCCTGGGTTCATGCCATTCTCCTGCCTCAGCCTCCCAAGTAGCTGGGACTACAGGCACCCGCCACCGCGCCCGGCTAATTTATTTTTCTATTTTTTAGTAGAGACAGGGTTTCACCATGTTAGCCAGGATGGTCTCGATCTCCTGACCTCATGATCTACCCACCTCGGCCTCCCAAAGTACTGGGATTACAGGTGTGAGCCACCGTGCCCGACCAATGCCTGTCGTTAATAAGCAACCCAGTCTATGGTATTCTGTGATAGCAGCCTGCAATGGACTAAGACATCTGATAAGAAGAGGAGAAGAGGAGCTGAAGACACAGACACACATGGAGGGACGACCCTGTGAGGACACAGGGAGAAGACAGCGTCTCCAAGCCCAGGAGAGAGGCCTCAGGAGGAGCCAGCCTTGCCCACACCTTGACCTCAGACCTCCAGCCTCCAGGACTGTGGAAGAATCGATGTCTGTTGTCTAAGCTGTACAGCGTACAGGACTTTGCTATGGCAACCCCAGCAAACTCATACACCCCGTCCCACCAGGCTGGGCTTCCATCCTTAATGTTCTGTTTTGCATTGAGCCAGCATTGCATGGTTGGAGGTTCAAAGATTCTCAAATGTGTGCATGTGTGTGGGTTTTGTGTAATTCAGTTGCCAGCAACTGAGGAGATCCTACCGTCCAGGAGACACCTGGCAATGTCTGAAGATATTTTTGGCCATCACGTCTGGAGGTGTGCGTGCAGTGCAGGGGTGCTGCTCCCATCTGGTGGGTGGAGCCCAGGGTCTCTGCTCAGCACCGTACAGTGCCCAGGATGGCCCCACCACAGAGAGTCCTCCAGCCCCAAATGTCAGCTGTGCTGAGGTGGGGGAACCCTGAGTCAGCATGAGAGGGTTTGTCTATCATCTATCTATGTATCCATGTTATCCATCATTTATCCAGCTATTCATCTGTCATGTATCCATCTATCTTGTCTATGTATCTATCACTCTTCCATCTATTTAGCCATAATATCTATGTATCTCTCTATCCATCTATGTATGTATGTATGTATCTATCTATCCATCTATGTATGTATGTATGTATGTATCTATCATCTATCTATCCATCTATGTATGTATGTATCTATCATCTATCAATCTATGTATCTATCCATCTGTCTATGTATGTATGTATCTGTCAATCTATCATCTATGTATCTATCCCTCTATGTATGTATGTATGTGTCTATCATCTATCAATCTATGTATCTATCCATCTGTCTATGTATGTATGTATCTGTCAAACTATCATCTATGTATCTATCCCTCTATGTATGTATGTATGTGTCTGTCTATCATCTATCAATCTATGTATCTATCCATCTGTCTATGTATGTATGTATCTGTCAATCTATCATCTATGTATCTATCCCTCTATGTATGTATGTATGTATCTGTCTATCATCTGTCTATCCATCTATCTATCTATGTATGTATCTGTCTATCATCTATCAATCTATCCATCTATGTATGTATCTGTCTATCATCTATCAATCTATCTATCCATCTATCTATCTATGTATGTGTCTGTCTATCATCTATCTATCCGTCTATGTATGTATCTGTCTACCTATCATCTATCTATCCATCTATGTATGTATCTATCATCTATCTATCCACCTATCTATGTATGCATCTATCATCTATCTATCCATCTATCTATGTATGTATGTATCTATCTATCCATCTATGTATGTATGTATCTATCATCTATCTATGTATCCATCTATGTATGTATGTATGTCTATCTATCATCTATCTATCTATCCATCTATGTGTGTATGTATCTGTCTATCATCTATCCATGTATCTATCCATCTGTATGTTTGTATGTATCTGTCTATCATCTATCTATCTATCTATCTATCTATCTATCTATCTATCTATCCATCTATGTATCTATCATTTGTCTATCATCTATCAATCTATCCATCTATGCATCTATCATTTGTCTATCATCTATCAATCTATCCATCTATGTATCTATGTATTATCATTTATCTATCATTCATCTGTCTATCTATCATTTATCAATCTATCATCTATGTATCTATCATCTATCATTAGATATATCATCTATCAATCTACCCATCTATCATCTATCTTTCTATCTATTCTACCTACCTATCATCTATCTATTGTATCTACCTACCTATCTCATCTATCATTTATCCCCTCCTTATGTTGTCTATGTATTTATTATCCATCTGTGTATCCGTTATCTACCTATCATCTATCTAGCTATCATCTATTATCTATCTATCCATCCATTCTGTTTATCTATGTATCCATCTATCATCTGTATAACTATCCATCTATTATCTATCTATCTAACTATCATCTATCTATCTATCTTCTATCCATCTACCCATCTTTCTATCTTTCCATCATCAATCTATTATCTATCTATCTTCTATCCATCTATCTTTCCATCATCAATCTGTTATCCATCTATCCATTTATCCATCATCTATATATTAATTTATCATCTATCAATCTATCATCTACCTATCATCCATCTATCTATCTATGTATGTATCTATCATCTATCTATGTAGCTATCCATCTATCTATGTATGTAGGTATCTATCATCTATCTATCTATCTATCTATCTATCTATCTATCTATGTATCTATCATCTATCTATGTATCCATCTATGTATGTATGTATATATCTGCCTATCTATCACCTACCTATGTATCTATCCATCTATCTATGTATGGATGTATCTGTCTATCATCTATCTATGTATGTATCTATCATCTGTCTATCTAGCCATCTATGTATGTATGTGTCTGTCTATCATCTATTTGTCTATGTAAGTATCTATCTGTCATCTATCTATCCATCTGTGTATATATGTATGTATCTGTCTATCATCTATCTATCCATCTATCTATGTATGTATGTATCTATCATCTATCTATCCACCTATGCATGTATCTATCATCTATCTATCCATCTATCTATGTATCTATGTATCTATCATCTATCTATCCATCTATCTATGTATGTGTCTATCATCTATCTATCCATCTATCTATGTATGTATCTGTCTATCTATCGTCTATGTATCCATCTATGTATGTATGTATCTATCACCTATGTATCCATCTATGTATGTATCTATCATCTATGTATGTATGTATGTATGTGTCTATCATCTATGTATGTATCTATCCATCTGTATGTATGTATGTATGTGTCTATCATCTATCTATATATCTATCTATCCATCTATGTATCTATGTATCTATCATTTGTATGTCTATCATCTATCAATCTATCCATCTATGTATTTAGTATTATCATTTATCTATCATTCATCTGTCTATCATCTATCAATCTATCATCTATGTATCTATCATCTATCATTAGATATATCATCTATCAATCTACCCATTTATCATCTATCTATTCTACCTACCTATCATCTATCTATTTATCTACCTATCTATCTCATCTATCATTTATCCCCTCCTTATGTTGTCTATGTATGTATTATCCATCTGTGTATCCATTATCTACCGATCATCTATCTAGCTATCATCTGTTATCTATCTATCCATCCATTCTGTTTATCTATGTATCCATCTATCTATCATCTGTATAACTATCCATCTATCATCTGTCTATCATCTATCTATCTATCATCTTCTATCCATCTACCCAACTTTCTATCTTTCCATCATCAATCTATTATCTATCTATCTTCTATCCATCTATCTATCCATCTGTCTATCTTTCCATCATCAATCTGTTATCCATCTATCTATCCATCTATCCATCATCTATATATTCATCTATCCATCTATCATCTATCATTCATCTATCTATCTATCTATCTATCTATCTATCTATCTATCTCTTATCACCCATTTATCAATCTATCATCTATCTACCTGTGTATGTACCTATCTATCCATCTATCATGTATCCATTTGTCTTTTTTTTTTTTGAGGCAGAGTCTCGCTCTGTCACCCAGACTGGAGTGCAGTGGCATGATCTCAGCTCACTGCAACCTCTGCCTCCTGGGTTCAAGCAATCCTCCTGCCTCAGCCTCCCTAGTAGCTGAGATTACAGGTGCCCGCCACCATGCCCGGCTAATTTTTGTGGTTTTAGTAGAGACGAGGTTTCACCATGTTGGCCAGGCTGGTCTTGAACTCCCGACCTCGTGATCCACCTGCCTCAGCCTCCCAAAGTGCTGAGATTACAGGCTTGAGCCACCACACCCGGCCCCAGCCTCTAGAACTGTGGCAAGCAATGTCTATTGTTTGTGAGCCACCCAGTTGATGGTTGCGATGGTTAATACCAAGAGTCAACGTGATTGGATTGAAGGATACAAAGTATTGATCCTGGGTGTGTCTGTGAGGGTGTTGCCAAAGGAGATGAACATTTGAGTCAGTGGACTGGGAAAGGCAGACCCCCCCCCCCTTAATCTGGGTGGGCATCATCTAATCAGCTGCCAACGAGGCTAGAATATAAGCAGGGAGAAAAATGTGAAAAGGAGAGACGGGCCTAGCTTCCCAGCCTCCATCTTTCTCCCATGCTGGATGCTTCCTGCCCTTGAACATCTGACTCCAAGTTCTTCAGTTTTGGGACTGGGATGGGTTCTCCTTGCTCCTCAGCCTGCAGACGGCCTATTGTGGGACCTCATGATCATGTGAGTTAATACTGAATCAACTTCCCTTTATTTATTTATTTATTTTTATTTATTTATTTTTGAGATTCACTCTGTCACCCAGGAAGTTTACTTAATAAACTTCCCTTTATTTATTTTTATTTATTTATTTTTGAGTTGCACTCTGTCACCCAGGCTGGAGGGCAGTGGTGCGATCTCGGCTCACTGCAAGCTCCACCTCCCGGGTTCAATCGATTCTCCTGCCTCAGCCTCCCGAGTAGCTGGGATTACAGGCATGCACCACCACACCCGGCTAATTTTTGTATTTTCAGTAGAGATGGGGTTTCACCATGTTGGTCAGGCTGGTCTCGAACTCCTGACCTCAGGTGATCCACCTGCCTCGGCCTCCCAAAGTGCTGGGATTACAGGTGTGAGCCACTGTGCCTGGCCTGAAACTCCTCTCTCTCTCTCTCAATCTCTCTCTCTCTCTCTCTCTCTATCTATCTAATATATCTACTATCTGATCTATCATCTATCTATCTATCTAATCTATCTATCTGATCTATCTATCTGATCTATCTACTATCTATCTATGTAATCTATCTACTGTCAATCTATCTATCTAATCTATCTACTATCTATCTAATCTATCTACTATCTACCTATCTATCTAATCTATCTACTATCTATCTATCTAATCTATCTACTATCTATCTAATCTATCTACTATCTATCTACTATCTAATCTATCCACTCTCTATCTACCTATCTAATCTATCTACTATCTATCTATCTAATCTATCTACTATCTATCTACCTATCTATCTAATCTATCTACTATCTATCTAATCTATCTACTATCTATCTATCTAATCTATCTACTATCCATCTATCTATCTACTATCTAATCTATCTACTATCTATCTATCTATCTAATCTATCTACTATCTATCTAATCTATCTTCTATCTGTCTGTCTGTCTGTCTGTCTATCTGTCTGTCTATCTATCTATCTATCTATCCTATTAGTTCTGTCCCTCTAGAGATCTCTGAGTAATGCAATGGTGTTTTGTTTGTTTGGTTTTTTGTTTGTTTCCAGCAGGATAAATGGACCAAGACAAGGAGCCTATGAAGAGGATAAGACATTGGATCCAGCATAAAATGGGATCTGTGTTTAAAATGCAAGCCCTGCAGAAATCAGAGACAGAAACACATTTGCCCTGTGCACTTCAAAGCTCATGTTTTTTTTTAATGTTTTATTTTTATTTTTTACAGAGATGAGTTCTCACTGTGTTGCCTAGGTTGGCCCTTGAACACCCGGACTCAATCAGTCCTCCCGCCTGAGCCTCCCAAAGTGCTGAGATTACCGGCATGAGCTGCCACGCCTTGATGGAGGCTGAGACTTTTTGGAATCCCTCCCTCTCTCCATGTCCTGCCAAGAACAGAAGTAAAGTTTTCCATCTTAAAACATGTGTGTGAGTCAATAGACCTGTGTTATCTTTTCACTCAAAGCTCAACCAGTGAACAGACTGAGTCAGCTTCCAGGAAACATCCACGGCTGTAAGAGGGGGTGTCGGCTGCTCTCCATAGCCAAGTGGCTGCAAAAATCATCATACTGACAAAAAAAAAAAATCGACGCATTTTGCCTGCTTGCAACGTCTTCCTTTGCTGGGGGACGTCAGGGTTCTCGCACGTTGTCGAGGAAGGATATTGTCTCGGCTTCCTCTGACTCAAGCTCTCATTTTTGTTTACAAGGCAGTTTAGGGATCGTCCGTGCGTTACTGTGAAGATGCTACTCTGAGGTTTTTCACAGTTTTTTTTCCCCCATGAGACACACCCAAGGCCCACGCTCAGCACTTGCGACCTGTACTCCTGCAGCCTGGATGCTTCTGTATCAGCTTTGCTTTCTAGGGTTCAGCTTTGGAACAGTCTAGAGAAGCAGGAGGTTAATTTTCCTCCTTCTGTGGAAGTTCTGGGTCTCTTACGCATCCTCCAGTTCCCCCTGGAGGCTCTAGGGGAGGATCCTTCCTGCCTCTCCCAGCTCCTGGGGGCTCCAGGTGTCCCTGGGCTTGTGGCCGCATCACTCCAGTCTGCCTCTGTCTCCACGTGTCCTCCTGCTCTGTGTCTGTGTCTCCTCTTCTGTCTCTTGGAAGGACACCTGTCATGGCATTTAGGGTGCTTAATAATCCAGCACAATCTCATCTTCATATCCTTAAGTAATTACACATGCAAAGTTCCTTATTACCGAATAAAATCTATAATAATTTCAGGTTCTGGGCTTTAAAACAAGACATGTCTTTCTGGGGCAACTGTTTAGTGCACTCTGCAATTGTATCCAGTTCCCTCCAGAGACTCTAGGGGAGGGTCCTTCCTGCCTCTCCCAGCTCCTGGGGACTCCAGGCATCCCTGGGCTTGGGGCAGCATCACTTCAGTCTCTGCCTCTGTCTTTATGTGGCCTCCTGCTTTGTGTCTGTGTCTCCTCTTCCGTCTCTCATAGGGACACTGGATTGGGCCCATTGTAAATGCAGTATGGCCTCGCCTTACTTAATTACATTTGGAAAGACCCGATTTTCAAACATGGTCCCATCCTGATGTTCCAGGTGGACACGGGTTTGGGAATGATAATTCATTACTAAACCATCTCTGTTTTCCTGCCATAGTGATGACGGCAGGAGAGAGGCACCAATAGAGGGCCTCCGAACAGCAGCTTCAGCCTCCATCAGCGTCCCCAGTGCACAGAAAGGGAGGGGCCGGGCATCCAAGGCCACCCACTGCGGAGACGCAGAGCCCGTGGGCAGACAGGCAGCTCTCCCACTCCCACCTCCAGAATGGTCTTTCTCGCCCAAGAGAGCCTGGGATCCAATTCCACGTGATGTCCCAGCACCCCTGGAGAGTCAGAGCTCTTCTTTGCGCTAAACCAGCTCAGGTGTTGGGGCTGGTGCAGGCACATGCCGTGTAGAAGAAGACAGACAAAGACCCAGCCTGCTCACCACCCACACAGCAGGGAGGGGGCTCAGCGGCTGACACCCCTGTAGGTTCCTGGGGTCCACACCTGCATCTGCTGCTTGGTCTCCAAACGGTCTCATGGGTCAGGCCAGTTGCCTGCTTCCTGGACTCCAGATGGACTTGCCATGGCTGAGGCTCTCCATGGGGTAAAAGGACGCGGAGAATGGGCAGGAGGTGGGGAACTCCCGAATCAAGCTGCACCCTTGTGTTGGGATGGGCTGGACCCCATCTCACGGAGCCTCCTTTCCGCACCTGGGCCTCCCGTGGTCCTTGTCCTGAGTCAGGGAAGCCTGAGTGTGTTCCAGGGGCCTGATGGGACCTCCTTCTCTATCAGGGACTCACAGAAGCAGAATAGGGGTGGGGTCCCACCAAGCCAGGCCAGAACAAATGTGCCAAAAATCACCTTGGTCAGCAACAGGGTGGGGTGTGTGTGTGGGGGGAAGTGGGCACGGAGAGTAGCTGACTTGCAGGAGCCCCAGGCGCTCCTCTGAAAGAAGAATTCCAACCACAGCAACCACAGTGCCCCTGAGTGAAATAAACAGAAATTTCGGCGTGCACCGGGCTACGGAGACCAGAACCCCTGGAGGAGAATGGAGAAGGCCAGAACCACAACTAAGGGACGATGTCAGCAGGGAGAAGAGCTGGGAATGGGGCTCGCAGTTCGCCCACGGAGGATATCCAGAAACCGAGTCGGGTAGGCGGTGGGGCTGGTTGAATATCCACCCTCGGGTATGGACAGGTGTGAGGAGTGTCTAAGGAGCTCGGGGGTGACAGCCCAGCTCTACTAAAAAAAATACAAAAATTAGCCGGGCGTGGTGACACAAGCTGTCCCCTGACACAGAGAGGCAGAGGCACCCTCTGCAGGATAACAAGCACCCTGTGCGCTGCTGGGCTTTGCTTGTTTCTCTACCCTGAGTGAAGCCTGGAGACCCTTCCTCACCGGTGCCTCTGCAGTGCCTGGGAGGAATAAAGCCTGGAGACCCTTCCCCACCGGGCCTCTGCAGTGCCTGGGAGCAACGCAGCTGTTCTCCCTGAACCTCTGGCACCGTGGCCTCTCCATGCGCCCCTGGATCTCCAAGCTGCGCCCCCGGCTCTCCAAGCTGCGCCCCCGGGACTCAGAACACACTCTCCTGCCTCTGGAGGCCGGGCCTGGTGGCTCCCTCCATCCCTTCAGGGTGCGCACCGGCCTCGGAGCGCACGGACGTGGTCCTGGCGGAGAAGAGGCTCTCGCGGCGCGTGTCCAGGGTGTCTCTGGGCACCCGGCGGCAGCCCAAATATTCCCGCAGGCGCAGCTGGAATTCCCGGGACGCAAAGTAATAAACAAACGGGTCCAGACAGTTGTTGAGGCAGCTGAGACACAGCGTGAGCTTGTACACGTGGTAGTAGCTCTTGCCGTAGAACAGGCGGCTCACGATGTGCGCCAGGAGCACGAAGTTGTTGGGGGCGAAGCAGGTGACAAAGGCCAGCAAGACCACCGCGGCCAGGCCCACCGCGCGCCTCCGCTGCTCCCGGCCGTGCGCCTCCTCCGTGCGCAACAGCTTGAGGATGGTGGCCGTGTAACAAGCCACGGTGATCACGAACGGGATGAGGAACAGCAGGATGAAGATGGTGAAGAGGAACACGGCCCACATGGCCACGCTGGGGAGCATCGTCCACTTGAGGACGTCGAAGCAGGTGATGATGCCCAGGGCGTGCACCGGGTAGGTGAGATCGGTGCGCGCCAGCGGGGACAGGGCGGTCAGGAGCAGCAGCCAGGTCCCTGCACACGCGGCCACCGCGTAACGACGGCGGCGCCAGCGCTTGGAGCTGAGCGGGTACAGGACCCCCAGGAAGCGCTCCACGCTGATACAGGTCATGGTGAGGATGCTGGAATACATGTTTGCGTAAAAGGCCACGGTCACCACGTTGCAAAGCAGCACCCCGAATACCCAGTGGTGGCGGTTGCAATGGTAGTAGATTTGGAAAGGCAACACGCTGGCCAGCATCAGGTCCGTGACGCTCAGGTTGATCATGAAGATGACCGACGGGGATCTGGGCCCCATGCGCCGGCACAGCACCCACAGAGAGAAGAGGTTGCCCGGGATGCTGACCGCCGCCACCAGCGAGTACACCACGGGCAGGGCCACCGCGATCGCCGGGTTCCGCAGCATCTGCAGCGTCGCGTTGTCCGGGCCGGTGCTGTTCGGGACCTGCATCCTGGAGGGGTCCTCGCCCGGGCTCTGCAAGGGAAGGAGGGAAGGGTGTACGGGTCAGGGGCGCAGGTAAAGAGGCGGCTGCCGGGAGGGCTCCTGAGCGCCGCTCCCCGGGGACCAAGGCGGGGGAGATGCTTTAGCAGGGCCTGCTGTCTCCTCCCTCCCTCCCTCCCTTAGTTCCTCCTTCCCTCTCCTCCTTCCTTCCCTCCCTCTCTGCCTCCTTTCTTCACCCTGTGTCATTCTTTTCTTCTTTCCTGTCTTCTCCCCTTTCTTCTTCCTTCCTCCTCTCTCCTTCCTTCTCTTCTTCCCTCCTTCCTTCCTTCCTTCCTTCCTTCCCGCCCTCCCTCCCTCCCGTCCTTCCTTGGATCAGGGAGGTCATTGGAGACCTCGGCCCACGTCAGAGGCTGAGACTCTTAGATGATCCACAGTGGGGCTGTGGCTCCCCTGGGCAGGTTGAATGCATTGTCATACAAACCTCAAGACTCAGTGTCCCCCGTGGACGGAAACCACAAAGCCACCGTCAGCCCCCAGGGTGGTCTTAATGGGAATTCTTGACACCCTGGCAGTATTAGTCTGGGTATGAGTCCTCTCATCTCAGGGGCATCCACCCACAAAGTGTCTATCAGCAGAAAACACACACTCCGAGTGCCAGGAGACCAACCCGCAGCCTCCAAAGTCTTTCCAGCTTTTAACACCCGCGTCAACCCACGGCTCCTCCCTGCTCTTTCTTCCTCCAGAGGAGACCTGCGACTTCTTACCAACTGCTCTACAAACAGCTTCCTCAAGCTGGCTTTAAAATGGCCCGGAGTTTTCGTTTCAGTTTCAGGGAGAAGTTTTCTGACCCGCCGGTCCGTGCCCAGGTGTGAAACCTACAGTTATGCACGAGTCAGCACCGCTCCCCACGGCCAGCTGGGCACCTCCAGCCACCTATGGCTTCAGGAGGAAAAGCAGACCCTTCCTTCTTTGGGTTCCGCTTGGTGTGGCCGTGGGGGACGTCTGGAAGGAGAGACGCTTTATCCATGAGCTGGTGATGAAAAAGTGTCTGTCAAAGGGACACTACTTTTATTTTGAGAATGTAAAGTGGACAGAGCTGGAAACAGGGGTGCCCTGGAATTGTTCTTTTGTTTGTTTGTTTTATAGATATGGGGTCTTGCCTTGTTGCCCAGGCTGGAGGGCAGTAGTGCAAACGTAACTCACTGCAGCCTCCAACGCCTGGCCTCAAGCAATCCTCCTGCCTCAGCCTCCTGAGTAGTTGGGACTACAGGTGAGAGTACAACCACGCCCAGCTAATATTTTTATTTTTTGTAGATACAGAGTTTTGCTATGTTTCCCAGGCTGGTCTCAAACTCCTGGCCTCAAGCAATCCTCCTGCCTCAGCCTCCTGAGTAGCTGGGACTACAGGTGACAGTACCTCCGTGCCCAGCTAACATTTTTATTTTTTATAGATACACAGTTTTGCTACATTTCCCAGGCTGGTCTCAAACTCCTGGCCTCAAGCAATCCTCCTGAGTACCTGGGACTGCAGGTGCATGCCACCCTGCCCAGCTAATATTTTTATTTTCTGTAGACATGGGGTTTGGCTATGTTGCCCAGGCTGGTCTCAAACTCCTGGCCTCAAGCAATCCTCCTGCCTCGGCCTCCCAAAGCATTGGGATTACAGGTGTGAGCAACACACCTGGGCTGGAATTTGTTGCTTTAACTCTCCACGTAGGCAGCAGTGCCTCGCACACATTTAAACACCACGTGCTGTTGAAAGTCCTACGGTGGCGGCCTCACCCGGCCACCCTCGTGTCTGTACCTGTGTGGTCTGGGGATCCAGCAAGCAGCCTCTTGGCAGCCAGATCTGTTGCCATTTCGAGTCTGTGCCCTGTGGCCACCGGACAGCCCCCGGGGAAGACAGACAGCCAGGACTGCTGAGGAACGCGCATGACTAATCAAGAAATTACCTCTAACTGATGCCAGCTGCCCTGACACAGGAGGCACAGGCTTGCGGTTTGGGCCCCGCCGGGGCTCAGCGGGCAGGATGGAAATTTTAGAAAATCAGCACAACGGTTGTTCTTGGCGGTGTCTGGCCTGC
Organism: Homo sapiens; assembly: GCF_000001405.40. Classification (NCBI taxonomy): domain Eukaryota; kingdom Metazoa; phylum Chordata; class Mammalia; order Primates; family Hominidae; genus Homo; species Homo sapiens. Next base: position 1,468,633 of record NC_000024.10, read on the forward strand.
AGAGGTGGCTGTCCAGAAATTTCTGGGCACTGAATTGTCTGAAGCAACGGACAGACCACAGGTGGGCGCTCAGGGGCTGTAGGTGGGACCCTCCTCTCCTCTCTCCTCTCTCCTCTCTCCCCTCTCCCCTCTCCCCTCTCCCCTCTCCCTCTCCCCTCTCCCCTCCCCTTCCCTCTCCCCTCACCCCTCCCCTTCCCTCTCCCCTCACCCCTCCCCTTCCCTCTCCCCTCTCCCCTCCCCTTCCCTCTCCCCTCTCCCCTCCCCTTCCCTCTCCTTCCCTCTCCCCTCTCCCCTCCCCTTCCCTCTCTCCTCTCCCCTCTCCCCTCTCCCCTCTCCCCTCTCCCCTCTCCCCTCTCCTTCCCTCTCCCCTCTCCCCTCCCCTTCCCTCTCCCCTCTCCCCTCCCCTTCCTTCTCCTTCCCTCTCCCCTCTCCTTCCCTCTCCCCTTCCCTCTCTCCTCTCCTTCCCTCTCTCCTCTCCTTCCCTCTCTCCTCTCCTTCCCTCTCTCCTCTCCTTCCCTCTCTCCTCTCCTTTCCTCTCCCCTCTCCCCTCTTTTCTTTTCGCAGTCTGTCATCCAGGCTGGAATGCAATGGCGTGATCTCGGCTCACTGCAACCTCTGTCTCCCTGCTTCAAGCGATTCTCCTGCCTCAGCCTCCTGAGTAGCTGGGATTACATGCATGCACCACCACGCCTGGCTGATTTTTTACTTTTTGTAGCCCCAAAAAGAGTTTCACCATGTTAACCAGGCTGGTCTTGAATTCCTGACCTCAGGTGAGCCACCAGCCCCGGCCTCCTAAAGTGCTGGGATGACAGTCGTGAGCCACTGCACCTGGCCAGGTTGGACCCTTTTTCTTATGCTTTGCAGGTAAATGCACACCTGTCTGGCAGCAATGCATCCAGCAATGTTTCTCTCCTCTTGAGGGTCTGTGTGTATCTCCTCCAGCCCTCTCACTTATTTCTTCTTAAAACAGCTTTGCCAGCCGGGCACGGTGGCTCACACCTGTAATCCCAGCACTTTGGAAGGCCGAGGTGGGCAGATCACGAGGTCAGGAGATCAAGACCATCCTGGCTAACACGGTGAAACCCCATCTCTACTAAAAAAACAAAAAAACAAAAAAATTAGCCGGGCGTGGTGGCATGGTGGCGAGTCCCAGCTACTCGGGAGGCTGAGGCAGGAGAATGGCCTGAACCCGGGAGGCGGAGCTTGCAGTGAGCCGAGATCGCACCACTGTACTCCATCCAGCCTGGGCAACAGAGCGAGACTCTGTCTCAAAACAAAACAAAACCAACAAACAAAAAAACAGCTTTACCAAGACGTGAGTTACGTACCATAAGCTTTCACTCATTCATACAGTTCAATGGTTTTTAATATATTCACAGATGTGCAAACAACACCATAATGCAATTCCAGAACCATTTTTATCCCTAAACAAAACTCAGGACCTGGCCGGGCATCATGGCTCACACCTGTAATTCCAGCACTTTGGGAGGCCGAGGCAGGTGGATCACCTGAGGTCAGGAGTTCGAGACCAGCCTGGCCAACATGGTGAAATCCTGTTGTTACTAAAATTAAACAAACAAACAAACAAAAACAAATGGGCCAGGCGCGGTGACTCACGTCTGTAATCCCATCACTTTGGGAGGCCGAGGCAGGTGGATCACCTGAGGTCAGGAGTTCAAGACCAGCCTTCCCAACATGGTGAAACCCTGTCTCTACTAAAAATACAAAAAAAATTAACCGGGTGTTGTGGCACATGCCTGTAATCCCAGCTACTCCAGAGGCTAAGGCAGGAGAATCGCTTGAACCTGGGTAGGGGGCAGAGGTTGCAGTGAGCCGAGATCACACCATTGCACTCCAGCCTGGGCAACAAAAGCAAAACTCCATCTCAAAACAAAACAAAAACCCTTCAGAACCCCACAACTGCTAATCCTGTTCGTTCCTGTCCCCAGCCCCTGTGAACCTCAAATCTGCTTCCTGTCTCTGTGGATCTGCCTATTCTAGATATTTTATAAGAATAAAATTCTACAATATGTGGTCTTTTGTGTCTAGCTTCTGTCACTGAGCCAGGGGTCTTCAAAGTTCATCCACGCTGCAGCCTGGGTCAGAGCTTGAGTCCTTTCAGTGGGTGCATAATAGTCTACTGTGTGGATAGACCACATTCTGTTTATTCATTCTCCTGTGGATGGACATTTTTGTTCTTTCTGATTTTTTTTTTTTTTTTTGAGATGGAGTCTTGCTCTGTTGCCCAGGCTGGAGTGTAGTGGTGCGATCTTGGCTCAGTGCAACCTCCGCCTCCTGGGTTCAAGCAATTCTCCTGCCTCAGCCTCCCAAGTAGCTGGGGCTACAGGAACCTGCCACCACGCCTGGCTAATTTTTTTGTAATTTTTTTTTTGAGAGGGAGTTTCGCTCTTTTTGCCCAGGCTGGAGTGCAATGGTGTGATCTCGGCTCTCGGCAACCTCCGCTTCCCCGGTTCAAGCAATTTTCCTGCCTCAGCCTCTGGAGTAGCTGGGACTACAGGCATGCATCACCGCACCCAGCTAATTTTTGTATTTTTAGTAGAGACAGGGTTTCACCATGTTGGCCAGGCTGGTTGTGAACTGCTGACCTCAGGTGATCCACCCTCCTCAGTCTCCCAAAGTGCTGGGACTACAGACGTGAGCCACCGCGCCCAGCCCATTTTTTTTTTTTTTTTTTTTTTGTAATTTTAGTAACGACGGGGTTTCATCATGTTGGCCAGGCTGGTCTCAAACTCCTGACCTCTGATGTATGATCCACCCTCCTCGGCCTCCCAAAGTGCTGGGATTACAGGCACGAGCCATCACACCCAGCCCATTTTTTTTTTTTAATAATTTTAGTAGCGACAAGCTTTCATCATGTTGGCCAGGCTGGTCTCAAACTCCTGACCTCCCATGATCTGCCCGCCTCGGCCTCCCAAAGTGCTGGGATGACAGGTGTGAGCCACCGCGCCTGGCGTGTTCCTGATTCTTGGCTATTGTGCATAAAGCTGCTCTTCCCTCATTCCCAGCCCTGGGAACCCCTTTCTAAAGGGTTCAGATGCTGAGTGCAGTGATCACTACAGTCTTGTTCCGGGTGGACCTTACAGGGTTGGGATGAGAAATAGACAAAAGGCATCTCCTCGTGGGCAGCAGGGATTGCATGCCGGTGACAGACCCTTTTTTGCCAGCTATTGTCTTCTGGCTATAACCACCCCTCTTTCCTGAGTGCTGGGGGCTGTCCCAGCTGTTGAACACACAGGGGAGTGAGAGGCCCCAGCCCTAAGGAACCACAAGCCAGCCCCGTGCTTGTCGTCTGCTCTCCTTTCTGTTTTCTGGGGGTGTTTGCACCACCCAGTTTGTGGTTCTTTTGATAGGGCTGCCTCAGGAGGCCCTCAACCCCAAAGACAGCAAATGGCACTCTGTTGGAGCTGTGGATTTGGAAGACAAAACAGACGCTGGCTTCAATTACCTACTTTGATTACGTAGAAGGAAGTTGTCGTGGGCCACACCCTGGCTGATACTCTCGGTATTATGGCCATTTCTTACTTAGAAATAGGGTCTGCGTCTATGTCATTAGTGAAGTCAAAATGTGGTCATAATAGAGTAGGGAGAGGCCCTAATAAAATTCACTGGCGTCCTTAGGAGAAAGAGAAATTTAGGCACAGACACAGAGAGAAGGCATGGAAAGATGAAGACAGAGACGAGAGTGGATGGATGGGTAGATGGATGAATAAATGGATGGATGGGTGGGTGGATGGATGGGTAGATGCATAGATGGGTGGATGAATGGGTACATGGGTGGGTGGATGGATGGATGGGTGGGTGAGTGGATGAGTGCATGGGTGGGCAGATGGGTGGGTGGATGGATGGGTGGATGGGTGGGTGGGTGGGAGGGTGGGTGTGCGGATGAATGGTAGGTGGGTTTGTGAATGGGTGGGTAGGTGGGTGAGTGGGTGGATGGCTGGATCAGTGTTTAGATAGGATGTGTGGGTGGATGAATGGATGGGTTGATGGGTAGATGGATGGGAGGATGTATGGATGAATGCATGGATGGGTGGATGGGTGGGAGGGTGGATGTGTGGATGAATGGTGGGTGGGTGGGTGGATGTGTGGATGGATAGATCAGTGTTTAGGTGGATAGATGTGTGGGTGGATGAATTGATGGGTTGATGGGTAGATGGATGGGTGGATGTATAGATGAGTAGGTGGATGGGTGGGTGGATGGATGAGTGGCTAGATGGATGAGTGGGTGGATGGGTTGGTGGATGGATGATGAATGGATGTGGATGGGTAGATGGATGGGCGGGTGAGTGGATGAGTGCATGGGTGGGCGGATGGGTGGGTGGATGGATGGGGGTGGGTGGGAGGGTGGATGGGTGGATGAATGGTAGGTGGGTTTGTGAATGGGTGAGTGGGTGGGTGGATGGGTGGATGGATGGATTAGTGTTTAGATAACTGGAAGTGTGGGTGGATGAATTGATGGGTTGATGGGTAGATGGATGGGTGGATGGATGGGTGGGTGGATGGATAGATGAGTAGGTAGATGGATGGGTGGATGGATGGGTGGGTGGATGGATAGATGAGTAGGTAGATGGATAGATGAGTAGGTAGATGGGTGCGTGGACGGATGGGTGAATAGATGGATGAGTGGGTGGATGGGGGGTTGGATGGATGATGAATGGATGGGGATGGGTAGATGGATGCATGGGTGGATGAATGGTGGATGGGTTTCTGAATGGGTGAGTGGGTGGGTGGGTGGATGGGTGGGTGGATGGATCAGTGTTTAGATAGATGGATGTGTGGGTGGATGAATGGATGAGTTGATGGGTAGATGGATGGGTGGATGTATGGATGAGTAGGTGGATGACTGGGTGAATGGATGGATGCATGGATGGGTGGATGGATGGGTGGGTGGGTGGATGAATGGTAGGTGGGTTTGTGAATGGGTGGGTAGGTGGGTGAATGGGTGGATTGATGGATCAGTGTTTAGATAGGTGGATGTGTGGGTGGATGAATGGATGGATTGATGGGTAGATGGATGGGTGGATGTATAGATGAGTAGGTGGATGTATGGGTGGATAGATGGATGACTGGGTGGATGGGTGGGTGGATGGATGATGAATGGATGGGGATGGGTAGATGGATGGGTGGGTGGATGAATGGTGGGTGGGTTTGTGAATGGGTGAGTGGGTGGGTGGGTGGATGGGTGGATGGATGGATCAGTGTTTAGATAGGTGGATATGTGGGTGGATGCATTGATGGTTGATGGGTAGATGGATTGGTGGATGTATAGATGAGTAGGTGGATGGGTGGGTGGATGGATGGGTGGATAGATGGATGAGTGGGTGGATGGACGGATGCATGGATGAGTGGATGGATGGGTGGGTGGATGGGAGGGTGGATGGGTGGATGAATGGTAGGCGGGTTTGTGAATGGGTGGGTAGGTGGGTGAATGGGTGGATGTATGGATCAGTGTTTAGATAGGTGGATGTGTGGGTGGATGAATGGATGGGTTGATGGGTAGATGGATGGGTGGGTGTATGGATGGGTGGATGAATAGATGAGTAGGTGGATGGGTGGGTGGATGGGAGGGTGAATAGATGGATGAGTGGGAGGATGGGTGAGTGGATGGAGGATGAATGGATGAGGATGGGTAGATGGATGGGTGGATGGATAGATGGGTGGCTGGATAGATGAATAGGTGTATGGGTGTGTGGATGGATGGATGGATGGATGGATGGATAAGTGGGTGGGTGGATGGATGGATCAGTGTTTAGGTGGATGGACGTGTGAGTGGATGGATGGGTGGATAGATGGATGAGTGGGAGGATGGGTGAATGGATGTATGATGAATGGATGAGGATGGGTAGATGGATGGGTAGATGGATAGATGGGTGGCTGGATAGATGAATAGGTGTATGGGTGTGTGGATGGATGGATGGATGGATGGATGGATGGATGGATGGATGGATGGATGGATAAGTGGGTGGGTGGATGGATGGATCAGTGTTTAGGTGGTTGGACGTGTGGGTGGATGGATGGGTGGACAGATGGATGAGTGGGAGGATGGGTGAATGGATGTATGATGAATGGATGAGGATGGGTAGATGGATGGGTGAATGGATGTATGATGAATGGATGAGGATGGGTAGATGGATGGGTGGATGGATAGATGGGTGGCTGGATAGATGAATAGGTGTATGGGTGTGTAGATGGGTGGCTGGATAGATGAATAGGTGTATGGGTGTGTGGATGGATGGATGGATGGATGGATGGATAAGTGGGTGGGTGGATGGATGAATCAGTGTTTAGGTGGTTGGACGTGTGGGTGGATGGATGGGTGGACAGATGGATGAGTGGGAGGATGGGTGAATGGATGTATGAGGAATGGATGAGGATGGGTAGATGGATGGGTAGATGGATAGACGGGTGGATGGATAGATGAATAGGTGTATGCCTGTGTGGAGGGATGGATAAGTGGGTGGGTGGGTGGGTGGATGGATGGATCAGTGTTTAGGTGGCTGGATTTATGGGTGGATGAATGGATGGGTTGATGGGTAGATGGATGGGCAGATGTATGGATGGGTGGATGGATGGATGAGTGGGTGGATGGGTAGGTGGATGGATGGGTGGATGGATGGATGAGTGGGTAGATGGGTGGGTGGGTAGATGGGTGGATGGATGAATAGATGATGCATGGATGGATGCTTCTATCCACCATGAAATGCCGATTGTTTCCAGAAAATCACCAGAAGCTGCAGCAAAGCTTGGAACAGATTTTCCCTCAGAGCCCTAATGAGGAACCAACCCTGCCAATACCTTCATCTCAGACTTCTGGTCTCCAGGATGGGGAGAGAATGCATTGCTGTTATTTAAGCCACCACATCAGTGGTAATTAGTTATGGCAGCTGTCGCAAACCAATACACCGAGAAAAGAGAGGAAAAGTTTTAACCAACAGACTTCAAAGAAATTAGAGAAAGCGTCATCATACCAAATAAAAGAGAGGAAGAACCTTAAAAGAAAGATAAAGCATGAAAAGCACAAGATTATAGGATAAGAGAAAGAAATGAGGAACAAGCCAATGGGCCTCAGAAACTCAATGGAAGACAAGGATCTCAAGACTTGAAGATATAAAGACGGCACTGCAAAGCAATAACAACAACAACATGTATTCATGCAGTCCCCCTTTCTTTGGTTGACTTACTGTTGAGAAATGTCCAACACTAGCAGAGTGGAGCATATAGATTATGATGTGATTTGCCAAAGCCCAGGAGGAATGGCTGCATAGGACCCTCTCCTCACCTGCCATGGTTGCATTGAACCACTAGGGTAGGGAAGGAAGCAAGGCTCAGAGCTCCCTGCTCAAGCATCTCCCTGCAGGGGCCAAGACATCTTCTTGACCTTTGACATGTGGATCTATGGCACAGGGGCTGTCCAGAGCTCTCCATGACCCAGGCATCAGACCCCTTCCAGCTCCAGGAGGGAGGAGGTACAGGTATACACCTGGTGCTGACCTACAAGGGTCACAGGAAGAATCCAGCTTTGGGACACCTCCTATGACCAAGTTGTTCAGGATTTTACAATGTGGTCTCAGGGTCACTGTTAGTGCACCCAGACCTGTTTGAGCAAGAGTCCTTGATATCGATTTAGAAATATAATGGGTCGGCTGGGCACGGTGGCTCATGTCTGTAATCCCAGCACTTTGGGAGGCTGAGGTGGGCAGATCATGAGGTCAGGAGATGGAGACCATCCTGGCTAACACGGTGAAACCCCTTCTCTACTAAAAATACAAAAAAGAAAAAAAAAATTAGCCGGGCGTGGTGGCGGGTGCCTGTAGTCCCAGCTACTCGGGAGGCTGAGGCAGGAGAATGGCATGAACCCCGGAGGCAGAGCTTGCAGTAAGCCTAGATGGCACCACTGCACTCCAGCCTGGGTGACAAAGTGAGACTCTGCCTCAAAAAGAAAAAAAAAAAAGAAATATAATGGGTCATATAGATGTTTGAGAGGTAGCCAAGGGTGGCTGATGCCAGGTCTAGAAGAACAAGGGTCACCTAGAAGGCTTCCCCTACCCTCAAGAATAGTTGGAAATGTAGGAAACATCCCTGGTTGCCACAACTTAAGGAAGGATGCTACTGGGATCTGGTGGGTGGAGCCCAGGGATGGTGCTCAACACCCTACCATGCACAGGAGGGTCCCCACCACAGAGAAGCATCCAGCCTCAAATATCTACAGTGCTGAGGTTGACAACCTGGCATGAGCATAAGAACTTCACCGTCAGCCTGGAGCAGTGGCTCACACCTGTAATCTCAGCACTTTGGGAGGCCGAGGTGGGTGGATCACCTGAGGTCAGGAGTTTGAGACCAGCTTGGCCAACACGGTGAAGCCCCGTCTCTACTCAAAATACAAAAACTAGCCAGGTGTGGTGGCGGGTGCCTCTAATCCCAGCTACTTGGGAGGCTGAGGCAGGAGAAGCACTTGGACCTGGGAGGCGGAGGTTGCAGTGAGCTGAGATTGTGCCATTGCACCCCAGCCTGGGCGACAGAGCAAGACTGCATCTCAAAAAAAAAAAAAGAAGAAGAAGAAGAAGAAATTCACCATCTGTCTATCCATGAATCCATTTGTTGATCTAACCCCTGTCATCCATCTATCATCTATCATCTATCTATATCAATCGTCTTGCAACCCTTGATCTATCATCTATCTATATCAATTATCTATCAATCGATCATCTATCTACCTATCAATTTTCTCTCTATCAATTACTTATCTATCTAGCAATCATATCTATCAATTATGAATCAATCATCTTTCTATGGATCTTTCATCTATTCATATCAATTACCTACCAATCAGTTATCTATTAATTACATCTATCATCTGTGAATCAGTTATCTAACAATCACATATACGTGTTCATCAATCTATCAATTATTTATCTATGCATCAATTATTTATCCATTCAATAGTTTGCAAATGTGAATGATTCAGGTATCATAATTGGGAAGATGCGTCTGGCATCTGGTGGGTAGATCCCAGGGACACTGCTCAACACCCTACAGTACACAGGATGGCCCCACCACAGAGGATCATCTGGGCTGAAATGTCAGCAGTGCTAAGGCTGAGAAACCTGCCCTCAAGCAACTGTGTGACAAGAGCAGCCTTCAACAAACACACAGAGCTCAGGAGTACTTTCCAAAGAATGTCTGCAAGAGGCTTTCGGGGAGAGAAAAGACCCCAGGCAGATGTTCCTAGCAAGAAGCTGGTGTCGTGGAAAGGGACAGTGGTCTCATCATGGTTAGTGACCAGCTGTGGATGAAGAGCGATTCCTTAAAATGCCTGCACGTGCCCCTCATTGCCTTGCCGTCACGGACCTCCCACCCCATCACAGAGGAGGAGACCTGGTCTTCAGGAAGACAGATGGAACATGAGCTAAAGCATCTCTTGGGCCCCTGAGCTGGGGTGGGGTCAGACGTCAGAGCTGTGGCCAGAAGCAATAACAAAGAGAAGTTCTTGACTCATGTGGAACCTTCCATTGGTATCTCCTGTTTCCAATCCTAAGCATTTCTCTGTATGATGGACACCAATGCTTTTAAAATGAAAAATGGTGCTGGCAGGCGTATGTGTGTGTGTGTGTGTGTGTGTGCCCAGCAGGGAAGCAGAAATTATTACCAACATATCTTTTGCAAACAGGGATCATATAAACTAGAGAGATTGCAGAAGGCAGACTGTAGATAAGAGATTGCAGAGAGGTTGTAGGGTGACAGACAGGTCCTTTTGGGAGGGAGGAAGTAGGAAGAGAGTTGGTGGTTTTCAATATGGGAAGCTGAAGTGGCACAGGTATCTTTTATTTATTTATTTATTTTTTTGAGACAGAGTCTCGCTCTGTTGTCCAGGCTGGAGTGAAGTGGCACGATCTCGGCTCACTGCAACCTCCGCCTCCCGGGTTCAAGCGATTCTCTTGCCTCAGCCTCCTGAATATCTGGGACTACAGGCGCCTGCCACCATGCTTGGCTAATTTTTGTATTTTTAGTAGAGATGGGGGTTCCAGCATGTTGGCCAGGCTGGTCTCGAACTCCTGACCTTATGATCCACCCACCTCGGCCTCCCAAAGTGCTGGGATTGCAGGTGTGAGCCACTGCTCCCGGTACAGGTATCTTTTTATGTGAACATAGATAGCAGGGGCTGGGAAAACAGAGAAGCTAGGTGGTGGGCTCATGGTGCAAAGACTATCATGGAATATACCAGAAGCCTCCTGCCCCCTGCTGTCTGCCTTTCTGGTGGTCCCTCCCCACTGAACTGCAACTTATCCTAATAAAACCGGGGTTGATACCACCACTTCCAGGTTCCCACATTCCAAGTCCCCTCAGCCACAGAAGCAGATGCAACCTCTTCTGAACTTCCAGACACCATTGAGTTTTCAACTTTGGTTTAATTTTTAGATCTTCCAATTACAGAACACACACACACACTTGTTATGAGTAAAAGAATAAAGAGAAATAGAGAGCTCTGTATTCGTGTTTGTCTTTGGATCTTTCCCCTCCAGGTCCCACTTCCCTTCAGAAGTAACCTCTGGGAGTTCGTTTGCTCTGGAGCCTCCTTTCATACACAGGTAAGTTTTATTTTGCATAGTAGGACATACACCCGTCACCACTTTTGTGAATGTCTTGTGGTGTCTCTAACCATATGCCCCACAGTGAGGGGATTTGGATGGATCAACTCTGCTTCAGCCTGTGTGCTTACACACACTCCTCTGTAAGTATTTTTATGCATACCTGTGAGAACATTTTCTAGGATCGATTTCTAGGAGAAGATCTGCTGATTTGAAGGGTTTGCATATTTTAAATGGAATGCATGTATTAGAAAGGAAGTAAGATCTAAAATCAATAATTTAAGTTTCCACCTCGAGAAACTAGAAAAAGAAGAGCAAATTAAATCTAATGGAAGAAGAAAGAAATAAATCATAAATATTAGATTAGAGGAGAAATCAGTGGATTTGAAAATAGGAAATCCATAGAGGACAGAAATCAGTGCAATTGAAAACAGCAAGTCAATAGACAAAAATCAAAACCATAGGCTTGTTCTTTGAAATAACAATCAATGAGAGTAATAAGCTTCTAGTCAGGCTAACAACAACAAAGAATGAGGACACAAGTTACTAATACTGTAAATGAAAGAGGAGACATCACTACAGATCCCATGGACATTAAAAAGATCATAAAGAAATATTATAAACAATTCTGTGCCCATAAAATTGATCACCTAGATGAAAAGAACAAAAGGATAAAATCTGACAACTCACACAAGAAGAAACAGCCAATCTGAGTGAGCCTATATCTCTTAAAGAAATTGAATCGATAATTTAATAACCTTCCCAAACAAAAGGCTCCAGGCCCAGATGGGTTTACTGATGAATTTTCCCCAACATTTAAGGAAGAAATTATATTGATTCTCTACCATTCCTTCCAGAAGATAGAAACACAGGGAATATCACCAAATATCCACCCAATAAATTTCACCAATATGTGCTTACAGCTGATAGACAAGGGCAACACTCATTCTCACACCCTCATCAACAAGGGTGACAGCAACTAGCCTGAAGGGTGAGAGGTTTCAACTCATATTTTCATCACAGCAACAGAGGTTGACATGTTTCTTTCTTTTCTTTCTTTTTTTTTTTTATTGGCTGAGTCAGAGTTTCCCTCTGTCTCCTGAGCTGGACTGCAGTGGCACGACCTTGGCTCACTGCAGCTTGCGCTTCCCGGGTTTTTTTTTTTTTGAGACAGGGCCTTTCTCTGTCAACCAAGCTGGGGGCAGTAGTGCAATGACCGCTCACTGCAGCCTCGAACTCCTGGCCTCAAGAGATCCTTCTGTCTCAGCCTCCTGTGTAAGCTGGGACATGGATGAAGCTGGAAGCCATCATTCTGAGAAACTAACAGAGGAACAGAAAACCAAACACTGCATGTTGTCACTCATAAGTGGGAGTTGAACAATGAGAACACATGGACACAGGGAGGGGAACGTCACACACCAGGGCCTGTCGGGGGGTGAGGGGATAGAGGAGGGAGAGCATTAGGACAAATACCTAATGTAGATGACGGGTTGATGGGTGCAGCAAACCACCCTGGCACCTGTACACCTATGTAACAAACCTGCATGTTCTGCACATGTACCCCAGAACTTAAAGTAAAATAAAAAGAAAATAAAAGAACTTTTTTTAAAACAAAGAACCAGTATGCAAAATGTGCCAAAAAAAACTCTTAAGATTCAACCACTGGAAAAAAAAAAAACCATTTAAACATGGGCCACCTCACGAAAGATGCTTTGCAGGTGGCAAATTCACCTACGAAAAATCACTCCATGTCGTAGCTCATCAGGGAATTGCAAATTAATACCGCCGAGACATGCCGGCCGACAGGTCTCAGGGTGACTAAGATCTAGAGATACCAACAGATGAAGTACCGGAACTCTCATTGAATGCTGGTCACAAGAAGACGGTCCCTGCACCCTCTGACCTTTAGGTCACTCTGCAGCACGCAATACATTTTTTTTTTTTCTTGAGGCTGAGTCTTGCTCTGTGGTCCAGGCTGGAGTGCAATGGCACAACGTCGGCTCCCTGCAACCTCCGCCTCCCGGGTTCAAGCCATTCTCCTGCCTCAGCCTCCAGAGTAGCTGACAGGCACCTGCCACCACGCCTGGCTAAGTTTTGTGTTTTTAGCAGAGATGGGATTTCACTATGTTAGCCGGGCTGGTCTTGAACTCCCGACCTCAGGTGATCCACCTGCCTCGACCTCCCAAAGTGCTGGGATTACAGGCGTGAGCCACCGTGCCCGGCCAGGTAGTCACATTTTCTTCAAGCTTTGGGTTTAAGGGATCCCAGCTTTGGGCTTAAGGGATCCCAGCTTTGGGTTTAAGGAGCCCAGCTTTGGGTTTAGGAGAGTCCAGCTTTGGGATTAGGAGAGTCCAGCTTTGGGATTAGGAGAGTCCAGCTTTGGGATTAGGAGAGTCCAGCTTTGGGTTTAGTGGAGCTCAGCTTCCAACCCTCGCACCCTCAAAGTTCCCCATCTTTGTAGACCCAGTGACCCCTGTTTCTGTGATAACACCTGCCTCTGAACGAACTCTGTGTTCTACTGACTTCAAAGTGACCCACCAGCCCCAGTGAACTGGCAGCTGGCAGGCGTCAGGGGATAGAGGACCTGCTGGCGTCGGCCTCAGATCACAAGGCAAGAATCCTCCTAGCTAAGCACAAAAACGCGTAGGAAATGCTCTGAGCTCTGCCGCTGTGTGTTGATTTTCCTGTATTGCATCACCCAACGAAGCAGACCGTTTGCCCAGCGAGATTTGCATGCTGTCCTCCGCAGACGCCCCGTGGAGATTTTGATCTGCGTCTTCTGCAAAGGCAGCGGCCGCGTTTCTCTGATTTCTGTATCTCATTCTCAGAGTATATAGCACGGGGCTTCATCGCTGGCCAGAGAGCAGATTCTGAGAAACATAAGAAGCCCCTTTTTGAAACAAAATTAATTTGTGTGTGTGGTGTGTGTGTGTGTGTGTGTGTGTGTGTGTATGGGTGAGGATGTCTCAACAGCAGCAAAATCGGCCTCACTCTGGAAGGCAGGAAGCCACTGTACGTGGAATTAAGCTAATTAACATGAAATGCCATTTGGTGAAAAAAAAAAAAAAAACCCAAAGTGGTTGAGTGTGTGGCTCCTGCCCTGCTGCAAAAGAAGAGTGTGGAAATAGCACGTATGCTGAAATTTAAGCACTTCTGCCGTTACTGAGCCACAGTGCCCATGGTTTTAGCAGGTTATGGCAGACAGATTCATTTAACAGATGAGAGAGAGGTGACAGGAAGGTTCGCAGGCTTGACTTCCTAACAGCTGCTCTCTGTTTAAAGATCGTTGCTCTAGACATGAAGTCCTTGCCCATGCCTATGTCCTGAATGGTAGTGCCTAGGTTTTCTTCTAGGGATTTTATGGTTTTAGATCTAAATTTAAGTATTTAATCCATCTTGAATTAATTTTAGTATAAGGTGTAAGGAAGGGATCCAGTTTCAGCTTTCAACATATGGCTAGTCAGTTTTCCCAGCACCATTTATGAAAATGTGGCACATATACACCATGGAATACTATGCAGCCATCAAAAATGATGAGTTCATGTCCTTTGTAGGGACATGGATGAAGCTCGAAACCATCATTCTCAGCAAACTATCGCAAGGACAAAAAACCAAACACTGCATGTTCTCACTCATAGGTGGGAATTGAACCATGAGAACACATGGACACAGGAAGGAGAACATCACACACCGGGGACTGTTGTGGGGTGGGGGGACGGGGGAGGGATAGCATTAGGAGATATACCTAATGCTAAATGACGAGTTAATGGGTGCAGCACACCAACATGGCACATGTATACATATGTAACAAACCTGCACGTTGTGCACATGTACCCTAAAACTTAAATGAAAGATAAAATCAATTATTTTAATTTAAATAAATAAATAAAGATCGTTGCTCAGTGTGAGTTGACGCGGACTTGCCTTAGGATACTTTAATTGTGATCTGGTGGATTCTGCTCATCCTGTTTCCAGCCATGTGCTCAGCAAAGCAGTCAAAGAGAAAGATCCCTGGAGAAGAAACCGAGACGGTCTCAACTACCTTGTTCCTGCCCGAAGTCAAAGCTGGGCTCCCTTAGATCCAAAGCGGGGTTTCCTTAAAACCCAAACAGGAGCCAGGCGTGGTGGCTCATGCCTGTAATCCCAGCACTTTGGGAGGCTGAGGTGGGTGGATCACCTGAGGCTGGGAGTTCGAGACCAGCCTGACCAACATGGAGAAACCCCATCTCTACTAAAAATACAAAATTAGCCAGGCATGGAGGCGCATGCCTGTAATCCCAGCTACTCAGGAGGCTGAGGCAGGAGAATTGCTTGAACCCGGGAGGCAGAGGTCGCGGTGAGCCAACATTGCGCCACTGCACTCCAGCCTGGGCAACAAGAACAAAACTTTGTCTAAAGAGAGAGAAAAAAAAGAAACAACCCAAACAGGAGCTCCATTAAAACCCAAAGCTACCCTCCCTTAGACTCAAAAACAGGCTTCCTTAAAACCCAAAGAGGGGCTCCCTTAGACCCAGAGCTGAGCTCCCCAAAACCCAAAGTTGGACTCCCCTAAACCCAAAGCTGAGCTCCCTTAACCACAGAGCTGGGCTCTCCTAAACCCAATGCTGACCTCCTTTAAACCTGAAGCTGGGCTGCCTTAGACCAAAAGCTGGGCTCTCCTAAACCCAAACCTGAGCTCCCTTAAACCCAAAGCTGGGTTTCCCTAAAACTCAAAGCTGGGATCCCCTAAACCCAAAGCTGGGTTCCCCTAAACCCAAAGCTGGGCTCCCCTCAACTCAAAGCTGGGCTCCCTTAGACCCAAAGCTGGACTCCCCTAAACCCAAAGCTGGGCCCTTATATACCTAAAAAGCTGGGTTCCCCTAAACCCAAAGCTGGGCTCCCCTAAACTCAGGAAAGATTTTCATCTTTGAACACAAAGGAGTGTGTTTTTCTCTTGCTCCCTGGACCCAAACCCCCAATGACGGGAACCCTCAGCTGTGACAAGCCTCCAGTATACGTATTTCCCCACGTGTGAGCCAGTTTCAATCTCTCTCCTCTGAAAGGTGAAAGGGTCCCAAGGTAGCAGTGATCATAGACAGAGACTCATTTCTTTGTTCTCTTTGTGACCTAAGGGAGGTTCTCAGGCCCACAGAAAAGGATATTTTAAAAGATTTCAAAGCAGTACCCATCCTAGGCTACCCCTCAGCACAAGAAATTAACATTACAGGCCGGGCGCGGTGGCTCACGCCAGTCATCCCAGCACTTTGGGAGGCTGAGGCGGGCGGATCATGAGGTCGGAAGTTCGAGACCAGCCTGGTCAACAAGGCAAAGCCTCGTCTGTACTAAAAATACAAAAAAAATTAGCCGGGTGTCATGGCAGGTGCCTGTCATTCCAGCTACTCGGGAGGCTGAGACGGGAGAATTGCTGGAACCCGGGAGGCGGAGGTTGCAGTGAGCTGAGATCACACCACTGCACTCCAGCCTGCGTGACAGAGCAAAACCCTGTAAAAAAAAAAAAAAAAAAAAAAAAGAAGAAGAAGAAGAAGAAGCGGCAGCTGGGGAACCTTCCTGAGCAAAAACTAGAATCCTCTGTGTCCCATTCAAGTCCTGCGTGTTTGCAAATTGACTCCAAAAATCACCTGGTGTGTCCTCAAATAGTTAACCATGTCATGCACCAATTCTCCTCCTAGGTAAAAGCTGGAGACAAATAAAGACAGGTGGAGAATTTGTTAAGCAAACATCTGATTCCTTAATGATGTAATAATGTCTTTTTTTTTTTTTTTTTTTTTTTTTAGAGACAGGATTGCAGTTTGTTGCTCAGGCTGGTCTCCAAGTCCTAGACTCAAGAAATCCTCCTGCCTCAGCCTCCAAAAGTGTTGAGATTACAGGTCTGAGCCACTGCACCCAGCCCTTAGTAATGTCTTTTTTCTTCTTTTGAAGGTGGTTTCTCACTCGGTCGTCCAGGCTGGAGTGCAGTGGCTTCATGGCGGCTCACGGCAACCTTCACCTCTGGGCTTCAAGCAGTTCTCGTGCCTCAGCCTCCCGAGTAGCTGGAACTACAGGTGTGCACCACCACGCCCAGCTACATTTTTGAATTTTAGCAAAGATGGGCATTGTACCATGTTGCCCAGGCTGGTCTCAAATTCCTGAGGTCAGGCAATCCACTTGCCTTGGCCACCCAAAATGCTAGGATTACAGGCGTGAGCCACTGCGCCCAGCCCCTTAATGATGCCTTACTGTAAATTATGGGTAAATGTGTACACATTAAATTAAATATTACCTTATTAACATTTTATTTACTTTTGTTTCTCTTTTATATTGTAATTAAGGCTATATGGATATGTAAATTTAATATGTAAATAATATACATAATCATATAAAGTGATATAATGTATAAATTATTATTATATAATATTACATATATTATTTATATATATTATTGTTATATAATAATTTATTTACAACTTATTTTATTATAAATTAAACATGTTATATTGTATGTATATTTAATAATTATATACGATATATTGTATAGTATCATTTATATGTTATATATAATTTGTGTATTATATGTAACATATTGAACATAGCATATATAAAATTATATACAACATATTTTATAGATCACCTTATGTGTATATATAATTATATGTATAATACATTATTTCTGCATGTCATTTTGGTAAGTGAAGGTAGCATTAGAAAATGTATAAAAAGGGGCTAGGTGTGGTGGCTCACACCTATAATCCCAGCACTTTGGGAAGCTGAGACAGGTGGATCACCTGAGGCCAGGAGTTCAAGACCAGCCTGGCCAACATGGTGAAACCCTGTCTTTACTAAAAATACAAAATTATCTGGGAGTGGTGGCAGGCACCTGTCATCCCAGCCACTTGGGAGGCTGAGGCAGGAGAATCGCTTGAACCCGGGAGGCGGAGGTTGCAGTGAGCGGAGATCATGCCATTGCACTCCAGGCTGGGTGAAAAGAGTGAAACTCTGTCTCAACAACAACAAAAAATGGTTGCACCCATAAAAACTTGCATATGAACGTTCCCTGCAGCACTCTTCACAACAGCCAAAAGGTGGAAACAGCCCAAGTGTCCGTCAACAGACAGACAGATAAACACAACGTGGCCCCCCCATGCACACAGTGGAATAGTATACAGCCATGAAAAGGAAGAAGGCTGTGACCGAGGCTACACTGTGGATGAACCTTGAAGACATCATGCTCAGGGAGAGAAGCCAGACACAGAAGGCCACATGGTGTAGGACTCCATTTCAATAAAATGCCCAGAACATGCTGATCCATATAGAGAGAAAGCAGATGACCATGGCTGGGACTGGGGATGGGGAAACGGGGAGTGACTTTCCCCCTAAAGGGGGTGTTTCCTTTTGCAGGAATGACAAAGTGGTGGAAATAGACAGAGGCGGCTGTTGCCCAGCACTGTGAAGGTCCTAAATGTCCCCCAGTTATTCGCTTTAAAACGGTGAGTTCATGTCAAGCATAATCTCAACAAGAAACAATTGTCTCTTGAAGCAGGAAGGACATTCCTCAGGTTTCTGGTTTACTTCCTGCGTCTGAGCTGGCCCTTCCCCTACACCCTCCTGGCTGACTCCCTGCCCGCGCTGAGTCCTGAATGCTCCTGCAGTCTCAGTGCTCCCCCGCTTGTTGCTTGGGTCTTCCTGTCCCTCAGAGAGCCCCGGTCACAGCCAGGCTGACCCTTTCTCCCCGGGACAGGGCAGCCCCAGGGCCGAGCTTCCGCTTTTGGGGGATGCAGTCGTCACTGGGGCCGTAGCCAGCCTGGCCTCCTCATCCCTCAGGTCCCTACCGGGGTGTCTGGGGCCGGCTGCGCAAGCCTTCCCTGTCTGTGGTCACTATGGCTGATTTGAGCTTGGCTGGGCCTGAGTGGAGGGGAAGCAGTGGCCACCACTGTGTGAACCAGTGACCTCACGGTGTCCCTCAGGGAGCCACAGTGAAAGGCGTCCAAGTTCTCAAGTCCAGCATTGTTTCAATTTCCTCCTTGTCTTTCCCGGCCACACAGAGCTTCCTTCCTAGCTGCCTGGAGATGACAGGGAAGGAGAAGGTCAAGTGTGCTTGAGTCCTCAGGTGACATCGCCTGTTCTTAGAGCAGACGTCACATTGAATGTTTGCAAACGTTTTTTTGTGCACCCGTCCTAGGAAGACGCGCTTATCATCTTTGCTTTACATATGGGGACACTGAGGGGCAGAGGGCATAAGGAACCTGGGCCATGAGTGACAAGGGGCGTGGTGCTTGGGACCCAGACTGTAGGTTTTCTGGGCATGTAGAAGATGCCGCACTCTGCCTTGCAATAATCTCCAAATACACGCATCTGAGTGGAAACACACCTGCGCCTCTGAGCCTGAACTCTGCACCTGTCTCTGGCTGCCTGTCTCATCCTCCCTGCCCTCCCAAGGGGATTTCAGGGACCATACTGCATACTGAGAGCTCCCCAAGGAGAAGAGACCTGAAGTGTATCATCCTGGTGCTCCCTGAGGCTGGAGCATAGTCCTGGCCTGCTGGGCAGGTGCATTTGCACCTGCTCTTTGCAGGGGTTGGGGACAAGTCAGAATACGGGTAAAAAAGAAGGCCGGGCCAGGCGCGGTGGCTCACGCCTGTCATCCCAGCACTTTGGGAGGCCGAGGCGGGTGGATCACGAGGTCAGGAGATCGAGACCATCCTGGCTAACACGGTGAAACCCCGTCTCTACTAAAACTATAAAAAATTAGCCAGGCGTGGTGGTGGGCGTCTGTAATCCCAGCAACTTGGGAGGCTGAGGCATGAGAATCGCTTGAACCTGGGAGGTGGAGGTTGCGGTGAGCCAAGATCGTGCCGCTGCACTCCAGCCTGGCCAACAAGAGCAAAACTCTGTCTAAAAAAAAAAAAGAAGAAGAAGAGAAGTGGGTCTCAACAGGGTCCCCAGTGTATCACTAACAGCTGAGCCCCCAGGAGCCCCTCAGCCTGCCTGAGTTATTCCTGGAGAGGCAGAACGAGCTGAGGAATCTCACTGCCTGGTTCTGCCCTAAACCACCCTCCTGGGAAGGGGTGAATGCAAAGCTACCAAGTGACTACTACTCAAAGGCTGGGGTGGTGTTTCCCCTGCTCGCTGTCAGGCACAGATGATGTGCTTATGCCAGTTTCCTTGGTACAGTGGTCTACCTGGCCCTGCAGAAAGCTGTGTCCCCACAGCGGTGGGACCAACTCACAGATATCTCCTTGCCCTAGCTCCTGTGATTCCTCTGGCCCATGCAGCTCCTTATGCCTGTCTGCACCCAGCACAGTCTTGAGTGACACCTTCAACCCTCCTTCTTGGGGCATCAGCCCACCATGGACCTGCCAGAGCCTCTTGGAAGTCTGCATTTCATTCCAGCCCATGGGTGCCAGCTCCTGCCTCCATGAAGACCCTCTCCTCCCCACCAGGTACCTGCTGCAAACTCCTTTGGGTCTGCTGTCCTTAGCTTAGAGCTGTGCACCCAGGATGGTCTTGGTAAATGCAGGGTGTGTGTGTGTGTGTGTGTGTGTGTGTGTGATACAGGACATTCCCAATGACTGTGGAGGGAATGAATGGGTGCATGTATGAATAACACTCAGAGCGTCCACACAAATGTGGAGAGAATGAATGAATGACATCCAGGATTCAGTTATGCAAATGTGGAGGGAATGAATGAATGATACCCAGGGTTCACTCCCACAAATGTGGAGGGAATGAATGAATGAATGGCATCCAGGGTACACTCCTGCAAATGTGGAGGGAATGAATGGATGATACCTAGGATTCACTCCCACAAATGTGGAGGGAAAGAATGAATGACACCCAGAGATTCATTCCCACAAATGTGCAGGGAAAGAATGAATGACACCCAAGATTCTCTTCTGCAAATGTAGAGAAAAGTAATGAATGATGCCCAGGGCTTCCCCACAAAAGTGGAGGGAATGAATGAATGACACCCAGGATTCACTTCGGCAAATGTAGAGAGAATGAATAAATGATACCCAGAGATTCCCCACAAATGTGGAGGGAATGAATGACTGACACCTAAGGATTCCCTACAAATGTAGAGGGAATGAATATCACTCAGAGATTTACTCCTGCAACAGTGGAGAGAATGAATGAATGAACGACACCTAAGGATTCCTCACAAATGTGGAGGGAATGAATGACTGACACCCAGGATTCACTTCCGTAAATGTAGAGAGAATGAATATCACTCAGAGATTTACTCCTGCAACAGTGGAGAGAATGAATGAATGAATGACACCTAAGGATTCCTCACAAATGTGGAGGGAATGAATGACTGACACCCAGGATTCACTTCTGCAAATGTAGAGAGAATGAATGAATGATACCCAGATATTCCCTGCAAATGTGGAGGGAACGAATGAATGACATCCAGGGCTTCCCTGCAAATGTGGAGGGAACGAATGAATGATACCCCAGATTCACTTCTGCAAATGTAGAGAGAATGAATGAATGATACCCAGATATTCCCCGCAAATGTGGGGGGAATGAATGAATGATACCCCAGATTCACTTCTGCAAATGTAGAGAGAATGAATGAATGATACCCAGATATTCCCTGCAAATGTGGGGGGAATGAATGAATGACATCCAGGGATTCTCCACAAATGTGGAGGGAATGAATGAATGATACCCCAGATTCACTTCTGCAAATGTAGAGAGAATGAATGATACCCAGATATTCCCCACAAATGTGGGGGGAATGAATGAATGATACCCCAGATTCACTTCTGCAAATGTAGAGAGAATGAATGAATGATACCCAGATATTCCCCACAAATGTGGGGGGAATGAATGAATGACATCCAGGGATTCTCCACAAATGTGGAGGGAATGAATGAATGATACCCCAGATTCACTTCTGCAAATGTAGAGAGAATGAATGAATGATACCCAGATATTCCCCACAAATGTGGGGGGAATGAATGAATGATACCCCAGATTCACTTCTGCAAATGTAGAGAGAATGAATGAATGATACCCAGATATTCCCCACAAATGTGGGGGGAATGAATGAATGACATCCAGGGATTCTCCACAAATGTGGAGGGAATGAATGAATGATACCCCAGATTCACTTCTGCAAATGTAGAGAGAATGAATGAATGATACCCAGATATTCCCTGCAAATGTGGAGGGAATGAATGAATGATACCCCAGATTCAGTTCTGCAAATGTAGAGAGAATGAATGAATGATACCCAGATATTCCCTGCAAATGTGGGGGGAATGAATGAATGACATCCAGGGATTCTCCACAAATGTGGAGGGAATGAATGAATGATACCCCGGATTCACTTCTGCAAATGTAGAGAGAATGAATGAATGATACCCAGATATTCCCTGCAAATGTGGGGGGAATGAATGAATGACATCCAGGGATTCTCCACAAATGTGGAGGGAATGAATGAATGATACCCCAGATTCACTTCTGCAAATGTAGAGAGAATGAATGAATGATACCCAGATATTCCCCACAAATGTGGGGGGAATGAATGAATGATACCCCAGATTCACTTCTGCAAACGTAGAGAGAATGAATGAATGATACCCAGATATTCCCTGCAAATGTGGGGGGAATGAATGAATGATACCCCAGATTCACTTCTGCAAATGTAGAGAGAATGAATGAATGATACCCAGATATTCCCTGCAAATGTGGGGGGAATGAATGAATGAATGATACCCCAGATTCACTTCTGCAAATGTAGAGAGAATGAATGAATGATACCCAGATATTCCCCACAAATGTGGGGGGAATGAATGAATGATACCCCAGATTCACTTCTGCAAATGTAGAGAGAATGAATGAATGATACCCAGATATTCCCTGCAAATGTGGGGGGAATGAATGAATGACATCCAGGGATTCTCCACAAATGTGGAGGGAATGAATGAATGATACCCCAGATTCACTTCTGCAAATGTAGAGAGAATGAATGAATGATACCCAGATATTCACTGCAAATGTGGGGGGAATGAATGAATGATACCCCAGATTCACTTCTGCAAATGTAGAGAGAATGAATGAATGATACCCAGATATTCCCCACAAATGTGGGGGGAATTAATGAATGACATCCGGGGATTCCCCACAAATGTGAAGGGAATTAATGAATGACACACAGAGATTCATTCCTGCAAATGTGGAGGGAATGAAGGAATGAGTAGCACACAGGACTTGCTTGATAAACGAATGGGTGAATACATAAATCAATGACGTGTAGGGTTTTCTCCCTAAAAGTGGAGTGAATAAATGAAAGAGTGAATGCATGATGCCCACTAGTTCCTGACAAGTGTGGAGCAAATGAGTAAATGAGTGAATGAATGAATGCCACTCTGAGAATGCACAGCCAATGAGTGACGGAATGTGTGGAGCAAATGAGTAAATGAATGAATGAATGAATGAATGCCACTCTGAGAATACAGAGCGAATGAGTGATGGAATGTGTGGAGCAAATGAGTAAATGAGTGAATGAATGAATGCCACTCTGAGAATGCACAGCCAATGAGTGACGGAATGTGTGGAGCAAATGAGTAAATGAATGAATGAATGAATGAATGCCACTCTGAGAATGCAGAGCGAATGAGTGATGGAATGTGTGGAGCAAATGAGTAAATGAATGAATGCATGAATGAATGCATGAATGAATGCCACTCTGAGAATGCAGAGTGAATGAGTGATGGAATGGACAGAAGGCGGCAGGGGCAGTGTGGACGTTAGCCCCACCGCCTCCCTCCGGTCCACTTTGGTCCAGCTTGCTACTGGCCCTGACCTCTCTGCTGCATCCATGGAAACTGTGCACCCAGCACCCCTCGCCCCTGGGGTCACTCCCTGTCTGGGCTGTGTGGTTCTCCAGGACTGCCAATCAATGAGGAGAGGGGTGTGGTCCAAGCCTTTCAATCACTGAGGATAGGGGGGTGTGGTCCAAGCCTGTCAATCACTGAAGATGGGGGTGTGTGGCCAAAGCCTGTCAATCACCCAAGAGAGGGGTGTGGCCCAAGCCTGGCCAGTTAGGGGGCCACCCTCACCCTGTTCATAAAAATTATCTCAAGCAGTGGTCATTTGTTTCTGACATGGCTGGTCGGAACCCTTCAGGAGGTGTAACTTGTGGGTGCCAGGAGAGAGAGGGTGTCTCTTTTCCCATTTGATTCTGCTCTGAAAAGATGGGGACCCCAGGCTACCAGAGACCCTCTTTCCATCCCTATAGAGAAAGTGGTCTTCCTCCAGTGATTCCACACCCTGCAGCTGAGGGAGGCAGAAAAAGGTGGGGCTGAAACGTGGGAAGAGAGAAAGAGAAAGAGGAGAAACTGACAACCATGTAAGCTCCTGGATCCAGCCATGCCTGAAGCCCCCATAGAAATCCTAATTATCCAATTTGACAATTTCCACCTTGACTTCAGCTAGCTCGACTCAAGTTTCTATTGCTGGCCATAGAAGACAGTTATGCCTCAAGCACTAGGGGTAGGCAGGTTGGGCTCCCAGTTGAGGGACAGAATTGTCCTAGTTCCAGAGAGAGGGCCCACGGAGCCCAGGCCACCTGCCCTGGGCTGAGACATGGTTGTTTCAAAGGCAGTCACGTATCATTCATCACTAATTCCCCAGTGCAGTGGTTCAAGGCTAACGAGCAGCACTCAGCGCCCACCTCTGCCTCTTTCTGGTTGTAGGTCTTGAACACACCCCCGCCTCCATGTCTGCCTCAGTTTCCGTTACTGGTAAAACAGGGATGATTGTAACAGCACCTGTCTCACGAAGTTTCGAAAATCCCAGAGATCAGGCCAGGCGCACTTTGGGAGGCCGAAGCGGGTGGATCATGAGGTCGGGAGTTCGAGATCAGCCTGGTCAACATAGTGAGACCCCATCTCTACTAAAAAATACAAAAAATTAGCCGGGCGTTGGGGTGGGCGCCTGTAATCCCAGCTACGTGGGAGGCTGAGGCAGGAGAATCACTTGAACCCGGGAGGCGGAGGTTGCAGTGAGCAGAGGTCACGCCACTGCACTCCAGCCTGGGCAACAGTGCGAGACAAGAAAGGAAAGAAAGGAGAGGAGAAGAGAGGACAGGAGAGGAGGGGAGGGGAGGGGAGGGGAGGGGAGGGGAGGGGAGGGGAGGGGGAGGGAGGAAGGAGGAAGGAGGGAGGGAGGGAAGGAGGAAGGAGGAGGAAGGAGGAAGGAGGAGGGAGGGAAGGAGGAGGAAGGAGGAAGGAGGGAGGAGGGAGGGAGGGAAGGAAGGAAAGATCGCAGAGATAAAGCCCTTGTAAAAGTGGCTGCTGCTTCCTCCTCACTCAGTCGACGTGAACTATTTTTATTAGCGAAAAACCAAGAACAACGTCTCCTCCCCACAAAACAAAAGCAAAATAAAAGCCAAAGACAGGTGTGAAGAAGATTTCTGGGAGAGCGCATTTTAAAGAAGGTGGGACTTTCTTCATCCGAGAGCCACCCAACCCAGCATCTCGGCGTGGGCCGGCCTGTACCCCTCGTCAAAGGAACAATTGGCTTGCAAACTGGGAATCTCCGTTAAAACGGACAAGACGATTTTGCTCTTTTCTTGCGGCAACGTCTGAAGATGTGCAAGAAGGGGGTCTGTTTTAGGCCAACCTCAGCCCTCTCTGCGACCCTCGAGAGCTTGTGCAAATGGCACAGCTCCTGCCTGGAGGCTGTGTGTCCTTTTGCAGCACTCTGGTGAGCCCGGGTTAAAAATCACACACCCCAAAGGGAGGCTGAGCTGAGGGCTTTCTCTGGCATTCAGCAGCGTCTCTGGCCTGGATATGCCCTGCTAGCTGGGGTATTTCTGCAGAGCAGCCTCTCCTACCCGAACACTCCCAGGTCCCCGTGACTTACAACGGTGGCTGCAGGGAGGGCAGACGTCCTGGGTGATGCTGGTCTGGTGGTGCTTGTCTGAGCAGCCGTCAAGCTAGGCAGGGGGTCCTGGGGGACCCTCCTCCTGGGCCAGAGGCGGCTGCCCTATGGGAGTGAGCTCCGCACAGGAGCAGGAGTGGAGGGCCAGCTCTCTGCTCTGCTGGGAAAAAAATCCCACTGGCTGTGCCTGCACCGCACCTTGAGACAGACACCAGCAGCCTCCGGAGACCCAGCAAGCTGCTCTTAGCTGCGATCTGTCATCTGCAGACTGAGCTTGGTGCATGGCGGTTATGAAACTGGCCAGAGCAACAATAGATGGAAAAGCTTCCTCTTTTTGGCCCTGGGCCCCAGGGAGCGAGGTCAGGTAATCCGAGGGGGATTTTATGTGTTTTTCTCCTAATGCGGTATTTTTCAATTAGGCTTTAAAAAAAAAAAATGAGTTTGGCCTCCATGTATGCGGGACCATTGCCTCAGAAGGGTTAGTTTAGGATTAGAAAATGGGTTAAACTTAAGGACAGCTTCTCTTGGATATATTGGATATTACTTTATGCTTTATGTGAAAATACTAATTTTTAAAAATATGTATGTCCATAGTCACTATTTGTTTTCTTTTGAGACTGAGTCTCGCTCTGCCTCCCAACCTGGAGTGCAATGGCACCGTCTCCGCTCACTGTCACTTCCTCCTCCCAGGTTCAAATGATTCTGCCTCAGCCTCCCAAGTAGCTGGGAAGACAGGCATACATCACCACACCTGGCTAATTTTTTTTTTTTTTTGTATTTTTTTTTTAGTAGAGACAGGGTTTCATCATGTTGGTCAGGCTGGTCTTGAACTCCTGACCTCAGGTGATCCACCCGCCTCGGCCTCCCAAAGTGCTGGGATTACGGGCATGAGCCACTGCGCCCGGCTGCGTATTCACTATTTAAAAGTAGTCAGTACTCATTGGATGATGCTAAGACAGTTTTTTATTTGGAAGCTTGAGGCTGCAGTGAGCTGAACTGCACTGTACTCACTGTTCGGAACTGAATTGAACTCACACCACTGCACTCCAGCCTGGGTGACAGAGCAGGACCCTGTCTTAAAAATTAAAGGGAGAGCCCTTTATTACAAACAGCGAGCTCAGTATATATTTTCTGAGTGTTGTGTCTGTTACAGGCTGCATTGTACCCTCCCAAATTCATACGTTAAAGTCCTAACCCCTAGGACCACACAATGTGGCTGTATTTGGAGGTTACCTCTTTAAAGAGTTAACTACAGTAAAATGAGGTCACCAGGAGTGGGCCCTGATCCAATAGGACCGGTGTCCTCATAAGAAGAGGAGATGAGGACACAGACACACACAGAGGGACGACACTGTGAGGACACAGGGAGAAGACGGCATCTCCAAGCCCAGGAGAGAGGCCTCAGGAGGAACCAGCCCTGCCCATACCTGGATCTCAGACCTCCAGCCTCCAGGACTGTGGGAGAATCAATGTTTGTTGTTTCTAAGCTGCCCAGTCTATGGTATTCTGGGATAGTCGTTCGAAATGGACAAAGACACCTCATAAGAAGAGGAGATGAGGACACAGACACATACAGAGAGATGACCCTGTGAGGACACAGGGAGAAGACGGCGTCTCCAAGCCCAGGAGAGAGGCCTCAGGAGGAACCAGCCCTGCCCATACCTGGATCTCAGACCTCCACCCTCCAGGACTGTGGGAGAATCAATGTCTGTTGTGTATAAGCCCCCCAGTCTACGGTATTCTGTGACAGCAGCCTGAGATGGACTAAGACACCTCATAAGAAGAGGAGATGAGGACACAGACACACACAGAGAGATGACCCTGTGAGGACACAGGGAGAAGTCGATGTCTCTAAGTCCACAAGAGAGGCCTCAGGAGGAACCAGCCCTGCCCACACCTGGATCTCAGACCTCCAGCCTCCAGGACTGTGGGAGAAACAATGTCTGTTGTTTACAGTCCACCCAGTTTGCAGTGTTTTATTACGGCGGCCGAGCTGACTACCCATCCACTCTGAAGCAGTTGGGAGAAGGCAGACGTCAGAGATGCTGCCGAAACCTAGGCTGAATGGAAGTGAACTTGGGATGCTGCTGAGACCTAGGCTGAATGGACGTCAACTTGGGTACCACTGGCTTCTCCCTGCTGTTGAATCCCAAAGACCATCTCGAGGCCATCTGGAGTCATGCTCCCCCGCCAGCTTCTCAGTAGAGACAGCACGTTACAGGGTGGGAAATGGTTATTCACAATTGTTCAGTGGCTGCCTGCCTTGGCGTTGGGGAGCCACATGAGAAGGCTCACAGCCACAGCCACAGCCCTCCCGGGTGCGACTCCCTGGGATCCTGCCCTCTGCCCTCTCAGAGGGTTTCTCTCTCTCTCCGCTCAGTTCACAGGAAGCAACTTGTCTGCAGTTCCCAAATCTACTTCTTGGAGCCTCTGTCCTCTACTATTTTCCTGGAGGGAACAGGCTGGGAAGGAAGGTGGTGTCCCCTTAAAACATTCAGTCAGCCGCGGCTTCAGACGGAGCAGTCATTTGTAGGTAACTAGGACTTGGGAAGATATTCAACACTGCTTCCTGGGAGTTTTTTTTCTTTCTTTCTTTCTTTTTTGTGAGATGGAGTCTCACTCTGTCTCCCAGGTTGGAGTGCAGTAGCGCGATGTCGGCTCCCTGCAACCTCCGCCTCCCTGGTTCAAGCAATTCTCCTGCCTCAGGCTCCCGAGTAGCTGGGATGACAGGCACCCACCGCACCTGGCCAAGTATTTTTAATATTAGTATTTTAGAAACTCAGTCACTCCGCTAGTAAACCAGTATGGATAGAAATGCAAACATCAGGCCGGGCGTGGTGGCTCACGCCTGTAATCCCAGCACTTTGGGAGGCCGAGGCGGGTGGATCACTTGAGATCAGGAGTTCGAGACCAGTCTGATCAACATGGTGAAACCCTGTCTCTACTTAAAATACAAAAATTAGCCAGGCGTGGTGGTGGCGGGTGCCTGTAATCCCAGCTATTCAGGAGACTGAGGCAGGAGAATCACTTCAACCCGGGAGGTGGAGGTTGCAGTGAGCTGAGATCGCGCCACTGCACTCCAGCCTGGGGGACAGAGTGGGACTCCGTCTCAAAAAAAAAAAAAAAGAAAAGAAAAAGAAAAAAAAGAAACTCAAACATCACAGAGAGAGATCAATGTTTTTTTTTTTAAATAGCATGTTAATTAGGGTTTTCTCTTTTTTTTTTTCAAGACAAGGTCTCACTCTGTGGCCCAAGCTGGAGTGTAGGCCGGGCACGGTGGCTCACACCTGTAATCCCAGCATTTTGGGAGGCCGAGGTGGGCAGATCGCCTGAGGTTGGGAGTTTGAGACCAGCCTGGCCAAGACGGTGAAACCCTGTGTCTACTAAAGATACACAAATTAGCCGGGCATGGTGGCGGGTGCCTGTAATCCCAGCTACTCAGGAGGCCGAGGCAGGAGAATCGCTTGAACCCGGGAGGCGGAGGTTGCGGTGAGCCGAGACCGTGCCACGGCACTCCAGCCTGGGTGACGAGTAAACTCTGTCTCAAAATAAATAAATAAATAAATAGTATGCTGACAAGCAAATATGGCCTTTTCTGTTTGTTATTACGCCTGGCATCTCCAAGAAGGTACCGGACTTGCTGAGGTGTGGAGTAGCATCCAGGCTGGTGAGAGATGGTTGGTTTGGGGTGCAGTGGGGCGGCGAGGGGCTTGTTGGGACCGGCTTGGAGGCCTGTGGGTGTCAGACCTGCAGCCTAGCGGGTCCTTGCCATCCAGGAAGCTGTGAGTATTTGGTTTGGGGCAGCTGAACCCAGGAAGCAGGACTGAGGAGGTAAGAAGCAGAGAGGGATGAGCAGTACACTCCCGCCGGGTGCCAGCCAACAGACACGGAGAGCATGAAGGATAAAAATAAAAGACCAACTGCTCCCTGCGAGCTGATTCCTGGTTTGCCCTGGAGACTCAAGCTGCTCCTGAACTTTAAACAGCACCCACAGTGTCAGAAAACTGTTGATGAGGCCGGGCGCGGTGGCTCACGCCTGTCATCCCAGCACTTTGGGAGGCCGAGGCGGGCAGATCGCGAGGTCAGGAGATCAAGACCATCCTGGCCAACATGCTGAAACCCCGTCTCTACTGAAAACACAAAAAATTAGCCGGGTGTGGTGGCGGGTGCCTGTAGTCCCAGCTACTCGGGAGGCTGAGGCAGGAGAATGGCGTGAACCTGGGAGGCGGAGCTTGCAGTGAGCCGAGATCGCGCCACTGCACTCCAGCCTGGGCGACAGAGCGAGACTCTGTCTCAAAAAAAAAAAAAAAAAAGAAAAAGAAAGAAAACTTGAAGAGGGCCAGCCCATCTTGGTTACAGCCCACAAGAGGTGACCTCCCAACACTATGGGACCTGCAACAGCCAACTCTGTATTTTTTTTTTTTCAGACGGAGTTTTCCTCTTGTCACCCAGGCTAGAGTGCAGTGGCACAATCTTGGTTCACTGCAACATCTGCCTCCCAGGTTCAAGCGATTCTCCTGCCTCAGCCTCCTGAGTAGCTGGGATTACAGGCACGCGCCACCATGCCCGGCTAATTTTTGTATTTTTAGTAAAGATGCGGTTTCACCATGTTGCACAGGCTGAACTCCTGATCTTGAACTCCTGGTCTCGAACTCCTGATCTTGTGATCCGCCCTCCTCAGCCTCCCAAAGTTCTGGGATGACAGGTGCGAACCACCGCACCTGGCCCTCTGTTATTTTTTGAGATGGAGTCTCACTCTTGTCACCCAGGCTGGAGTGCAGTGGCACGATCTTGGCTCACTGCAACTTCCGCCTCCTGAGTTCAAGCGATTCTCCTGCCTCAGCCTCCTGAGTAGCTGGGATTACAGGCGCGTGCCATAATGCCTAGCTAATTTTTGTATTTTTAGTAGAGACAGGGTTTCACCATGTTGCCCAGGCTGATCTTGAACTCCTTATCTTGTGATCCACCCGCCTCAGCCTTCCAAAGTGCTGGGATTACAGGCATGAGCCCCTGCACCCAACCCTCTGTTTTTTTTCTTTTTCTTTTTCTTTTCTTTTTTTTTTTTTTTTTTGAGACAGTTTCACTCTTGTCCCCCAGGCTGGAGTGCAATGGCACGATCTCGGTTCAGTGAAACCTCTGCCTCCCAGGTTCAAGCGATTTTCCTGCCTCAGCCTCCTGAGTAGCTGGGATTACACGAGGTGTGTGCCACCACGCCTGGCCAATTTTTATATTTTTAGTAGAGACGGGGTTTCACCATGTTGGCCAGGCTGATCTCGAACTCCTGACCTCAGGTGATCCTCCTGCCTTGGCCCCCAAAATGCTGGGATTACAGACGTGAACCACCATGCCTGGTGGCCCTGGCCTTTTCTTACGCATGAGGTAATGCTTGCCACACCTACTGGTTATGTTCCTGCAAACTATCACCAGATCGCCTCTTACGCCCAAACTTTAATGCAATGTTTCACGTACTATGTATTTACTGCGTATATTAAAACTATAACTTATGGGAAATGTGTCATTAGGTGAAACGTATTAATAAGGAAAAAAAAGAAATAAAAACAAAACAAAACAAAAAAACCCTATAATTTAAAATACTACATTCAAACAACCTGACCAAAACTTTCTAAATGATTTCCCCAAAACAGAGCCGTAAGTAACTTGGGAACAAGACAAGAGGCAACCTGGGATGTCTTTCTATTTATTTATATCTCTAATTTTTTGAATCTGTTTTTTTGTTTTGTTTTGTTTTGTTTTGTTTTTCTTTTTGAGACGGAGTCTCGCTCTGTGGCCCAGGCTGGAGTGCAGTGGTGTGATCTCAGCTCACTGCAAGCTCCGCCTCCCGGGTTCCCGCCATTCTCCTGCCTCAGCCTCCCGAGTAGCTGGGACTACAGGCGTGTACCACCATGCCCAGCTAATTTTTTGTATTTTTAGTAGAGACGGGGTTTCACCGTGTTAGCCAGGATGGTCTCGATCTCCTGACCTCATGATCCGCCTGCCTCGGCCTCCCAAAGTGCTGGGATGACAGGCGTGAGCCACCGCGCCCGGCCTGTTGTTGTTTTTTAATGTTTTTTTTTAGTTTTCGGTGTACAAATCTACTTTCATGATTAATTTCTAACTGTTTTATTCTTTTTGGTGTTATTGTTAATGTAATTGTTTTCTTATTCTCTTATTTATGTACTTATTTTGAGGTAGGGTCTCACTCTGTTGCCCAGGCTGGAGTGCATTGGCACAATCATGGCTCACAGCAGCCTTGAACTCCTGGGTTCTAGTGATCCTCCCACCTCAGCTTCTCAAGTAGCTGGGACTACAGGCGTGCACCACCATGCCCAGCTAATTTTTTTTTTTGTTTTTTGAGACGGAGTCTCACTCTGTCATCTAGGCTGGAGTGCAGTGGTGTGATCTCGGCTCACTGCAACCTCCGCCTCCCGAGTTCAAGTGATTCTCCTGCCTCAGCCTCCCGAGTAGCTGGGATTCCAGGTACACGCCACCACACCCAGCTAATTTTTGTATTTTTGGTAGAGACGGGGTTTCTACTAAATGTTGGCCAGGCTGGTCTCGAACTCCTGACCCCAGGTGATCCTCCAACCTAGCCCTCCCAAAGTCTTGGGATTACAGGCGAGAGGCCCTGCGCCCGGCCACGTTAATTCTTTAGAAGTCAACAGAGGCCCATTGCTCTGAGCCGCCGCCACCCCCAGCCCTGTTTGTGACGACCAATGGGCTGCCGTGGACATAGGATTTTGGGTGTGCTAAAACCAGGAAAGCCCCCAGCAGCACCCAGGCTCCGAGGTTCTGGGAGACACAACCTCCCCGCCAGAGGGAAATGACCCATTACAATCCCCTGGGTGGTTTTCCAGGCCAAGCAGCTGGGGCCGCCTGTCTGGCCCAGGGTGGCCTGAATCTCTCGGTTCTGTCCTGGGAGAGGTGGGGATTTTTAAGCCTGACCTTTTAACTTTACCACAGGGCTGCTATCCAGCCTTCCTTCCTGTGACAGACTCTACGCCCATCTTCCAAAGCTCACAGAGCTGGCCGGAGAGTCCCAGGGCCCTCTTGTGAACTACGTCTTGGAAGGAGGTGGCTGTGTCTTCTCAGATACCATGTCCAGGCTTACATCTGAATGTTTTCGGTCCGACTTCAAGGGACGTAAATATCAGACCCCTGGAAGCACTCTGTGCATCCCTGTGACGGTGCTTTGCAGACTTTTGGCCTGTGTTTGACTTTCTGATGCGTTTTCATTTTCACTTTCGTTTTTCTGTATTTATTTATGGAGACATAAGGTCTTGCTCTGTTGCCCCAGGCTAGAGTGCCATGGTGACATTATATAGCTCACTGCAACCTCAACTTCCTGGCCTGAACCGATCCTCCCACCTCAGCCTCCTGAGCAGCTGGGACCACAGGTGCTCACCACCATGGCTGGCTAATTATTTATTTTTGTAGACATAGGGGTCTCACTATATTGCCCCGTCTTAGTTTTCATTTTTATTTTTTATTATTATTATTATTTGAGACAAAGTTTCACTCTGTTGCCCAGGCTGGAGTGCAGTGGTGCGATCTTGGCTCACTGCAACCTCCATCTCCCGGGTTCAAGTGATTCTCCTGCCTCAGCCTCCCGAGTAGCTGGGATTACAGGCGCGCACCACCACGCCCGGCTAATTTTTTGTATTTTTAGTAGAGATGGGGTTTCACCGTGTTAGCCAGGATGGTCTCGATATCTGGACCTTGTGATCTGCCTGTCTCGGCCTCCCAAAGTGCTGGGATTACAGGCATGAGCCACCACGCCCGGCGAGTTTTCATTTTTATTGATTATTATTATTATTTTTTGAGACGAAATCTCGCTCTGTCACCCAGATTGGAGTGCAGCGCTGTGATCTTGCCTCACTGCAACCTCCGCCTCCCGGGTTCAAACGATTGTCCTGCCTCGGCCTCTTGAATATCTGGAACTACAGGCGTGTGCCACCACATCCAGCTCATTTTTGTATTATTAGTAGACACAGGGTTTTACTGTGGTGGCCAGGCTGGTCTTGAACTCCTGACCTCAGGTGATCCACCCACCTCGGCCTCTCAAAGTGCTGGGATGACAGACGTGAGCCACCACGCCTGGCCTCATTTTTCTATTTGGAAATAAAGTCCTGTCTAGGTTTATGAGGAGTGGGACCACATCACTGAAGATACACGAGCAAGAACATGGATTTGCTTATCTCTGTTTTGGTCATGTCCTCCCGGGGGGCAGGGGTGGGGGTGGCAAACCTCCTCCCCTCCCTCCCCCACTTCGAACACAGAGTGAGTGTTGGTGACACTCAGCCAGGGACAGGACCCCGCTGCGAGCCAGGTTCCTCTTTCTACTGACTCTCTGGGGACCCTGTTTGCCTCCCGGCAACACGCTTTGCCGAAGAGCCCCTGTGCTGGCTGCCACGTGAGCCGCCCCTGTCCCTACTCTCAGCAGCCTTCCCCACCTGCAAACCCAGATCGAGGGCCTCCCATGCTGGGTTGGATGGTGGCCCCCAGAGATATGTCCGTGTCCTGAGCCCTGCTATTTGGGGAGGGGGTTTCATTTGGAAAAGAGGGTCTTTGCAGATTCATTCCGTTGTGGATCTTGAGAGAAAATAATCCTGCATTGTCTGGGTGGGCCTTAAATGCAATGACAGGTGTCCTTCTAAGAGACAGGAGAGGAGACACAGACACAGAGGAGAAGGCCACGTGGAGACGGAGACAGAGCCTGGAATGACGCGGCCACAAGCCCAGGGATGCCTGGAGCCCCCAGGAGCTGGGAGAGACAGGAAGGAGCCTCCGGAGGGAACTGGATCCAATTGTAATGGGTTGAACAGCGGATCCTGGAAAGATATGTCCATATCCTAGAGCCCAGAACCTGGAATGAGACCTTATTTGGAAATAAGAACTTTGCAGATTTAATGAGTTAAGGATCTCAAGATGAGATACTCCTGGATTAGGCTGGGCCCTAAATCCAATGACAGGTGCCCTGGTAAAAGACAGAAGAGGAGACGCAGACACAGAGGAGAAGGCCACGTGGAGACGGAGACAGAGCCTGGAATGACGCGGCCACAAGCCCAGGGATGCCTGGAGCCCCCAGGAGCTGGGAGAGACAGGAAGGACCCTCCCCTAGAGCTCCTTGAGGGAGCACGGACCTGAGACATTTTGATCTCAGACTTCTGGCCCCCGGAACTGTAAGAAAGTAAATTCCTGTTGTCGAACTCCCCAGTTTGTGGCATTTTTTGTGTCAGCCTCAGGGGACTCACAGAAATGGCTTTGTCTCTGCACCCCTAAAATAATTTTAATGTTACTACTGAACAAGTTTGAAAGATGCAGGCACTTTCTGACATGCCACGAGCTTTGTTACTTAAAATACAACTGCCAGCTGGGCGTAGTGGTTCACACCTGTCATCCCAGCACTTCGGGAGGCCAGGGCGAGCAGATCACCTGAGGTCAGGAGTTCGAGACCAGCCTGGCCAACGTGGTAAACCCCGTCTCTACTAAAAATACAAAAATTAGCCAGGTGTGGTGGCTCACACCTGTAATCCCAGCACTTTGGGAGGCCGAGGCGGGTGGATCATCTGAGGTCAGGAGTTCGAGAACAGCCTGGCCAATGTGGCAAAACCCCGTCTCTGCTAAAAATACAAAAATTAGCTGGGCATGGTGGCAGGCACCTGTAGTCCCAGCTAATCAGGAGGCTGAGGCAGGAGAATCACTTGAACCCGGGAGGCAGAGGTTGCAGTGAGCTGAGATCATGCCACTGTACTCCAGCCTGGGTGAGACTTAGTCTCAAACAAAACAAAAAACAAGAAAAACCAAACACAGCTGCTTTGTCGCTGTTCTGGAGGAACTGAATAGACTGTAATCATGTTGGTGTTTTACAGGCAATTATCCACTTAAATAACCTGTAAAGGAACTGTCTTTAAAGATTTGGGAATTCTGCTGGACGTGGTGGCTCACGCCTGTAATCCCAGCACTTTGGGAGGCCGAGGCGGGCGGATCATGAGGTCAGGAATTCGAGACCAGCCTGTCCAATATGATGAAACCCCGTCTCTACTAAAAATACAAAAATTAGCTGGGCGTAGTTGCAGGCGCCTGTAGTCCCAGCTACTCGGGAGGCTGAGGCAGGAGAATCGCTGGAACCCGGGAGGCGGAGGTTGCGGTGAGCCGAGATGGCGCCACTGCACTCCAGCCTGGGCAACAGACCAAGACTCTGTGTCAAAAAAAAAAAAAGATTTGGGAATTCCACATGCTTCTTTGCCCCCCTTGAAGCTTCTGTTTCAATCTTATTGCCTCCTGATGTGATGTAGACCTGGATTTGAAAGCCTTTTAGTGGTGACCCTGTCCACCTCATGACAGCAAAACAGTTCATGTGTTGAAATTTAAACATAGGTTTCACTTCCTGCTACCATAAGGATCCCACGTGCTGGAAACTTCCCTCTGTTGAAATGTTCTCTGTGGTCAAAACTGATCAGGCTGGGTGCAGTGGCTCATGCCTGTCATCCCAGCATTTTGGGAGTCTGAGGCAGGTGGATCACTTGAGGTTAGGAGTTTGAGACCAGCCTGGCCAACATGGTGAAATCCCATCTCTACTAAAAATACAAAATTAGGTCGGGTGTTGTGGCTCACGCCTGTAATCCCAGCACTTTGGGAGGCTGATGCGGGCGGATCACCTGAGGTCAGGAGTTCGAGGCCAGCCTGGCCAACATGCTGAAACCCTGTCTCTACTAATAATACAAAAATTAGCCGGGCATTGGCCAGGCGTGGTGGCTCACGCCTGTCATCCCAGCACTTTGGGAAGCCGAGGCGGGTGGATCACAAGGTCAGGAGATCGAGACCATCCTGGCTAACACGGTGAAACCCTGTCTCTACTAAAAAAAATACAAAAATAAATTAGCCGGGCGTGGTGGCAGGCGCCTGTAGTCCCAGCTACTTGGGAGGCTGAGGCAGGAGAATGGCGTGAACCCGGGAGGCAGAGGTTGCAGTGAGCCGAGATCGTACCACTGCACTCCAGCCTGGGTGACAGAGAGAGACTCTGTCTCAAAAAAAAAAAAAAAAGGAAGAAAATCTCATGCTCAACCTCAAATTGGAAACGTGAATCAGGGCGTCTCAGAGGACCTGAGCTGGGTTTCTGTGACTGACGTGGTACTCTGGCCACTTGCCCATCACAAAAACGGATGAGACTGTGGAAAGCAGATCTTTATCTTTCTGAGAAGGAAGCAACAGAGGGCCTCGTCACCGGCCTTTCCGTTGGCCTTGGCGTCTTAATGACCACAGATAGTGTCCATGGACTGAGTTTCCTCGTGGCCAGCAAGGACAGGGCTGAAAAATGGAACCACTCCACATGGAGGCACTGGATGAGTGTCTGCAGACAACTGAAGATGAAGCTAGGTGTCTCATCAACAATTTCAGAATATTATCCACTAGCTTCGGAAGATACAAAAAGCCTTCTGGGAGGCCGAGGCGGGTCGATCACCTGAGGTCAGGAGTTGGAGACCAGCCTGGCCAACATGGTGAAACTCCATCTCTACTCAAAATATAAAACTTAGCTGGGTGTGGTGGCGGGCGCCTGTCATCCCAGCTACTCGGGAGGCTGAGGCAGGAGAATCGCTTGAACCAGGGAGGCGGAGGTTGCAGTGAGCCGACATGGCGCCATTGCACTCCAGCTTGGGCGACAGAGCAAGACTGCGTCTCAAAAACAAACAAACAATAAAACACAAAAAACAAAAAACAAAAGAATCCAGGAGGAGGACTTGCAAGTAGAGTTTCCATTTCTACCCCTGTGTAAAATTCCTTGAGTATTGCATTTTTAAAAATCATTTCCCATTTCTAAACTTTGTAACAAAAGAATATCTTTTTTACATTGAACAAAGCATCTTAATTTCTTTCTTCTTTTTTTTTTTTTTTTTTTTTTTGACACAGAGTCACACTCCGTCACCCAGGCTGGAGTGCAGTGGCACAGTCTTGGCTCACTGCAAGCTCCGCCTCCCGGGTTCAAGTGATTCTCCTGCCTCAGCCTCCCTAGTAGCTGGGATTATAGGCACCCGCCACCACACCTGGCTAATTTTTGTATTTTTAGTAGAGACGGGGTTTTGCCATGTTGGCCAGGCTGGTCTCGAACTCCTGACCTTAGACGACCCGCCTGCCTGAGCCTCCCAAACTGCTGGGATGACGGGTGTGAGCCACCATGCCTGATGCTTAATTTCCTTCTTAAAACATGCTCCCCTGTGCCCTTCCCCTTCTAAGATGAGCCAGGAGGCTAATTGGGTAGACAAAAGAAGACAGAAGTTTGTGTCCTTCTAGACAGAACTGGTGTGGCCCACCAGGCTATAGATGGAGATGTCTCTTCTGAGAGAAGACTGCCTCTTTGTCCTTTCCATTGAGAAAATGCTTCCTTTTCAGCCCTGAGCTGGGGGTATCAGGAGTCCAGGAAAGAAAGAAGGCAGAGGAGAGAGAGAGGTGTTTGGATGTAAAGATGTATCTACCACGTTGACCAGAATCTTGACGACATCACCATGAGCTCCGTGACTCAGAGGGACCCTGGACATTTTGGACGTTTGTCACTTGCTGGCCACTTTCTTTCTTTCTTTTTTTTTTTTTGAGATGGAGTCTTGCTCTGTCGCCCAGGCTGGAGTGCAGTGGCGCAATCTTGGCTCACTACAACCTCTGCCTCCCTGGTTGAAGTGATTCTTCTGCCTCAGCCTCCCGAGTACCTGGGATTACAGGCACCCGCCACCACGCCCGGCTAATTTTTGTATTTTTAGTAGAGACGGGGTTTCACCGTGTTAGCCAGGATGGTCTCGATCTCCTGACCTCGTGATCCGCCCACCTAGGCCTCCCAAAGTGCTGGGATGACAGGCGTGAGCCACCGCGCCCGGCCACTTTCTGGCCATTTTCATTTCTGTAGGCAATGGACGGGTCCTAGGAGTCCATGGATTCAGGGGTCCTAGGAGCTGGCCACCAAGAATAACTCAGACCTGGTCAAGTCTCAAGGTATCAGGTCCCTGTTTGTTCAAATCGGAGTCCTCATGGGCCCCAAAGTTCCGTGGTCTACTGTTTCCAAAAGCCTCCCGAAGCCCTTGCGTACATGCAACACCCCCAGCTGCCTCTGAGCGAAGCAAGGAGGGTCTAAGTTCAGAGGCATGATCAGGGCAGGCGTCCTCACTTGCTCTCTCTGTGCGTGTCCAAGATGAAGTCCCCTAGATTTCACCGGACGAGATGAGACCTGACATTCCACATTGTCCTTGAACACCTGTCAGTCAGCACCCACTACTTCCTGAGTCCTGGAAATAGTCAACCTCATCTCTCGTTGGATGAGGAGTTGTCCCGGGAGACACGCCAGGACCCCACCCAAGCCTTCCTAGCTGAAAATCATCACTGAGCCAGAAAAGCTGTCGCTCATATCCCCGGTGACCGCCGACGGTGGTTCGGAGCTGGGGTAGCTCATGAGTCCCTGCAGTACTGGCGACATACCTGTTGTGTGGATTGCTAAACTGAGGCTCGGGGCCGTGACGGCACCCGGTCACAGCACCCGGCGGAGTCCCCACGTGCCGGCCCCTCCTGTTGGCGACGCGCGATTTCCGCCCCCCTGCCTGACTTCCCATGTCTCCCTGCCACATTCATGAGTAGCTTCATGTTGAGTTTGAGCCTGCTTCTGGGTACACTACCCCTGTGGTGACGGGAGGGAAAGTAAAGGTTTTTCTCACTTGACAGAAGAGGAAATTGAGGTTAGCTATTAGGTCATGGCATGGCCGTGGTCAGACCCACGGCTGATAACATGTAAAGGCACGCCTGAATCAAGCCAGCCCCGTCTGGCACTCAACACACACCCCACGTCTTTGCAGCCGGGCGGGACCAGGCGGGACCCACACCGCCATCCCTCAGGAGACCTCCCTGCCGCCTCCCCCACCTCTTTCACCCCGTATGGCGTGTGCCTGATGACCTCTCATCACGATGCCCCTGTCCCCCCGACGCCCTGTGGGTTTGGGGGAAAAATCCAGCAATGGCCTAGGGCAGGTCACATAAGATTCCTCACAACAGACTCTGATGTTCTGGCAGTATTGCTGAGTGTCTCTAAAACCATGGAAAGCCCCAGGGGCTGGCAGAGCTGCAGGCAGTCAGCTGGGGAGGTGGCGTTCATGCTGCCATTAACCAGGCTGAGTGTTGATCAAAGGTTTTCAACTGGGGCCACTGTGGTCCCCAGGGGACGCTGGGCAGCAGCGACATCTCTGGCTGTCATGACGGGGTGGAGGAGCTCCTGGCATCTGGTGGGTGCAGCCCAGGGACACCGTTCAACACACTACACTGCACGGGACGGCCCTGCCACAGAGTGTCATCCAGCCCCAAAATGTCAGCAGTGCTGAGGCTGAGAAACTCCACATATCGGTTATCCCCACATGAGAGACTCCTTATATTGGTTATCTATGTATCCATCTATGTATCTACCTATCTAGCCATCCATCTATTTATCTCTCTATCTATCATCTATGTATCTATCTGTCTAGCCATCTATCTATCTATCCATCATCTATGTATCTATCCATCTATTCATCCATCTATCTATCCTGTATGTATTTATCTATCCATCATCCATCCATCCATCCATCCATTCTATCTATCTATCTATCTATCTATCTATCTATCTATCTATCTATCTATTTCTATTATCTATCTATCA
This sequence comes from Homo sapiens, assembly GCF_000001405.40. Lineage (NCBI taxonomy): Eukaryota > Metazoa > Chordata > Mammalia > Primates > Hominidae > Homo > Homo sapiens. The sequence goes on from NC_000024.10 coordinate 1,508,773, forward strand.
TCTATGTATCTATGTATCTATCCATCCATGTATGTGTCTATCATCTATGCATCCATCCATCCATCCCTCCATCCATCCATTCATCCATCCATCCATCCATCCATCCATCTATTCTATCATCTATGTATCTATGTATCCATCCATTCATTGTATCTATCATGTATCTATTATCTATCTATCCTGTATGTATCTATCCATCTATTCATCCATCTGTCTATCCTGTATGTGTTCATCCATCCATCCATCCATCCATCCATCCATCCATCCATTTATTCTATCTATGCATCTATCTATGTATCTATCTATGTATCTATCTATGTATCTATGTATCTATCTATCTATCTATCTATCTATCTATCTATCTATCTATCATCTATGTATCCATCCATTCTATCTATCTATCTATCTATCTATCTATCCATCTATGTATCTACCTATCTAGCCATCCATCTATTTATCTCTCTATCATCTATGTATCTATCTGTCTAGCCATCTATCTATCTATCCATCATCTATGTATCTATCCATCTATTCATCCATCTATCTATCCTGTATGTATTTATCTATCCATCATCCATCCATCCATCCATCCATCCATCTATTCTATCTATCTATCTATCTATCTATCTATCTATCTATCTATTTCTATTATCTATCTATCATCTATGTATCTATGTATCTATCCATCCATGTATGTGTCTATCATCTATGCATCCATCCATCCATCCCTCCATCCATCCATTCATCCATCCATCCATCCATCCATCCATCCATCTATTCTATCATCTATGTATCTATGTATCCATCCATTCATTGTATCTATCATGTATCTATTATGTATCTATCATGTATGTATCTATCCATCTATTCATCCATCTGTCTATCCTGTATGTGTTCATCCATCCATCCATCCATCCATCCATCCATCCATCCATTTATTCTATCTATGCATCTATGTATCTATCTATGTATCTATCTGTCTATCTATCTATCTATCTATCTATCTATCATCTATGTATCCATCCTATCTATCTATCTATCTATCTATCTATCTATCTATCTATCTCTATTATCTATCTATCATCTATGTATCTATGTATCTATCCATTCTATCTATCTATGTATGTATCTATCTATCTTCTCTATCATCTATGTATCTATGTATCCATCCATCTATGTAAATATTATCTATGCATCCATCCATCCATCCATCATCTATGTATCTATGTATCTATCCATTCATTGTATCTACCATGTATCTAACTATCCTCTATCTATCATCTATCTATCTATCTCATCTATCATCTTTATACATCTATCATCTACCACCTATCTGTCTCAATATCTGTCAATCTGTCATCTATATCTATGTATTACCTATCTATCTCAATAGCTAGCTATCAATCATCTATCATCTAATCTATTCATCCGTCTACCTCAATATCTATCAATCATCGAATAGCTATATCTATTCATCTATCTGTCTACACCTGGCTTAGAGCGTGATGGACTCACTACTCTGGGAGAGTAGCTGCGAGGAACACCACCAGTGTCCTCACTAATACAAGCTTTTTGTTTTTCTCTAGCAGCTGAACGAGCCCTGGCTTGGAGATGAACAATATGAAAACTGGTGAAGCTCGTCCAGCTCACAGATGCTCACTCACGGATCCCCTGCTCCACCAGCCATAACTACAACTTTGATCGCACAAGAGATTAATTTCAGCCACTTTCTCCTGGTAAGAGACTCTGACAATGGGCTGGTTCTGGATGGTTGACAGAGGCTGCACACTCAGTGCCTCTGTGTTCTGGAAGCCCCTTTTGACAGCCAGGCGCAGTGGCTCATGCCTGTAATACCAGCACTTTGGGAGGCTGAGATGGGTGGATCACTTGACGTCAGGAGTTCAAGACCAGCCTGGCGACCACAGTGAAACCCTATCTCTACTAAAAACACAAAAATTAAGCCAGGCACGGTGGCGTGCACCTGTAATCCAAGCTACTCAGTAGGCTGAGGCAGGAGAATTGCTGGAACCTGGGAGGCGGAGGTTGCAGTGAGCCGTGATCGCGTCACTGCACTCCAGCCTGGGCAACAGAGTGTGACTCCGTCTCAAAAAGAAAAAGAAAAGAGGCCAGGCACAGTGGCTCCCGCCTGTAATCCCAACACTTTGGAAGGCCAAGGCGGGTGGATCACGGGGTCAGGAGATTGAGACCATCCTGGCTAACACAGTGAAACCCCGTCTCTACTAAAAAATACAAAAAAATTAGCCAGCTGTGGTGGCAGGTGCCTGTAGTCCCAGCTACTCAGGAGGCTGAGGCAGGAGAATGGCATGAAGCTGGAAGGCAGAGGTTGCAGTGAGCCAAGATCGCACCACTGCACTCCAGCCTGGGCGACAGAGTGAGACTCTGTCTCAAAAAGAAAAAGAAAAGAAAAAAAGAAAACACCTTTTGATATAGACAGCCTCATTGGGGCACATTAAAGGTTAAAAGTCTCTACCCCCAAGTGAATGTGGAACTTCTGCCACAGGCATGTTTGTCCTGTATCCACGTGTCAGGATGCCCTTCATTAAAATTCATAGCTCCTCCTGTAACCTGTTGAATACAAGTATGCTTGGTCATCTCATTCAACATAAATTCCCATCTCTGTCTTTTCTTCTTCGAAATGTCTACTTTTAGTTTCTGCCAGAGGCTACATTTCCCAGCCTGTTAGGCTATACAAATCAAGCTCCCCTCTCCAAATGTGTACATCTTGTCATTTTTTGTTTCTTTAAGCGACGAGATCTCGGTCTGTCACCTAGGCTGGAATGCAGTGGTGTGATCACAGCCCACTGCAGCCTCCAACTCCTGGGTTCAAACTGTCCTCCCACTTCAACCTCCCAAAGCACTGGGGTGAAAGACAGGAGCCACCTTGCCCAACCAATCTCGTGATTTTAAGTTGACACCTTCCATTCTCTTGACGGCACTGAGCATTGCCTTCAACGGCATGTCTACGGATGGCCAGCTGGGTCCCTTCTGGGGCTCCAGACACGATTCTCTTAGCTGTCTGTTGTCTGAGAGTTCTTCCTGATTGACACATGGCCTCCTGCCTTATAACTTCCCCCACCTGAGTCCTCTCGTCTGTCCCACATCACTCGCTGACAACACCCACAATGGCCAGGTGTGTCCTTCTGGAATTCCAGGTGAGCAAGTGTTCTGCCTTCGGTGATATGGGGGCCCACCTGTTCCTCTGCCTTTTTTTCCTAGCTCCTTGGTCCAGGGCTCATCACACCAGATATGTAAGCAAAGAGAAGAGGCTCCCAGGCTGGCGGGGGGGTCTCCTGTCCAGGGTCTCCTGTGTAAGAGTGTCCTGGGGATATAGCAAACAATGACCCCACACTGGGGGTACTTAAACAACAGAAATTCATCATCTCCCAGTCCTGGAGGTGAAGAGTCTGAGATTAAGGTGCAGGCAGGCCCACGGTATTAGTCTGTTCTCACGCTGCTAATAAAGACATACCTGGCTGGGCGCAGTGGCTCAAGCCTGTAATCCCAGCGCACTGGGAGGCCGAGGTGGGTGGATCACCTGAGGTCAGGCGTTTGAGACCATCCTGGCCAACATGGTGAAACCCCATCTCTACTAAAAACACAAAAATTAGCCAGGCGTGGTGGTGGGTACCTGTCATCCCAGCTACTCGGGAGGCTGAAGCAGGAGAATCGCTTGAACCTGGGAGGTGGAGGTTGCAGTGGGCTGAGATCATGCCATTGCACTCCAGCCTGGGCAACAGAGTGAGACTCCGTCTCAAAAAAAAAAAAAAAAAAAGAGACATACCCAAGACTGGGTAATTTATAAAGGAAAGAGGTTTAATGGACTCACAGTTCCACATGGCTAGGGAGACCTCGCAATCATGGCGGAAGGCAAAGGAGGAGCAAAGTCATGTCTTACATGGTGGCAAGCAAGAGAAAAGGGGAAAGTCCCCTTTATAAAACCATCAGATCTCCTGAGACTTATTTACTCTCACAGGAACAGTATGGGAGAAAACTGCCCATAAAGTTCAATTATCTCTGCCTGGTCCTGCCCTTCACATGTGGAAATTATTATTATTATTATTATTATTATTTAATTTTACTTTAAGTTGTGAGATACATGTGCAGAACCTGCAGGTTTGTTGCATAGGTATCCGTATGCCATGGTGGTTTGCTGCACCTGTCAACCCATTATCTAGGTTTTAAGCCCCACATGCATTGGGTATTTGTCCTAATGCTCTCCCTCCCCTTGCCCCCCCACCCCCCAACAGGCCCCGGTGTGTGATGTTCCCCTCCCTGTGTCTGTGTGTTCTCATTGTTCAACTCCCACTTATGAGTGAGAACATGCGGCATTTCATTTTCTGTTCTTGTGTTAGTTTGCTGAGAGTGACTTTCTGGCTTTATCCACGTCCCTGCAAAGGATATGAACTCATCCTTTTTTATGACTGCATAGTATTCCATGGTGTCTATGTGCCACTTTTTTTTTTATCCAGTCTATCATTGATGGGCATTTGGATTGGTCCCAAGTCTTTGCTATTGTAAATAGTGCTGCAATAAACATAGACCCGTGAAGATTATTACAATTCCAGGTGAGATTTGGGTGGGGATATAGTCAAACCATATCAACCATCCTCCCTGTGGAGGCTCTAGGGGAGGATCCCTCCTGCCTCTCCAAGCTCCTGGGGGCTCCAGGCATCCCTGGGCTTGTGGCCGCATCACTCCAGTGTCTGCCTCTGTCTCCACGTGGCCTTCTCCTCTGTGTCTGTGTCTCCTCTTCTGTCTCTTACAAGGACAGCTGTCATTGCATTTTGGGCCCACTCTAATCCAGAATGATCCAATCTCAAGGTCCTTAACTTAATGACATCTGCAAAGACCCTATTTCCAAATAAGGTCTTACAGACTCTGAGCATTAGGATATGGACAAATGTTTCTGGTGGCCACTATTCAATCCACTACAATTGTATCCAGTTCCTTCTGGGAGGCTCTAAGGGAGGATCCCTCCTGCCTCTCCCAGCTCCTGGGGGCTCCAGGCGTCCCTGGGCTTGTGGCCCCATCACTCCAGTCTCTGCCTCTGTCTCCCCATGGCCTCCTCCTCTGTGTCTGTGTCTCCTCTTCTGTCTCTCAGAAGTGAACCTGTCATTGGATTTTGGGCCCACCCTAATCCAGGATGATCTCATCCCAAACCCTTAAATCACATCTTCAAAGACTTTTTCAGCAAACAAAGTCCTGTTTCCAGGTTCCAGGGGGTTAGGGCATGGTCCTATCTTTTGCAGGTACGCACCATTGAACCCACTACACATAGCGTTAACAACTTGTGCCCGTTTTCCTTTAATTGTCCCACTTTTAGCCCTGAGGTTCTTGTGTCCTGAAAATACCTTATAAATCCAGGGCAAACCAAGATGGATTATCTCCCCACATCCAACACCTGCACAGGTAAGTACAATTCTGTTTAATCTTGATGTCTGCTCAGGCTGGCTCTTCTCTCTGCCTACCACAGCTGGGTTCTGTGCTTGGTATGGACACCCGCCCCTTTCCTTTCCTTTTCCTTTCCTTTCCATTTCTTTCCTTTCCTTCCCTTCCCTTTTATTTTCCTTTTCCTTTTCCTTTCCCTTCCCTCCCTTCCCTTCCCTTTCCTCCCCTCCCTTCCCTTCCCTTCCTTTCCCTTCTCTTCCCTTCCCTTCCCTCCCTTCCCCTCCTTTTCCTTTCCTTTTCCTTTTCCTTTCCCTTCCCTCCCTTCCCTTCCCTTTCCTCCCCTCCCTTCCCTTCCCTTCCTTTCCCTTCTCTTCCCTTCCCTTCCCTCCCTTCCCTTCCTTTTCCTTTCCCTTCCCTTCCCTTTCCTCCCCTCCCTTCCCTTCCTTTTCCTTTCCCTTCCCTTCCCTTTCCTCCCCTCCCTTCCCTTCCCTTCCTTTCCCTTCCCTTCCCTTCCTTCCCTTCCTTCCCTTCCTTCCCTTCCCTTCCCTTCCTTCCCTTCCTTCCCTTCCTTCCCTTCCCTTCCCTTTCCTTTCCTCCCCTCCCTTCCTTTTCCTTCCCTTCCCTTCCTTTCCTTTCCTTCCCTTTCCCTTTCCTTCCCTTTCCCTTTCCCTCCCCCTCCCCCTCCCCTTCCCCTGTCTTCCTCTCCCCTCCCCTTCCCCTCCCCTCCCCTTCCCTTCCCTTTGACAGAGACTTGCTCTGCTGTCCTGGCTGAAGTGCGGTGACACTACCTCAGCTCACTGTAACCTCAGCCTCCCTGGTTCAAGCAATTCTCCTGCCTCAGCCTCCCGAGTAGAGTAGCTGGGATTACAGGCACCCACCACCACACCCAGCTAATTTTTGTATTTTTAGTAGAGATGGGGTTTCACCATATGTTGCCCAGGCTGGTCTCGAACTCCTAACCTCAAACAATCCACCCACCTCGGCCTCCCAAAGTGCTGGGATTACAGGCATCAGCCACCGCGCCCAACCTGCCTTTTTCTTTTCTTTTATTATTATTATTTTTTAAAGATAAAAACAACTTTGTAGAGATAGAATTCCTACAGCATGCAATTCACCCATCTACAGTTCATTGGGTTTAGAACGTTAAGTTGTGCAAACACCTCCGCAGTCTATTTTAGGATATTTTCTTTCTTTCTTTTTTTTTTTTTTGAGACAGTTTTGCTCTTGTTGCCCAGGCTGGAGTGCAATGGCACAATCTCTGCTCACCGCAACCTCCGCCTCCCAGGTTCAAGCGATTCCCCTGCCTCAGCTTCCCGAGTAGCTGGGACTACAGGTGCCCGCCATCACACCCGGCTAATTTTGTATTTTTAGAAGAGATGGGATTTCTCCATGTTGCCCAGGCTGGTCTCGAACTCCTGACCTCACGTGATCCACCCGCCTCGGCCTCCCAAAGTGCTGGGATTACAGGCATCAGCCACTGTACCCAGCCATTTAGGATATTTTCATCACCCCAAAAAGAAATCCTATACCCTCTGGCTCTTACTCACTGCTATTGTCTGAAGGTTTATATCACCCCAAAATATATAGGTTTCAACCCTAAACCTCAGTATGCTGTCAGGAGGTGAGAGCTCTGGGGGAGATTAGGGTGGGATGAGTTTACAGCAGAGATGCTCCATGATGAGACAAATTTCCTTATAAGAACAGGAAGAGGGCCAGGCATGGGGGCTCATGCCTGTAATCCCAGCACTTTGGGAGGCCGAGGGGTCGGGGGGTGGTGGATCACCTGAGGTCAGGAGTTCGAGACCAGCCTGGCCAATATGGTGAAACCCTGTCTCTACTAAAAAAAAAAAAAAAAAATACTAAAAATTAGCCAGGCGCGGTGGCAGGCACCTGTAATCCCACCTACTTGGGAGGCTGAGGCAGGAGAATCGCTTGAACCTGGGAGGCGGAGGTTGCAGTGAGCGGAGGTTGCACCACTGCACTCCAGCCTGGGCAAAAAGAGTGAAACTCCACCTCAGAAAAACAAAACAACAACAAAAAAAAAACAGGAAGAGACCGCAGAGCATCCACGTACTCCCTCCTTCTCTCCCTCCCTCCATTCCTCCCTTCTTCACCCCTCTCCCACAAATATAAGCACAGAGAACAACCCTGTGGGGACACAGGGAGAAGACGGTGTCTACAAGCCCAGGAGAGAGGCCTCAGGAGGAACCAGCCCTGCCCACACCTGGATCTCAGACTTCCAGCCTCCAGGACTGTGGGAGAATCAATGTCTGTCGTTTCTAAGCCGCCCAGTCTATGGTGTTCTGTGATAGCAGCCTGAAATGGACTAAGAGATCTCATAAGAAGAGGAGATGAGGACACAGACACACACAGAGGGATGATCCTGTGAGGACACAGGGAGAAGATGGCGTCTCCAAGTCCAGGAGAGAGGCCTCAGGAGGAACCAGCCCTGCCTACACCTGGATCTCAGACCTCCAGCTCCAGGATTGTGGGAGAATCAACGTTTGTTGTGTATAAGTCACGCAGTCTATGGTATTCTGTGATAGCAGCCTGAAATGGACGAGAACATCTCATAAGAAGAGGAGATGAGGACACAGACACACACAGAGGGGCGACCCTGTGAGGACACAGGGGGAAGACGTCATCTACAAGCCAAGGAGAGAGTCCTCAGGAGGAACCAGCCCTGCCCGTTCGCTGATCTCAGACTTCCAGCCTCCAGGGCTGTGGGACAATCAATGTCTGTTGTGTATAAGCCACGCAGTCTATGGTATTCTGTGTTAGCAGCCTGAAGTGGACTAAGACACCTCATAAGAAGAGGAGATGAGGACACAGACACACACAGATGGACGACTCTGTGAGGACACAGGGAGAAAACAGCATCTACAAGCCAAAGAGACAAGCCTTAGGAGGAACCACCCCTGCCCACACCTTAATCTTGGATTTCCAGCCTCCAGGGCTGTGGGAGAATCAATGTCTCTTGTTTCTAAGCCACCCAGTCTATGGTATTCTGTGGTAGCAGCCTGAGATGGACTAAGACATCTCATAAGAGGAGGAGATGAGGGCACAGACACACAGAGAGGGACGACCCCGTGAGGACACAGGGAGGAGACAGCATCTACAAGCCCAGGAGAGAGGCCTCAGGAGGAACCAGCCCTGTCCACACCTGATGTCCAGCCTCCAGGAGAATCAAGGTCTGGCTTTTAAACCACCTCAGCCTTCAGCTTGGGCCCCCGCCCCATCCCACAAACACCCCCAACCTTGTCCGCCTCTGTGTGCCTTGTGGGCAGTCCCCAGTACATGGCCTTAGACTGCTGTTCCACCCTCCAGAGTCTCAGGATGAACTGGAAGGTATTAAGGAAGTCATCTGAGGGCTCTGAGCAAAATGGAAACTAATTTCAGTGGGAAAAGAGGATCTGCAGTGAGTGAGTCTGTTGAGCTCCGGCAGAGAAGAAGCCTGGTGTCAGGGTCCTTCTGCCTGAGCCTGTGGGGCCAGGTAATGTTAACAGGAAGCATGCTCAGACCCAAGCGAGGTCTCAGAAGATTTAAGGGAAGTTCAATCTTCACACGTGTCTCTGGTTTCCAGTAATATCTGGCCCCCAATATTCTCCCTGGTCCTCAATATTTTCTGGTTCTTAGTAATCTCTCGGCCACACGCGGTGGCTCACGCCTGTCATTCCAGCGCTTTAAGAGGCTGAGGTGGGCAGACCACCTGAGGTCAGGAGTTCGAGACCAGCCTGGCCAACATGGTGAAACCCCATCTCTACTAAAAATACAAAAATTAGCTGGGCGTGGTGGTGCGCACCTGTAATCCCAGCTACTCAGGAGGCTGAGGCGGGAGAATTGCTTGAACCTGGGAGGCGGAGGTTGCAGTGAGCCGAGATTTTGTCACTGCACTCCAGCCTGGGCAACAACAGCGAAACTCCATCTCAAAAAAAAATAAAAAAATAAATAAAAATAATCTTGGCCGGGCGCGGTGGCTCACGCCCGTCATCTCAGCACTTTGGGAGGCTGAGATGGGTGGATCACCTGAGGTCAGGAGTTCGAGACCATCCTGGCCAACATGGTGAAACCCCGTCTCTACTAAAAATACAAAAATTAGCCAGGCATGGTGGCAGGTGCCTGCAATCCCAGCTACTCGGGAGGCTGAGGCAGGAGAATGGCGTGAACCCAGGAGGCGGAGCTTGCAGTGAGCTGAGACTGTGCCACTGCACTCCAGCGTGGGTGACAGAGCGAGACTCCGTCTCAAAAAAAAAAAAATAATAATAATATAATAAAATATTAAATATTTAATATATATAATAAAAAATAATAATCTCTCTGGTCTGTAATATTCTCTGATTCCCCAAAAGCTCCCTAGTCCCCCAAAACCTGTCTGTTTCCCCAAAATCTTTCTGGTCTTTAATATTCTTGCTGGGCCCAATGGTCTCCCTGATCCTCAATATCCTTGCTGGGCCCTGATCATCTTGTTTGTCCCCAATCTTCTCTCTGGTTCCCTAAAATCTCTCCAGTCCCCTCAAATCTGTTTGGTTCTCCCTGGCCGCCAATATTCTCTCTAATCCTCAATATTCTCTGTGGTTCACAATAATCTTTCCAGTCTCCAGTATTCTTTCTGGTTCCCCAAAATCTTTCTAGTCCCCCAAATCCTGCCTAACTCCCAAAGCCTGTCTAATTTCCAATACTTCCATTAAGCCCCAATATTTTATCTGGTCTGCAATAATCTTCCTGATCCCCAATCATCTCCTTGGCCCCCAATAATCTTCCTGCCCCCAGTAATCTCCCTGGTCCTCAGTATTTTCTCAGATCCCCAATATTCTCTGTGGTCCCCAATCATCTCCTTGGTCCCTAATCTCTCTGGTCCCCAGTAATATTTCTGATCCCCAATATTCCTCTGGTCCCCAATAATCTTTCGGCTCCCCAATATTCTCTCTGATCCCCAATCATCTCCTTGGTCCCTAATAATCTCTCTGGTCCCCAATCACCTCCCTGATCCCCAGTAATCTCTGAGATCTCAATATTCTCTCTGAGCCTCAATATTCTCTCTGAGTCTCAATGTTCTCTCTTGTCCCCAATAATCTCTCTGGTCCCTAATAATCTCCCTGCTCCCCAATATTCTCTCCGATCTCCAATTATCTCCTTGGTCCCTAATAATCTCTCTGGTCTCCAATCATCTTTCTGATTCCAATATTCTCTCTGGTCCCCAATATTCTCTCTGGTCCCCAATAATCTCCCTGCTCCCCAATATTCTCTCTGATCTCCAATAATATCTCTGATCCCAATATTCTCTCTGGTTCCCAATAATCTCTCTGGTCCCCAATCATCTTTCTGATTCCCAGTAATCTCTCTGGTCCCAATATTCTCTCTGGTCCCCAGTCATCTCCTTGGTCTCCAATATTCTCTCCAATTTCTAATATTGTCTCTAATCCCCAATTATCTTCTTGGCTCCCAATCACCTCCCTGGTTTCTAATATTATCTCTGTTCCCCAATATTCTCTCTGATCCACAATCATCCCCTTGGTCCCTAATCATCTCTCTGGTTACCAATCATCTCCCTGGTCCCCAAGATTTTCTCTGATTTCTAATATTGTCTCTGATCTCCCCCAAATCTCCCTAGTTCCCAATATTTTCTCGGATCCCCAATCATATACTTGGTCCCTAATAATCTCCCTGATCCCCATCATCTTCTTGATCTCTAATAATCTCTCTGGTCCCCAAAAATCTCCCTGGTTCCCAATAGTCTCTCTGGTCCCCAATCATCTCTCTGGTCCCCAATAATCTCTCTGGTCCCCAATATTTTCTCTGATCTCCAATTATCACCTTGGTCCCTAATAATCTCTCTGGTCCTCAATCATCTCTCTCTGGTCCCCAATAATCTCTCTGGTCCCCAATATTCTCTCTGATCTCCAATTATCACCTTGGTCCCTAATAATCTCTGGTCCCTAATCATCTTTCTGACCCCCAATAATCTCTGTGGTCCCCAATATTCTCTGTGCTCCTCAATTATGTCCTTGGTCCCTAATAATCTGTCTGGTCCCCAATCATCTTTCTGATCCCCAATAATCTCTCTGATCCCAATATTCTCTCTGGTCCCCAGTCATCTGCTTGGTCTCCAATATTCTCTCTGATCTCTAATATTGTCTCTAGTCCTCAATCATCTTCTTAACCCCAATAATGTCCCTGGTTTCCAACATTATCTCTGGTCCCAAGTATTCTCTCTGATCCCCAATCATCTCCTCGGTCTCTAATAATCTCTCTGGTCCCCAATATTCTCTCTGGTCCCCAATCATCTTCTTAGCCTCTAATAATCTCCCTGATCCCCAATATTCTCTCTGGTCCCCAATCATCTCTCTGATCCCCAATAATCTCTCTGATCCCCAATATTATCTCCGATCCTCAATTATCTCATTGGTCCCTAATAATTTCTCTGGTCCCCAATCCTCTCCCTGATCCCCAATAATCTCTCTGATCCCAATATTCTCTCTGATCCTCAGTCATCTCTTTGTTCTCTAATAATCTCCCTGGTCTCCAATATTCTGTCTGATTTCTAATATTATCTCTGGTCCTCAATCATCTTCTTGTCTCCCAATAATCTCCCTGATCCCCAATAATCTCCCTCATCCTCAATATTTTCTCTGATTTCTAATATTGTCTCTGGTCCCCAATAATCTCCATAGTACCCCCAAATGTCCCTGGTTCCCAATAATTTCCCTTGTCCCCAATAATCTCCTTGATCCCCAATCATCTCCTTGGTACCTAATTATCTTCCTGGTCCCCAATCACCTCTTTGGCCCCCAATCATCTCCTTGGCCCCCAATCATCACCCTGCTCCCCAATATCCTCTCTGATTTTTCTTTTCTTTTTTTTTTTTTTTTTTTGAGACAGAGTCTCACACTGTCGCCAGGCTGGACTGCAGCGGTGCGATCTGAGCTCACTGCAGCCTCCAACTCTCTGGTTCAAGGGATTCTCCTGCCTTAGCCTCCTGAGTAGCTGGGATTACAGAGCTGGGTTTACAGGCATGCTCCACCACGTCCAGCTAATTTTTGTATTTTAGTAGAGACGGAGTTTCACTATATTGGCCAGGATGGTCTCCATCTCCTGACCTCGTCATCCGCCCGCCTTGGCCTCCCAAAGTGCTGGGATTACAGGCATGAGCCACCGCGCCCGGCCTTTATCCTCTCTGATTTCTAATATTCTCTCTGTCCCCAATAATATCTCTGGTCCCCAATATTCTCTCTGATCCATCACCCCTCTCTTATGGTCCACTGTAATCCTTATGCTCCACTTTAATCCGTCCCAGTATGGACAAACCCTAAGATCATTGAGTACCCAGCATGGAACACGGCTTGCAACCACTGTCACCCTGGCATCAGCAGGAACCTTGGCATCAAAGTCACAGGCCGGAGGACACTCTGCATTTGTCTGCAGGAAGTCAATTCACTTGGACCCTGCCTGCAGGAATGTGGACCGTCAGTCATTTGCATGAGTGCTTAGAAACGGCAAAGGAAGGTGTGTTTACTTAGAAGTGAGTTGCATGGGGTGAAGGAAGCCAGTCAGCCGCACCTCAGCTGGGTATTTGGTGGTATTTGGTGGAGGTTTCAGAAACTCCCCTTCCTTTGCTTCCGGTGAGCGTGACGGACAACCTCCTAATTCCTGTGCAGCCCGAAAAGGGTCCCGCGAAGAGTGTTTATAGCCCAGAATGAGGAAGTGAGACAAGGGGTATTGCATGGTTATTTTTTCTTATGTCTTTCTCTTTCTCTCTCGCTCTCTTTTTTTTTTTTTTTTTTTTTTTTTGAGATGGAGTTTTGCTCTTGCTGCCCAGGCTGGAGTGCAATGGTGCGATCTCGGCTCACCGCAACCTCCGCCTCCCGGGTTCAGGTGATTCTCCTGCCTCAGCCTCCCGAGTAGCTGGGATTACAGGCATGCACCACCATGCCCAGCTAATTTTTTGTATTTTTAGTAGAGACGGGGGTTTCACCATGTTAGCCAGGCTAGTCTCGAACCCCTGACCTCAGGTGATCCACCCGCCTCAACCTCCCAAAGTGCTGGGATGACAGGCGTGAGCCACCATGCCCCGCCCTCTTTTTCTCGCTTAAAAAAAAAAAGGTGAGGTTTACATAATGAAATCAATCATTGTAAACGGAATACCTCAGGGGGATTTATTGCATTCATGCCTCCGTGCAGCCAATACCTCGATGTAGTTTCAGAATATTTTCCTCACCTCCCACACACGTGTGTATTGTAACTTTAAATGCAATCCTCAGATGACAAGGCTCGGAATCGTCGTGCACGCACAGAGATTCAACAACCAAGATGCGATAATTATAGTACACTGGCCAGGCACGTTGTCTCATGCCTCTAGTCCCAGCACCTTGGGAGGCCAAGGCAGGAGAGTGGCTTCAGGCCAGGAGTTCAAGATGAGCCTAGGCAACATAGCAAGACACTTTCATTAGCCGGGCGTGGTCAGTGCCTGTAATCCCAGCTACTTGGGAGGCTGAGGTGGAAGGATTGCTTGAGGCCAGGAGTTAGAGGCTGCAGTGAGCTATGATGAAGTCACTGCACTCCAGCCTGGGCAACAGAGCAAGACTCTGCCCCTAAAAATAAAAATTAAGGCCGGGCGTGGTGGCTCACACCTGTTATCGCAGCACTTTGGGAGGCTAAGACAGGCGGATCACTCGAGGTCAAGAGTTCGAGACCAGCCTGTCCAATATGGCGAAACCCCATCTCTACTAAAAATACAAACATTAGCTGGGCATGGTGCCACATGCCTATAATCCCAGCTACTCGGGAGGCTGAGGCAGGAGAGTCACTTGAACCCGGGAGGCAGAGGTTGCAGAAAGCCGAGATTGCACTACTGCACTCCAGCCTGGGCGACAGAGAGAGACTCCATCCCCCACTGCCAAAAATAAATAAATAAATAAATAAATAAATAAATAAATAAATAAAACAAAAATTGAAAAAAATAAAAAAAAGATATAGCAAATAGTTTGGAGTAGCAGTTAAGGGTGTGACCTTTGTGGCTGGTGCAGTTGGAGGTAATGCCCCAGCCAGGTGAGGGTGTGCCTTCCTTTCTGTGTCCCTCAGTTTCCCCTAAGCAAAATGGGGATGTCAGCAGAGCTTTCTCAAAGGGTGTCACTTTAGTCCCTAAAATCTTCCCTGTTCCCCAATATTCTCCCTGGTACCTAATCGTCTCCTTGGTCCCTAATCATCTCCCTGGTCCCCAATATTCTCTGAGTTTCACAATTCTTGCATTTAGCATAGAATTTTTGAGGTTCATCCATATTGTAGCGGTATCAATACTTTCTTCCCATTTAGGCTGAAAAATATTGCAGATTTGTGATTGCCAGAGGGAGGAGGGAAGGGAGAAGTGGGAGCGATTGCAAATAGGTACAGGTCTCCTTCTGAGCGTCATAAAAATGTATTGGAAGTACACAGAGGTGATGATTGTACAACACTCTGAACGAGCTAAATACCACTGCGTTGTATTGAAGATGGTAAATTTATTATTATTATTATTTATTTCTTGAGACGGAGCCTCCCTCTGTCGTCCAGCCTGGAGTGCAGTGGCACGATCTGTGTTCATCACAACTTCCGCCTCCCGGGTTCAAGCGATTCTCCTGCCTCAGCCTCCCCAGTAGCTGGGATTATAGGTGCCGCACCACCACGCCCGGCTAATTTTGTATTTTTAGTAGAGACAGGATTTCACTAAAAAACCCTGTTGGCCAGGCTGGTCTGGAACTCCTGACCTCAAGTGACCCACCTGCCTTGGCCTCCCAAAGAGCTGGGATTACAGGCATGAGCCACTGTGCCCGGCAAAGATGGTGAATTTTGTTATGTGAATTTCACCTCAATAAATTAAAACAAATAAAACAGCAGTATTTATTTTGGTGACTGAGTTTTTTGGCATTGGAGTGTCTACACGTCTCCCCGTAACCCCGTTCCTGTTTGATTTTCTCATCTGCAATGTAGCGATGGGGTAGAATTGGGTCTTGTACTCAGGGTTGTTTCAAGAGTTTGATGGTGTGGGGGGAGCATTGAGAATGTCCCTTTGTACACAGTAGGCTTGTCACACTTGCCAGCTGCTTACCCCCCTCTCTTCTGCGGATCCACTCATCCCTTTATTCACTCATTCATCCGCTCATTCATTCCTCATCCATCCATGCATCCATCCATTCATCCATCCATCCATCCATCCACTCATCCATCCATCCATCCATCCCTCCATCCATGCATGCATCCATCCATCCATCCATCCATCCATCCATTCATCCATCTATCCATCCATCCATCCATCCATTCATCCACTCATCCATCCATACATCCACGCATCCATCCATCCATCCATCCATCCATTCATCCATCCATCCATCCATCCATGCATGCATCCATCCATCCATCCATCCATCCATCCATCCATCCATTCATCCATCTATCCATCCATCCATCCATTCATCCATCCATCCATCCATACATCCATCCATCCATCCATCCATTCATCCATCCATCCATCCATCCATCCATCCATCCATCCACTCATCCATTCATCCATCCATCCATACATCCATGCATCCATCCATCCATCCATCCATCCATCCATCCATCCATCCACTCATCCATTCATCCATCCACTCATCCATCCATCCATCCATCCATCCATCCATCCATCCATCCATCCACTCATCCATTCAACCATCCACTCATCCATCCATCCATCTATCCATCCATCCATCCATCCATCCATCCATCCACCCACCCATCCATCCACTCATTCATTCACCTGTCTACAGTGAGGGTCTGTGTCCATTCAGCTGCTCAAGAAGGTGGTCTCAGGGTGGGGGCAGCTTCTTCACCCTCTCATAGTCCTGTAGCCAGGGTCTGTCACCTTGCAGGGAGTTGTGCTCCACAGCAGTGCAGAGGGTTTGAGTGGGGACCCCCCAAAATCCCTATTGGTGCAATAAATCCTCTCTCCTCCTCTGATTAGGCCAAGGAGCTCAGTGTTTTGTGAAGAATTTGTTTGGAGAGTGTTTTGAGTTGGATTGCATCCCTTTGAAAGACACATTCAAAGCCTCAACATAGGTACCTGTGAATATAGGACCTTATTTGGAAATAGGATCTTTGCAGATGGGATTAAGGTGTAAGTTAGGATGACATCATACTGCATTTGGGTGGGGACTTAATCCTATGGGACTGGGGTCCTTCTAAGAAGAGACTGGGACGCAGACATGCACAGAGGGAAGATTGCTGTGTGAAGACAGAGGCAGAGATTGGAGGGAGGCATTCCCAAGCCCAGGGACGTCAAGGATGGCAGAGGATCAGAAGCTGGAGAGACGCAGGAAAGATTCTCCCCAAAGCCTCAGAAACAGTATGCATTAATTCGGGGCAATTGACTGGAAATCAGCTCCTTTCTTGTTTCATCCGTCTATTCACCTATTGACTCAATCATGCATCCATCCATTCATCCATTCATCCATCCATCCACCCATGAATTCATTTATCCATGTATGTATTCATGCATCCATTCATTCACTCATTCATTTATCCATCGGTTCATTCATCCACTCACTCATTCCTTATCCATCCACTCATCCATCCATCTGTCCATCCATCCATCCATCCATTTATCCATACATCCACTATTCATTCGCCCATTCATTTATTCATGCATCCATTCATTCACTCATTCATCTATTCATTCATTCATTTATTCCTTATCCATCCACTCATCCATCCTTCCATTCATCCATCCATCCATCCATTCAGTCATCCATCCACTTATCAATACACCCACTATTCACTCACCCATTCATTTATTCATGCATCCATTCACTCACTCATTCATTTATTCATTCATTCCTTATCCAGCCGCTCATCCATCCATCTATTCATCCATCCATCCATCTACTCAGTCATCCATCCATTTATCAATACACCCACTATTCAGACACCCATTCATTTATTCATGAATCCATTCGTTCACTCATTCATTCATTCATTCATCCACTCATTCATTCCTTATCCATCCACTCATCCATCCATCTGTTCATCCATCCATCCATTTATCCATACATCCACTATTCATTCACCCATTCTTTCATGCATCCATTCATTCACTCATTCATTCATTCCTTATCCAGCCGCTCATCCACCCATCCATTCATTCATCCATCCATCCATCTACTCAGTCATCCATCCATTTATCAATACACCCACTATTCACTCACCCATTCATTTATTCATGCATCCATTCATTCATTCATTCATTCATTCGCTCATTTATTCCTTATCCAGCCACTCATCCATCCATCCATTTATCCATCCATCCATCCATTCAGTCATCCATGCATGGATGGATGGATGCATCCACCACTCATCCATCCAAAACTCACTCATTCATCCATTCATTCATTTATGCCTTTAATCATTCACCCATTTATTCAGTAATTCATTTATGCATCCACTCATTTATCCACTCATTCATTCCTTATCCATCCACTTATTCAGCATTCATCCATCCATCCATCCATCCAATTCATCCATCTATCCATCTATACAGCCATCTACTCATTCATTCATCCATTTACTTACTCATCCATCCATTAATTCATTTATCCATGTGTTTATTCATGCATCGATGAATTCACTCATTCATTTACCCACGCATTCATTCAGCATCTATTTATTCACTAAATCATTTATTCATCTATTCATTCATTTCTTTTCTTTTCTTTTCTTTTTGAGACCGAGTTTCACTCCTGTTGCCCAGGCTGATGTGCAACAGCTCGATCTTGGCTCATTGCAACATCTGCCTCCCGGGTTCAAGGGATTCTCCTGCCTCAGCCTCCCAAGTAGCTGGGATTACAGGCGCCCACTACCACGCCTGGCTAATTTTTGTATTTTTTAGTAGAGACGGGGTTTCACCACGCTGGCCAGGCTGGTCTTAAATTCCTGACCTCAGGTGATCCGCCTACCTCAGACTCCCAAAGTGCTGGGATTACAGGCGTGAGCCACCGCGCCCAGCCTATTCATTCATTTCTTATCCATCCACCTACCTATCCATCTGTTCATCCGTCCATCTATTTATTCATTCATCTACTCATTCATTCATTCATCCACTTATTCATTCCTTATCCATCCACTCATCTATCCATCCATCCATCCATCCGTTTATCCATCCACTTATCCATACATCCACTATTCATTTGCCCATTCATTTATTCATGATCCATTCATTCACTCATTCATTTATCTATTCATTCATTCATTTATTCCTTATCCATCCACTCATCCATCCATCCGTTCATCCTTCAATCCATCCATTCAGTCATCCACCCATTTATCAATACACCCACTATCATTCACCCATTCATGTATCTATTCATTCAATCATTTATTCCTTATTCATCCACCTATCTATCCATCTGTTCATCCATCCATCCATTTATTCATTCATCTACTCATTCATTCATCCATCCAATCATCCCTTCATTCATTCATTCATCCACTCATTCATTCCTTATCCATTTACTCATCTATCCATCCATCCATCCATCCATCCATTCATCCATTCATCCACTCTTCATTCACCTGTCTACATATCCATCCATCCACTCACTAATGTACTAATCCACTCATTCACTCATTCATTCATTTATTCATTCACCCATCTATTTATGCAGCCATCCATTCAACCATCCAACAAACAGTACTGAGGCCATGTTAATCTATTCTGGTCTCTCATCTACAAAGTCACAGCCCCTACAGGGACCCTGCTCATTCATTCCCTGTGGCTGAGACTGAAGGGGTATCTCCTGTTTCTATTCCACGTGTGGCCACCTGCTGGTCTGTCCCTGTCCTGAGTGCAGGAGTAGTCTCATTCTCCTCCACCCCAAGAACAGATGAGTGATAAATAAATACCTGGAGACAGAATGCCTCCAACCCCAGGGTAATAGCCTGAGTATCCTAGAAGTTTCCTGTGTTCATGCCAAGAGCTTGTGATGGACATATGGACACTGTAGATGGACAACAGCGCCTTCACTGAGCAGCTAGTGCCTGGGAGGCCTCCAGCTTCACTGAGCCTCAGGTTTCATCTATTGCATCTCACAGAGAGGCTGTCTGCAACATGCCCATTTCAACCACTGGCTGAGAGGCTCATGCAGGTATGCATGTGACAGGGCTCCTTGCTGGAGAGTGGGTTCCTGGAGATTCCATCAGAGCTACTGCTGCACAACTGCCCCTTGAGGAGGCCATCACAGCTCTGAGCAGCAGGCGCTGCCAGTCAGCACCGTGTGAACTCAAAGTCTTGCATTCATCCTCATACGACATCTTCAAAACCACTTTAAACGTCCCAGGGAAGCCCGGAGGAGCAAGTGCTTCCAAGAGGCTGGCTCTGGTCTTTGGATTGAGTGTGGATTTGAGTCTCTTTGAATGAGTGTGGATTTGAGTTTCTTTGAATGAGTGTGGATTTGAGTCTCTTTGAATGCGTGTGGGTTTGAGCCTCTTTGAATGATTGTGGACTTGAGTCTCTTTGAATGAGTGTGGATTTGAGTCTCTTTGAATTCGTGTAGGTTTGAGTCTCTGAATGAGTGGACTTGAGTCTGTTTGAATGAGTATGGATTTGAGTCTCTTTGATTGCGTGTGGGTTTGAGTCTCTTTGAATGAGTGTGGATTTGAGTCTCTTTGAATGAGTGTGGACTTGAGTCTCTTTGAATGAGTTGGATTTGAGTCTCTTTGAGTGTGGATTGGAGTCTCTGAATGTGCGTGGATTTGAGTCTCCTCATTCCTGCACTTTTTCAGTTCCCTTTGTTGCATGGGACAGTATAAATGACGCTCCCCATTGATCCAGTTTTGCAAGTAAAAATGTCACATGTGGAAGCCAGCATTTAGTCCTCGGGCAGATAAGCATGTTTGATGAGAATAACACGTACACACAGCGGGGCCCTTGGTCTTGGAAAGGTGGAGAATAAATCCTCCATTTCCCCTGAGACCTGACCTGCACAGGGAATATCTGCTTAATCTACACATGTGTGGCTTGTAACGACAGAGTCTCTTCAATTCTACTTACTTTATTATAGTAACAAGAGCATGCATACAGCACATTGGGAGATGGAGAAATGGAAGGAAGTGATCCAGAGTCCCTTGACCCAGCCCATTCTCTCCCTGAGACCTGGGGGATGGGACATGATCTTGCTTCTCCTTCCAGGTCTCTGGAAGGATCATCTTGTCTTATCTTGCCTGCCTCTCACCCTGTGGTTCAGAATTGCGGGAGATTCTGTTCCAGTGGGGATGCTTGTCTATATCTTGGGCAGTTTGGGGTGTCACAACTGGAGGGTGTACTCCTGGGGCGTGGTGGGTGGAGCCTGGGAAGATGCTCAGTGCCCTGCAGTGCACAGGATAGGCTCAACACAGAGAATCCTCCAGCCCTACATGGCAGCAGTGCTGAGGCTGACACCCTGCCTGAGCATGAGAGAGTCTCTGTTAGTGACTATCTATCCATCTATATCTATCTATCATATCTATCATTTATCAATTTATCTATATATCATATCTAGCTCTCTGGCACCTATATCTATTTATTTATTAATCTTCTCTGTCTGTCATCTATCTATACCTTTCTAGCATTTATCTCTCATCTCTATCATTTATCTGCCTACCATTTGACAGTGGTTTCAACTAGGGGTGATTTTTCTCATCACGGCACACTGGGTAATGTCTGAGGACAGTTCTGGTTGTCGCAACTGTGGGGGTGCTCCTGGCATCTGGTGGGTGGATCCCGGGGATGCTTCTCAATACCTTACACTGCACAGGATGGCCCCACCACAGAGAATCACCCGGCCCCAAATGTCTATAGTGTTGACGTGGAAAGATCCTGCTTTTAGTATAGAGAATCTCTCCTCTCTCTCTCTCTCTCCGTCATCCATCTATGTATCCATGTATCTATGTATCTATGCATCTATGTATGTATGTATGTATGTATGTATGTATGATCTATCTATCTATCTATCTATCTATCTATCTATCTATCTATCTATCTATCTATCTATGTATCCATGTATCTATGTATGTATCTATCTATCTCTATTACCTATCATCACCATTATCTATCTATCTATCTATCTATCTATCTATCTATCTATCTGTCATCTATCTATATGTATGTACATATCTATCTATCTTATCTATTGCTCATCTATCTAGGTATCTCTCTAATCTATCATCTATCTCTCTAATCTATTAATGCACCTATGTATGTATCTATGTATCTATCTATCTAATCTATTTATCCATGTATGTATGTATGTATCTACCTATCTAATCTATGTATGTATGTATATATGTATCTAATTTATGTACGTACATATGTATGTATCTATTCTATCTATGTATCTATCTATCTGATTGATCTATCTCTCTATCATCACCATTATCTATCTATATGTATGTGTGTATCTATCTATCCTATCTATCTATCTCTCATCTATCTATGTATCTCTCTAATCTATCATCTATTTAATCTATGCATCTATATATCTATCTATCTAATCTATTTATCCATGTATGTATGTATCTATCTAATCTATGTATGTATATATCTATCTAATTTACGTATGTATCTTTTCTATCTATCTCTATTATCTATATATCTATCTGTCTATCATCACCATTATCTATCTATATCTATGTATGTATTGTCTATTCTATCTCTCATCTATCTATATATCTCTTTAATCTATCATCTATCTATCTAATCTATGCATGTATCTATGTATCTATCTATCTAATCTATTTATCCATGTATGTATGTATGTATGTACCTATCTAATTTATGTATGTATGTATATATCTATCTATTCTATGTATCTATTTATCGATTCTATCTATCTGTCTGTCTGTCTGTCTATCTATCTATCTATCTATCTATCTATCTAATTTGTCACCCATCTATCTTTAAGACAGTGATAGATGAGCAAG
The DNA here is from genome assembly GCF_000001405.40 of Homo sapiens. Classification (NCBI taxonomy): domain Eukaryota; kingdom Metazoa; phylum Chordata; class Mammalia; order Primates; family Hominidae; genus Homo; species Homo sapiens. The sequence goes on from NC_000024.10 coordinate 1,531,144, forward strand.
TGATTTTGCTACCTGGAGACATTGAGTAATATCTGGAGACATTTCTGATTGTCACAACTGTGGGTGCTCCTGGCACCTTGTGGCTGGAGCCCAGGGACGCTGCTCTACACCCTACAATCCCCAGGATGGCCCCACCACAGGGAATTCCCCCGCCCCAAATGTCACTAGTGCTCCAGCAGACAGCCTGTGCCTTTTGTGTCTCATGAATGGTTCTATCCCAAGATCTGTCCTTGCCCCATCTTCCTGCATGCCCTCTCCATCAGGGGTCCCCCTGCTTACAGGGTCCCCCGTAAACAATGTCCAGGCCCCCTCCCAGCCTGACTGTGCCCAGCCCGAGGGGTTAGCATGCTCAGCCCACCCCCAGCTCATGAACTCCTGGGGAGCCTGGACAGCACATTGCCATTCCACCAACTCATCATCCGAAACCAACACAGCCTGGCACCTGCCACCTGCTTCTGTCTGTGCCACTCCCTGCCCAGCCATGGAGAGTCTCATAGGACTCCTCCCTCCCATGGAGACCTTCTTGGCTAGAAAATCACACATCCTGCTTCCACAAAGTCCCTCTGCTCAGGGCACCAGCACCTTTCCCCTGGAGCAGGGCACTCTGCACAAAAGCATCAACGCAGTCCTCAAGGTCCCAGCCCGGCTCAGCGGCATGAAAACACGCTCAACATCACGAATGATCAGGGAAATGCAAATCAAAAGCAGAATGTGACATCACCTCACTCCTGCAAGAATGGCCACAATCAAAACATCAAGAAATAGCAAATGCTAGTGTGGATGTGGCGAACAGGGAACACGTCTGCACTGCTGGTGGGAACGTAAACTAGTACAGCCACTATAGAAGACAGTGTGGAGAGTCCTTAAAGAGCTAAATGTAGAACTACCATTTGATCCAGCAATCCCACTGCTGGGTATCTAGGTAGAGGAAAGTAACTCATTATATGAAAAAGATACTTAGAGGAAAGTAACTCATTATACGAAAAAGATACTTGCACAGGCATGTTTATAGCAGCACAATTTGCAATTGCAAAAATGTGGAACCAACCCAAATGCCCATCAATCAACAGGTGGATAAAGAAACTGTGGTGTATTTATATATATAAATGCCGGCACTGACACACACACAAACACACACACATATATGTCATATATATGTGTGCCATATATATACACACACGTATATATACACATATATGTATATGATGTGTATATATACACATATACGTATATGATGTGTGTATATGCACATATATGTATATATGTATATGATGTGTATATATACACATATATGTATATATGTATATGTGTATATATACACATATATGTATAGATGTATATGTGTATATATACACATATATGTATAGATGTATATGATGTGTATATATATATACATATACTTATGATGGAATACTACTCAGTCATGAAAAAGAATAGCATTTGGAGTGGCCTGGATGAGATTGGAGACTATTATTCTAAGTGAAGTAACTCAGGAATGGAAACCCAAACATCGTATGTTCTCACTCATAAGTGAGAGCTAAGCTATGAGGATGCAAAGGCATAAGAATGCCACAACGGCCGGATGCGGTGGCTCACACCTGTCATCCCAGCACTTTGGGAGGTCGAGGTGGGCAGATCACAAGGTCAGGAGTTTGAGACCAGCCTGGCCAATATGGTGAAACCCCGTCTCTACTAAAAATACAAAAATTAACCGGGTGTGGTGGCACATGCGTGTAATCCCAGTTACTCAGGAGGAGGCTGAGGCAGGAGAATCGCTTGAATCCGGGAGAAGGAGGTTGCAGTGAGCCGAGATCGCGCCACTGCTCTCCAGCCTGGGCAACAGAGTGAAACTCTGTCTCAAAAAAAAAAAAAAAAAAAAAAACGAAAGAAAGAAAAAAGAAAAAAAAAGGAATGACACAAAGGACTTTGGGAACTCCAGGGCAAAGATTGGGGAGAGGATGAGGGATAAAAGGCCACAAACCGGGTTCAGTGTATACTGCTTGGGTGACGGATACCCTGAAATCTCACACATCACCACTAAAGAACTTCCTCGTGTAACCAAATGGCACGTGTTTCCCCAAAACCTATGGAAGTAAAAAGTGTAAAACAAACCAACAAAAACACACATCAGCTTCTGAAAAAATCTTCTGAGGAGTGTGCTTTCTTGAGGCAAATAAAAGAGATTGCCAAAAATAATATATATATATTCATATATTACATATTTACATATTTATTATTTAAACATATATTTATGTATTTTTTATTATTTATATATTATATATTTATATATTTATTATTTAAATATATTGTATATTTATATATTATTTATTCTTTATATCTTATATACTTATATATTTATTATTTAAATGTATTGTATATTTATATTTTATTTATTATTTATATATTATATACTTATATATTTATTATTTAAATATATTATATACTTATATATTTATTATTTAAATATATTATATATTTATATATTATTATTTACATATTTATTATTTACATATTTATTATTTAAATATATTTTATATTTATATATTATTTATATATTATATACTTATATATTCATTATTTAAATATATTATTCATATATTATTTATTATTTATATATTATATACTTATATATTTATTATTTAAATATACTATATATTCATATATTATTTATTATTTATATATTATATACTTATATTTATTTAAATATATTATGTATTTATATATTATTTATTATTTATATATTATATACTTATATATGTATTATTTAAATATATTATATATTCATATATTATTTATTATTTACATATTACATAGTTATATATTTATAACTTAAATATATTATATATTTATATATTATTTATATATTACATATTTACATATATTATATACTTATCTATTTATTATTTACATATATATTTGTATATTATTTATATATAATATATTTACATATATATTTATATATAATATATTTACATATATTATATATTTATATATATTTACATATATATTTATATACAATATATTTACATATATTATATATTTATATATATTTACATATATATTTATATACTTACTATTTATATATTATATATTATTTATATATAATTATTTATATAATTATATATGTAATACATATATATATACACACACACAGATAGGTGTATCTGTTGCTTTATCCTAAGTGAACACAGATACTGCATCACTAGGGAGCGACATTGTGAACCGCAGAACACTCCCTGCAGTCCCCTGAGCTCAGTCTGGTCCTTGGGGGTGATCCTGGGGGCACCCATCACGCCCACGCCCTTTCCGTACCTTAACAGGTGTAGGCAGGGTGTTGTGTGTCTCCCAGGGGCCGTGCAGAATCTCCTAACCCGAGAGAGGAAGAGCAGGGTTCCAGGTGGACACTGGGATCCCTGGACCCTGCCCCGCCCACCCCACTGCCTCTAGGGACAGAAGAGGGGCTGGGGGAGGGAGGTTGGGGACCATGCCCAGACACAGCCAATGAGGAGGTCCTGATGGAGAGGCAGGGCTGAAGGAGAGGGCGCAGGAGAGAGACTCAGACGAGAGGGGGCCATCTGCCCGGGGAAAGGGCCTCTCCAAGCGCAGGGCTGTACGTATGCACCACTGGCAACAGCTACCCTGCTGTTGTTAATCCTAAGCCATCGCTTCTTCCCTGGAACTTTAAGGGACAAACTCAGAACTGCAGTGTGGGTAGGGTTGGAGGGAGGGAGCGTCTCTGTGGTTCTCCAAGGGGACCTCACCTCTCCCACCCACCCCAAGGTTGGTCAGTCTGAATGGTGCAGCCAGGCGGGGACCTGGCAGAAGGCATCTGAAAAGCATGTGCTTTTACAAACACAGGGTTGCCCACCGTCCCGTACGTCCCATGCACGCCTCTCTCAGCCTCTGACCTAATTGTCCTCTTGTGGGGTGGGGGAGGCCAATATTTGGGAAAAGGGGCAGCATCCTGGTGCACGTAGGACGCTGGCACCTGTCTGGCAGTGCCTAAATGAAAGTACTGCTTTTCCAATGTGGGATAATTCCTTTTTTTTTTTTTTTTTTTTTGAGACAGAGTCTCACTCTGTCACCCAGGCTGGAGTGCAGTGGCGCGATCTTGGCTCACCGCAACCTCCGCCTCCTGGGTTCAAGTGATTCTGCTGCCTTAGCGTGCCGAGTAACTGGGATGACAGGTGCCCGCCGCCACACTCGGCTAATTTTGGTATTTTTAGTAGAGACGGGGTTTCACTATGTTGGCCAGGCTGGTCTCAAACCCCTGACCTCAAGTGATCCACCCACCTCGGCCTCCCAAAGTGCTGGGATTACAGGCGTCTGTCACCGCCGTAAACACAAAATATGCTACTATCTGGCGCTGCTTGCCAAAGTCAAGTGGGCTATGCAAGGAGGAACGGAACGGGAAGGAGAGATTGAACGGCGCAGTCAGGTGCACCTGCTTCCCCACGGGCTTCAGCTCCTCAGCGGTTTTCACTTAGGGCTCTCGCGCTTCAGACTTCTCATCCACGTTACGTAAAGATAACAACATGGGAAGAAACAACCACACACACACACACACACACAGACACACACACAGACACACACACACACACACACACAAACCCTTTTCTTTTTGGGAACAGAGCCACGTGACCATGGTTCCCCTTTATAGAAATGGGACCTAAAGCGCCACAGCAGGCCTTGTTGTGTGTGGCCTGAAATTCCCAGAGCAGCTCCCTCTGCCTTTTCTCAGCTTTTTAGGGGACAGATCTGACAAGACCCAAGGAATTGGGGTTTCTAAGCGGACCTGTACAAATGAGGTCTGAGGTGGCCGTGAGACCCGGGTCTGGGGTCTCCCTGGCACCGAGGGGGTGACGAGGGGCCACCGTGCTCATCCAGGCACCCATAGGGCTTTAAAACCCGTTTAATTTATGCTTACTCTTCCATTATTGGAACGCTAAGCATTTGGGAGTTATTTATATCCCACGGCTCAAGGTCATCGCCAAGGTCTCATTGCAAACATTGAAAAAACTGCAATCTCAGGCGTAAATGGGTTACGTGCAGCAGCCGCAGCTGCTTACCCTCTCTAAGGTTAACCTCAAGAGAGGCGCATTTCATGGAATGAGTTTTTTTTTGTTTTTTTTTTTCTAAACAGAGTCTCGCTCTGTCGCCCAGGCTGGAGTGCAGTGGCGTGATCTCTGCTCACTGCAAGCTCCACCTCCAGGGATCATGCCATTCTCCTGCCTCAGCCTCCCGAGTAGCTGGGACCGCAGGCGCCCACCACCAAGCCCAGCTAATTTTTGTATTTTTAGTAGAGACGGGGTTTCACCGTGTTAGCCAGGATGGTCTCGAACTCCTGACCTCAGATGATCCACCCACCTCGGTCCCCCAAAGTGCTGGGATTACAGGCACCTGCCACCACGCCTGGCTAATTTTTGTATTTTTAGTAGAGACGGGGTTTCACCGTGTTAGCCAGGATGGTCTCGAACTCCTGACCTCGTGATCCGCCCACCTCGGCCTCTGAAAGTTCATGGAATGAGTTATTAAAGGAAGGGTGGCTTGCAGCCCTGGAAAATTTGAGCATTTCTCCCCTAAGTGACGAAGCGGCTGTGCAAAGTCTTCCTCCCAGGAAATTTGCACTCCTGGTCTGCTCTAGCGTGAGGAGAACACGCCTCATGGAGTTTGCACCGTCTTCCCCCATGTTCTCACCGTACACGGACCCTCCCAGCGACCCTGTCTTCTCCCTTGACAGTGCAGGACAAGCATAAAAGTCCAGCTCGGCGGCTCACCTGTGCAGAAGCAGCGGCAGAAGTAGCAGGTGAGAGCTCAGAGGGTCTCCAGGTAACAGGATGCAACGCTTAAGTCGACGGCCGTGCCTCAGAGCCCGGGACTCGGGGGGCCAGCCACCAGCTTGCAAGCCGTGGTCACTCAAAGTGCTTGAGAAGGTGTTCGTGGGCGGCAGACGGCTGCCCTTCCAGTTCCATCTGTCCAGCAACCTTGCAAAGGCGGCCGCTTCGCTGGGTGGCCCACCGGCTGGCACGACTGTCTCCGAATGCAAATTCTGCAAACTCCACCTCCCAGCGCACCACCACGGTTGCGACTCAGGCTTAGGTGGAAAGGAAGTGTGTTGTGACATTTCCTCTGTAACTGTCTGAACACTCATGTGCAGGGCTGAGCCCACTGGAGTAACGTCGCTGTGTCTCTGGGCAGCACCGTTAACCGCCCACCTCCCTATCACTGGCTCGCAGGGGGCCCTACTCTTAAGAGAACCCTGAGAGTGAGGAAAAGAGGGAGAATGATTTTTCTAAATTTTGTAACCAGCAGTGAAGAGCCGTGGCATGCTCCAGAACCGATTCCTGTTTCTTCTGAAATAACAAAACAAAACAAAGAAAGAACAGAACACGTTTCCTTTTAGACTCTAAAGCTGTGCTCATTGCGACATCTCTTGGTACACAGCCAGACTGTGACAAGCGAACAGACCTTGGGCACTGATCATTCCGGCTCTCACAGTTGGTCACGGGCGCTGCAGGCTCATATCCTCAACATCCCATGGGGGATCGGCCAGTTTCAGGAATGAGAACCAGGTTTCCGAGCTCTGGTATCCTTGCTTGTGAGGAGCAACGGTTGGTTCTTGTCACTCGTGGGAGGAGGTTGAGAGGGAAGGATCTGTCACTGAGAAAGAATGAATGAATATTGAACCACTGCTCAGGGAAAAGACATGGTAGAATCAATCCCTCAAGCCAGGCTGGGTGTGGTGGCTCACGCCTGTAGTCCCAGCACTTTGGGAGGCCAAGGCGGGTGGATCACTTCAGGTCAGGAGTTTGAGACCAGCCTGGCCAACATGGCGAAATCCCGTCCCTACTAAAAACACAAAAATTAGCTGGGTGTGGTGGTGGACACCTGTAGTCCCAGCTACTGGGGAGGCTGAGGCAGGAGAATCACTTGAACCTGGGAGGTGGAGGTTGCAGTGAGCCAAGATCAGGCCATTGCACTCCAGTCTGGGTGACAGTGAGACTGTCCCAAAAAACAAACAAACAAACAAAAAGACCAGGCCTGCTGGCTCACGCCTATAATCCCAGCACTTTGGGAGGCCAAGGCGGGTGGATCACTTGAGGTCAGGAGTTCGAGACCAGCCTGGCCAACATAGCGAAATCCCGTCCCTACTAAAAATACAAAAATTAGCTGGGCATGGTGGTGGATGCCTGTAATCCTAGCTACTGGGGAGGCTGAGGCAGGAGAATCACTTGAACCCGGGAGCTGGAGGTTGCAGTGAGCCAAGATCAGGCCATTGCACTCCAGCCTGGGTAACAGAGTGAGACTGTCTCAAAAAAAAAAAAAAAGTCGAGGCCTGGTGGCTCACACCTGTATTCCCAGCACTTTGAGGTGCCAAGGTGGGCCGGATCACTTGAGGTCAGGAGTTCGAGACCAGCCTGGCCAACATAGCGAAACCTGTCCCTTAAAAATACAAAAATTAGCTAGGCGTGGTGGTGGACGCCTGTAATCCCAGCTACTGGGGAGGCTGAGGCAGGAGAAGCATGTGAACCTAGGAGGTGGAGGTGGCAGTGAGCCCAGATTGGGCCATTGTACCCCAGCCTGGGTGACAGAGTGAGACTGTCTCAAAAAAAAAAAAAAAAAAAGGCCAGGCCTGGTGGCTCACGCCTATAATCCCAGCACTTTGGGAGGCCAAGGCGGGTGGATCACTTGAGATCAGCAGTTCAAGACTAGCCTGGCCAACATGGCGAAACCCTGTCTCTACTAAAAATACAAAAATTAGCTGGGTGTGATGGTGGGGGCCTGTAGTTCCAGCTACTGGGGAGGCTGAGGCAAGAGAATGACTTGAACCAGAGAGGCAGAGGTTGCAGAGAGCCGAGATCATGCCACTGCACTCCAGCCTGGGCAACAGAGAGAGACCCTGTCTCAAAAAAAAAAAAAAAAAAAATCAAAAGAATCCTTCAGGCCCCTGGTCACAGTGTTTTCTTCAACAGATCAATAAGTAGCTTTATATTATGTGTGTTTCTGTTTGAAAACACCTTATTAAGGAAATCGTTCTGTAAAAGGACATCCACACTCACAGTTCATCACAGCACTATTCACCATAGCAAAGACACAGAGTCAACCCAGGTGCTTATCCACCATGCATCGGATAAAGAAAATAGGGTACGTGACCGGCGGGTGCAGAGGCTCACGCCTGTAATCCCAGCAGTCTGGGAGGCCGAGGCAGGTGGATCACCTGAGGTCAGGAGTTCGAGACCAGACTGGTCAACATGGAGAAACCCCCTCTCTACTAAAAATACAAAAAATAATCTTGGCGTGGTGAAAGACACCTGTAATCCCAGCTATTTGGGAGACTGAGTCAGGAGGATCGCTTGAACCCGGGAGGCGGAGGTTGCAGTGAGCCGAGATCATGCCGCTGCACCCCAGCCTGGGCAACAAGAGCGAAACTCTGTCTCAAAAAATAAATAAATAAACAAATAAAAATAAAAAATAATAAAATGGGGTACATAGACACCATGGAATAGTACAAAGCTGTGAAAAAGAATGAAATCATGTCCTTTGCAGCAACTTGGATCCAGCCGGAGGCCATTCTCCAAAGTAAATTAATACAGAGACAGAAAGCCAAATACCGCATGTTCTCACTTATAAGCAGGAGGTAAACACAGGGTACTCATGGACATAAAGATGGGAACAACAGGCCAGGCGTGGTGGCTCATGCCTGTAATCCCAGCACTGTGGGAGGCCGAGGTGGGTGGATCACCTGAGGTGAGGAGTTTGAGACCAGCCTGACCAACATGATGAAACCCTGTCTGTACTAAAAACACAAAAATTAGCTGGGCATGGTCACAGACACCTGTAATCTCAGCTACTCGGGAGGCTGAGGCAGGAGAATCGCTTGAACCCGGGAAGAGGAGGTTGCAGTCGCTACTAAAAGTACAAAAATTACTCGAGCATGGTGGCACATGCCTGTAATCCCAGCTACTCAGGAGGCTGAGGCAGGAGAATCGCTTGAACCCTGGAGGTGGAGGTTGCAGTGAGCCAAGATCGCACCACTGCACTCCAGCCTGGGCAACAGGAGTGAAAATTCTGTCTCAAAAAAAAAAAAAAAGATGGGAAGAAGAGGCGTTACAGACTCCTAGAGTGGGGAGGGAGGGAGATGAAGGGCTGAAAAACTACCTACTGGGTGCTAAACTCAGTAGCTAGGTCATGAGATCATTCATACCCAAAATCTCAGCATCACACAAGATACCCTTGTAACAAACCTGCACATGTACCCCCGGAATCTAAAATAAAGTAAAGGCTGGGCACAGTGGCTCATGCCTATAATCCCAGGACTTTGGGAGGCCGAGGTGGGCGGATCACCTGAGGTCAGGAGTTCAAGACCAGCCTGGCCAACATGGTGAAATACTGTCTGTACTAAAAATACAAAAATTAGCCGGGTATGGTCACAGACACCTGTAATCTCAGCTACTAGAGAGGCTAAGGCAGGAGAATCGCTTGAACCCGGGAAGTGGAGGTTGCAGTCTCTACCAAAAATACAAAAATTAACCAGGCGTGGTGGCATATGCCTGTAGTCTCAGCAACTCGGAACGCTGAGGCAGGAGAATTGCTTGAACCCGGGAGGCAGAGATTGCAGTGAGCCGAGATCATGCCACTGCACTCCAGCCTGGGCGTCAGAGTGAGACTCTGTCTCAAAAAAAAAAAAAAAAAAAAAAAAAAAAAAGGAAAGAAAATCAAAGGCAGAGTCTATTCATCAGTTTGTGAAGTGTTTGTCTTCAGGATTACAGTGGTCCCTCCTTCTTCATGGTAGACGTGGTCCATAAAGTCGGAGCAAACGCTGAGTTAACAAATACAAACCGTCCTGCAAAAAGTCCACACTTAGACGCCTGTAGCTTTTGTACCTCTGGTCCCCAAATTTTTCACAGCTGATCCATACATAACCTTATTTTACGTGTGTTTCTGTTTAAAAAGCCGTATGGAGTCGATATTGTGGACGCAGTCACATTGAACTCACAGCCAACGGCATTATAATTCATGCCTGGGCAAAGCGTCTCTAACACACCTATTTTCTCCAGAAGACGCGCTGCAGTCTTCATGGGCTTACGGATGCTAGGCAGCTTTGCAGCTTCTGGGGCTTTTGAAACAGAAATCGCCAACAAAATGCACAAAAATGTAAAAATACCTGGCACTCAGTATACCCCCAAAAGGATGAGCTGATCCCGGAAGGCCCCCATTTTTCACCACTGTGTATCTGTTTTTGAACGTTTGCAAAATCGTCATGAGTCTTGGTTTTGGGGTTCCAAATAAATGTTAGTGTGTGGAGGAATTCACAGATATAGAAGTCGAGAATAATTTGCATTTCTTTCTTTATTCAGTCTGTCTCACTCAGGCTGGAGTGCAGTGGTGCGATCATAATTCACTGTAGCCTCCAACTCCTGGCCTCAAGCAATCCTCCTTCCTCAGCCTCCTGAGTAGCTGGGACTATGGGAGCATACTCTGCCACACCTGGCTAATTTTTTTTTTTTTTTTGAGACAGAGTCTCACTCTGTCGCCCAGGCTGGAGTACAGTGGCACAATCTTGGCTCACTGCAACCTCCATCTCCAGGGTTCTAGCCATTCTCCTGTCTCAGCCTCTGGAGTAGCTGGGATTACAGGCATGCACTACCACGCCCAGCTAATTTTTTTTATTTTTAGTAGACACGTAGTTTCACCATGTTGATCAGGTTGGTCTTGAACTCCTGACCTCAGGTGATCCACCCGCCTCGGCCTCCCAAAGTGCTGGGATTACAGGTGTGAGCCATCTTGCCTGGCCGCACCTGGCTAATTTAAAAAAAAAATTTTTTTGTGGAGTCCGGGCGTAATGGCTTATGCCTGTAATCTCAGCACTTTGGGAGGCCAAGGCAGGTGGATCATGAGGTCAGGAGATCAAGACCATCCTGGCTAACACGGTGAAACCCCATCTCTACTAAAAAATACAAAAAATTAGCCGGGCGTGGTGGCGGGCACCTGTAGTCCCAGCTACTTGGGAGGCTGAGGCAGGAGAATGGCGTGAACCTGGGAGGCGGAGCTTGCAGTGAGCTGAGATCACGCCACTGACCTCCAGCCTGGCCGACAGAGCGAGACTCCGTCTCAAAAAAAAAAAAATTTTTTTTTTTTTGTAGAAATGGGATCCTCTGTGTTGTCCTGGCTGGTCTTGACCTCCCGGGCTCAAGCCGTCCTCCTGACTTGGCCTCCCAAAGCTCTGGGGTGACAGACATGAGCCACTGCACTGGATGGATGGAATCATGAGAATTGATTATCTTTGCTAATCAGACAGAAGTGAAACAGCTGTCCCAAGGCAGACTCAGGGTCACGTGGCATTTGGAAGAGAGTCCTTTGAAAATGGGCTCTTCACGGCGAAAGCTGTGATCTTCTCTCTGCCCAAGTGTTGCTCAAATAAGTGGAGGTTGTAGGAATATTTGGACACCTTCTTCAGCTTGCTGTGAGGATGACCCATGGAGTAGGGGGATGGCCTGTAATCCCAGCACTTATGTATTATTATTATTATTACTATTATTATTATTATTATTATTGAGATGGAGTCTCACACTGTCACCCAGGGTGGAGTGCAGTGGTGTGATCTCAGCTCACTGCCACCTCCGCCTCTTCGGTTCAAGCAATTCTCCTGCCTCAGCCTCCTGAGTAGCTGGGATGACAGGTGTCTGCCACCACACCTGGCTAATTTTTTGTATTTTTAGTAGAGACAGGGTTTTGCCATGTTGGCCAGGCTGGTCTCGAACTCCTGACCTCAGGTTATCCACCCACCTTGGTCCCCCAAACTGCTGGGACTACAGGCGTGGTGGCGGGTGCCTGTAATCCGAGCTACTAGGGAGGCTGAGGCAGGAGAATCACTTGGATCCGGGAGGTGGAGGTTGCAGTGAGCTGAGATTGCATCATCGCGCTCCAGCCTGGGCAACAAGAGTGAAACTCTGTCCAAAAATAAATAAATAAATAAATAAGAAAATGGGGTACATAGATACCGTGGAATAGTATGCAGCAGTGAAAAAGAACGAAGTAATGTCCTTTCACCTTGAAATCATGTAATTACATAACGGAATCATGTAGTTTCGCCTTGCAAAGCTGTGCACAGATGGGACAGCTCCCGTCAGAAAGACACGAAGCTTATGGCTTGCAGTCGTCAAGGGCTGGACATTCAGACGGAAGAGGGAGGTGCATTGAGAAGCAGACAAGACTGGGCTATGGTTGCAGCTGACGGTCCCAGCAGAGCTCTCTGGCTACAAGCTTGCAGGCGGACATTTGGGGTCCAGGCTGCAGTGAGACCTGGGGGAGTATGACCAGGAGGGCTTGGGCTGCGAGGCCCAGATCCACTGTCTCTAAGATACGTAACCCTGGACTGTGTCGGGAGAGGCAGAAAGAGGAGATCCGGTTGCAGATGTCGGGGTGGTCAGCAGCTGGCTCGTTGGTGCTGCTGGGTTTTGTGGGATCCGTGCCTCTTCTCTCCCCATAAAAAGGGCAGGAGGCAGCCGGGCACAATGGCTCACACCTGTCATCCCAGCACTTTGGGAGGCCATGTGGGCAGGTCACAAGGTCAGGAGTTCGGGACCAGCCTGGCCAATATGGTGAAACCCCGTCTCTACTAAAAATACAAAAATTAGCCAGGTGTGGTGGCAGACACATGTAATCTCGGGTACTGTGGAGGTTGAGGCAGGGGAATCACTTGAACCCGGGAGGCGGAGGTTGCAGTGAGCCGAGATCACAGCACTGAACTCCAGTCTGGGCGACAGAGCGAGACTCCGTCTCAAAAAAAAAAAAAAAAGAAAAGGAAGGAGGCTTCAAAGTCTAGAGAACACCACTGCTGCCATCGTTCCAAGCTGGAAGTCACTGGGACACCTCTGAAACTTCGTGCTGAGGAAACTCAGATGTTGGGCTCAGCTCCTAGGCTGAACTCAGCAGGTTGGCCTGTGAAAACTTCTGTATTAACAAAGGAAAGGACTCACCAGAAAGCAACAGCTATTATCCTGGGCTTGGCAGCAAACAAGAGAACAGGTAGTGAAAATCCGGCAGTCTTTTTTCATTTTTTTTTTTTTTGAGATGGAGTCTTTCTTGCTGTTGCCCAGGCTGGAGTGCAGTGGCATGATCCTAGCTCACTGCAACCTCCGACTTCTGGGTTCGAGTGATTCTCTGCCTCAGCCTCCTGAGTAGCTGGGACTACAGGCGCCTGCCACCACGCCTGGCTAATTTTTGTATTTTTAGTATAGACGAGGTTTCACCATGTTGGCCAGGCTGGTCTTGAACTCCTGAACTCAGGTAATCCGCCTGCCTCGGCCTCCCAAAGTGCTGGGATTACAGGTGTGAGCCACTGCACCCGGCCCTGTGGTCTAATTTTAAAGGTCCAAAATCATTTGTTTCTAAAGTTTGCCCTTGTGCTAAAGCACCAGTGTATGTGTGTAATACTTGATTTGGTTATAAGCGATATTTCAAGGTAGATATTACTGTAGTAGGTTATGTAATTAAAAAGCCTTAAGCTGCTAAAACAGTATTTTTCAGAGATGTGAAATGCAGTATGGGACTAATTATTATTATTATTTTTCCTTCACTAAGTCTAAAGATAAACTATGAAATGCTCCATCATGGTGTTTGAAGGGTCCTTCCAATCTTAAAGATTCATGTTAGCTGATGAGACCCTGTCTCTACTAAAAATACAAAAATTAGCTGGGTGTGGGGGCAGGCACCTGTAGTTCCAGCTACTCGGGAGGCTGAGGTAGGAGAATTGCTTGAACCCAGGGGGCGGAGCTTGCAGTGAGCCAAGATCACGCCACTGCACTCCAGCCTGGGTAAAAGAGCGAGACTCCCTCTCAAAAAAAAAAAAAAAAAAAAAAAATTCATGTTGGCTGGTGAAACCCCATCTCTACTAAAAATACAAAAATTAGCTGGGCGTGGTGGTGGGCACCTGTAGTCCCAGCTACTCAGGAGGCTGAGGCAGGAGAATCACTTGAACCTGGGAGGTGGAGGTTGCAGTGAGCTGAGATCGCGTCACTGCACTCCAGCCTGGGTGACAGAGCGAGACTCCATCTCAAAAAAAAAAAAAAAAAGATTCATGTTGGTTTTCACTATCTCATAACGTAGGCTCCAAAAATGGTTTAGAGTATGGAGCCAAGGGTGTTTGTTTTTTGTTTGGTCAAGAGTACGTGCAAGCCAAGAGAACACTTAGCAAAAGATGTAAACTCTCTCGTAATAGATTGATGTGTTTTTTCTTTTATCAGAGTAAATGCTAAATATCAGTTAACCCAATAGCAAGTTAAAAGAAAAAAGTATGTGAGTCAGGTGAAAAATTCTGATGGTTAATGTCCTAAAGACAAGTTTGTTATTTATAAATGTGCATAATATAATTTTGCAACATAAAATTTTAAAAAATAAAATTGTTTACCCCCCTGAAAAAAGATATATCGTTATATGAATTGGTGTTCTCCAGGGAAAAGAATCAATAGAATATCTTTTTATATATACATAAGAGATAAATTTTTATCTGGGTGTGCAATGTTTATATATGTAAATATATGTGTTTTATTACATATATCTTTTGGTAGATAAGGACATATGCATATATATTTCTTTTATAGAATTTATAAATATTTATATAGTCTATACATATTACTTATTTATAAATACACACATATATATATTTTAACAACTATACAATATATGCGACTTCTTGGAAGAAACTGACTCATAGCATTATAGAGATTAAGCTGTCCCACAATCTGCTGTGTGAAAAGCTGGAGACCTGAAAGAGCCAAGGGTGTGAGTTCCCGTCTGAGTCTGAATTTCTACCTAGGAGAGTGGAGGGTATGACTTCCCATCTGAGTCTGAAGACCTGAGACCCAGGAGAGCCAAGAGTGTGAGTTCCAGTCTGAGTCTGAAGGCCTGAGACCCAGGAGAGCTGAGGGTGTGAGTTCTAGTGTGAGTGAATTTCTGAGACCCAGGAGAGCTGAGGTGGTGAGTTCCTGTCTGAGTCTGAAGGCCTGAGACCCAGGAGAGCAGAGGGTGTGAATTCTGGTGTGAGTCTGAAGGCCTGAGACCCAGAATAACTGAGGGTGTGAGTTCCTGTCTGAGTTTGAAGGCCTGAGACCCAGGATAACTGAGGGTGTGAGCTCCTGTCTGAATCTGAAGGCCTGAGACCCAGGAGAGCTGAGGGTGTGAGTTCTAGTGTGAGTCTGAATTTCTGAGACCCAGGAGAGCTGAGGTGGTGAGTTCTAGTGTGAGTCTGAATTTCTGAGACCCAGGAGAGCTGACGGTGTGAGTTCTAGTGTGAGCCTGAAGGCCTGAGACCCAGGAGAGCTGAGGGTGTGAGTTCTAGTGTGAGTCTGAATTTCTGAGACCCAGGAGAGCTGAGGTGGTGAGTTCCTGTCTGAGTTTGAAAGCCTGAGACCCAGGAGAGCTGACGGTGTGAGTTCTAGTGTGAGCCTGAAGGCCTGAGACCCAGGAGAGCTGAGGGTGTGAGTTCCAGTCTGAAGGCCTAGGGAGACCAATGTCACAGCTGAAAGCCCATCAGGCAGAAGGAATTCCCTCTTAGTTTCTGGGGAGACGGCTGTGCATAGCTGTCCACCTGCTTGACCTCTCTATGGGGCAGCTGCAGACCCTCAGGCTGGGTGCTACAGACCGATGTGGTTCAGTCATGTTCATTTCCGCATCTCGTGGGGCCATGCGTTGTATCTTGTGAGTCCGCGTTGCAGGTTGCAGGGAAAAATATGTTCATCTCTCTGACATGGTGTTTGAAGGTGTCTGAGCCGATCTGAGCTGATCCGAGGATGCCAGCTGAACCCCAGTGGGTTTAGTGACCGCCGTAAGGTTGTTTGGGGCTGTTTCTCTGAAGGAAACCAGGAACAGGATGTGTTCATGTCCCGGGAGAGCTGAGGGCCTGATGTTGAGAGAGGAACGGAAAACCGACAGGGCCTGGAGGAAGAGAGGGACAGAAATAGCAGCCCGGGCCAGGCCCCCACGTCTGCCCTGGGAAACGAGGCTGCCTGCTTCCAGGGGATCCTGTAAAGCCTGTTGTTGACCCGTAAGTTCCTGGCTGTTAGGAGCTGCCCTCCCAATGTGCACACCCAAGGGACAGAGAGACAAGGCGGCCAGGGGCTGCGGTGGGGGCCAAGCCATCGTGCCAGCTTCTCTGCTGGGTACGCAAGGTTTCAGGGCTGAGTATACCCTGAATTTTTGGGGGGTGTGTTCACCCAGGCCTGGGTGGCCTAGACAGCCCCAGGAATAGAATCCCAGACCCAAAATCAAAGCATATCCATGCAGGCCAAGTGTGGAGATGTTAGTCTATTTGCAGCAATTGGTTTAGGGATGGGGAGTGTGTTTAATGCTGCTTCTCATACCCCTTTTTCAAAATAATTGTAGGTTCACCCCCTGAATGTGGGAAACGAAGCTCATTTGCAAGTAAGGTCTTTGTAGATGTGAGAAAGGTTAGGAACTGGAGGGCTGTAGGCTCAGTTGTTCCTGCAACACGTCCTAAGCAAAATCCTGGGCATAGGCCAAGCATGGTGGCTCACGCCTGTAATCCCAGCACTTTGAAAGGCCGAGGCGGGCAGATCACTTGAGGTCAGGAGTTCGAGACCGGCCTGACCAACATGGTGAAACCCTGTCTCTACTAAAAATACAACAATTAGTCGGGCGTGGTGGTGGGCACCTGTAATCCCAGCTACTTAGGAGGCAGGAGAATCACTTGAACCCA
The DNA here is from genome assembly GCF_000001405.40 of Homo sapiens. NCBI lineage: Eukaryota > Metazoa > Chordata > Mammalia > Primates > Hominidae > Homo > Homo sapiens. The sequence continues at coordinate 1,547,861 of NC_000024.10, forward strand.
GGAGGTGGGGTCTGCAGTGAGCTGAGATCGTGCCATTGCACTCCAGCCTGGGCAACAGAGTGAAACTTAGTCTCAAAAAGAAAACAAAAAAAAAAGGCCAGGTGCGGTGGCTCACGCCTGTAATCCCAGCACTTTGGGATGCCAAGGCGGGCAGATCACCTGAGGTCAGGAGTTCGAGAACAGCCTGACCCACATGGTGAAACCCTGTCTCTACTAAAAATACAGCAATTAGTCAGGCGTGCTGGCACACACCTGTAATCCCAGCTACTCAGGAGGCTGAGGCAGGAGAATGGCTTGAACCCAGGAGGCAGAGGTTGCAGTGAGCCGAGATCGTGCCATTGCACCCCAGCCTGGGTGACAGAGCGAAACTTAGTCTCAAAAAGAAAAGAAAAAAAAAAAAGGCCGGGTGCAGTGGCTCACGCCATAATCCCAGTACTTTCGGAGGTCGAGGCAGGTGGATCACGAGCTCAGGAGTTCGAGACCAACCTGACCAACATGGCGAAACCCTGTCTCAACTAAAAATACAACAATTAGTCGGGCGTGCTGGCGCACACCTGTAATCCCAGCTACTCAGGAGGCTGAGGCAGGAGAATGGCTTGAACCCGGGAGGCAGAGGTTACAGTGAGCCAAGATCGTGCCATTGCACCCCAGCCTGGGCAACAGAGAGAAACTCAGTCTCAAAAAGAAAAAAAAAAAAGGGCCGAGTGCAGTGGCTCACGCCTGTAATCCCAGCACTTTGGGAGGTCGAGGCAGGTGGATCACGAGCTCAGGATTTCAAGACCATCCAGCCTGGTCAACATGGTGAAACCCCGTCTCTACTAAAAATAGAAAAATTAACCAGACATGGTGGCACGTGCCTGTCATCCCAGCTATTCAGGAGGCTGAGGCAGGAGAATCCCTTGAACCCGGGAGGCGGAGGTTGCAGTGATCCCAGATCGCGCCATTGTACCCTAGCCTGGGCAGCAAGAGTGAAACTCTATCTCACAAACACACACACACACAAAAAAAAAAAGAAAAAAAGATTCTGGGCATGGATGGAGATGGGGAACAGGAAAGAAAGAGAAAGAGAAGAAAACACAGCATGGGTGGGGTCCGAAGAACCACCCAAGGCTCCATCGTCCTGGGACCTTTGAGGGATCATGTGGGACCCGCCTCAGAGCCATCCCTCTGAGACAAGTGAAGGATGGACATTGTGGGCTGAGCTGGTTTCCTCTGAACCTGGGGCAGCAGAGGAGATGGATGTGACTGTGGTCACCCTGGGGTTGTTCGGAGGACGCAGGTCTCACTGAGCCTCTGGGATCCTTGTCTTATGAGATTAATTTTTACCCATCTGTGTGCACCATCAACCTCTTAATCTTGCATGATTGACGGCCAAGCCTATTGCAGCGAAAGGCTGGTGGCTGTTTGTGGGGTGAGAAGCCGAGTGTATTTTGGGGGTACGATGCCTTGGGGCCGTTCCTGGTGTGAGTGAGGCGGTATTGGTCACCGACAGTTACTGGGCTCTGTGTGCCAGGTGGATGCACAGACTTTCTGTCATCAAACATATGTGTTACAAGAACGCTCGGGGCCGCGTGCGGCGGCTCACACCTGTAATCCCAGCACTTTGGGAGGCCGAGGCAGGCGGATCACTTAAGGTCAGGAGTTCGAGACCAGCCTGACCAACATGGTGAAACCCTGTCTCTACTAAAAATACAAAAAATTAGCCAGGCATTGGGGCGGGTGCCTGTAACCCCAGCTACTTGAGAAGCTGAGGTGAGAGAATGGCTTGAACCCAGGAGGTAGAAGTTGCGGTGAGCCGAGATCGCGCCACTGTACTCCAGCCTGGGCAACAAGAGCACAACTCCACCTCAAAAAAAAAAAAAAGGCTGGGCGCAGTGGCTCATGCTTGTAATCCCAGCAATTTAGGAGGCCGAGGCAGGTAGATCACCTGAGGTCAGGAGTTCGAGACCAACCTGGCCAACATGATGAAACCCCATGTCTACTAAAAATACAAAAATTAGCCGGGTGCGGTGGCACATACCTGTAGTCCCAGCTACTCGGGAGGCTGAGGCAGGATAATCACTTGAACCTGGGAGGCAGAGGTTGCAGTGAGCCAAGATCACGGCACTGCTGCACTCCAGCCTGTGTGACAGAGCAAGACTCTGTCTCAAAAAAAAAAAAACAAAAAAAAAAAACCACTCAGAATAGTTACGCCATTGGCCCAAAGCCCTGGTGGATCCCAAAGTCTGTTTCTAATGGCATGATTTCCTTCCTCATGGCAAATCCCACTGCAATGTCCCACAGAACCCCACCCTGGCATTCCGTATCTCCTTCCTGGGATGGGGTTCTCTGTTCTGTGCCTGCAGTATTAGTCCCTTGTCACACTGCTATAAAGATTGGCCTGAGACTGGGTAATTGAGAAAGGAAAGAGGTCGCATTGACTCACAGATCCACATGGCTGAGGAGGCCTCAGGAAACTTACAGTCCAGTTGGAAGGCGAATGGGCAGCAGGCACCTTCTTCACAAGGTGGCAGCAAAGAGGAAGCGTGCAGAGGGAGAACTGGCAAACAGTTATAAAACCAGCAGGCCGGGTGCGGTGGCTCACGCCTGTAATCCCAGCACTTTAGGAGGCCGAGGTGGGTGGATCACGAGGTCAGGAGATCAAGATCACCCTGGCTAACACTGTGAAACCTCGTCTCTACTAAAAATACAAAAAATTAGCCTGACCTGGTGGCGGGTGCCTGTGATCCCAGCTACTCGGGAGGCAGAGGCAGGAGAATCGCTTGAACCCAGGAGGCAGAGGTTGCAGTGAGGTGAGATCACACCACTGCATTCAAGCCTGGGCAACAGAGTGAGACTGTCTCAAAACAAACCCAAAAGAGGGCCGGGCACAGTGGCTCACGCCTGTAATCCCAGCACTTTGGGAGGCCGAGGTGGGTAGATCACAAGGTCAGGAGATGAGAGGCTAACAGGGTGAAACCCCATCTCTACTAAAAATACAAAAAATCAGCCGGGTGTGGTGTTGGGCGCCTGTAGTCCCAGCTACTCGGGAGGCTGAGGCAGGAGAATGGCAGGAACCCAGAAGGCGGAGGTTGCAGTGAGCCGAGATCGCACCACTGCACTCCAGCCTCGGCGACACGGTGGGACTCCGTCTCAAAAAAGAAAGAAAAAAAAAAAGCAAAGCGGTTACGTTGACTCACATATCCACATGGCTGAGGCCTCAGGAAACTGACAGTCATGGCGGAAGGTGAATGGGCAGCAGGCACCTGTTTCAGAAGGTGGCAGCAAAGAGAGCGCAGGTGGAGACAGAACTGTCAATCATTTATAAAACCAGCAGGTCTCTTGAAAACTCATTCAGTATGCTGAGAAGAGAGTGGGGAAAACCTCCCTCATGATCCAATCACGTCCCTCCCTCAACACGTGGGAGTTACAATTAGAGACGAGGTTTGGGTGGCGACACCGAGACAAACCATAGCCTCTGCTAATGCCTGGCTGATATAAGTGACTTATGTGCTTTCTTCTACCCCCAAACACAGCCTTCAGGCCGGTGGAGGCCAAAATAATTCTCCACTCTTCCCTATGCACCTAGCACAGTGTCTGGTACACCAGAGACACCCCATCACTCATTACTGCATGGGAATAAAGCAGGAAATAGAGCATGTCGGCTGGGTGCAGTGGCTTACACCTGTCATCCCAGCACTTTTGGAGGCTAAGGCGGGTGGATCACCTGAGGTCAGGAGTTCGAGACTATCCCTGCCAACATGGTGAAATCCCGTATCTACTAAAAATACAAAAAATAGCTGGGTGTGGTGGCAGATGCCTGTAATCCCAGCTATTTGGGAGGCTGAGGCAGGAGAATTACTTGAGCCTATGAGGGGGAAGTTGTAGAGAGCTGAGATTGAGATTGCACCACTGCACTTCAGCTTGGGTGACAGAGTGAGACTCTGTCTCAAAAAAAAAAGAAAAAAAAAAAGACAAGAAAGGAGGAAGGAAAGAAAGAGAGAAAGAAAGAAAGAAAAAGAGAAAGAAAGAAAGAGAAAAGAATACAAGAAGCAAGAAAGGAAGGAAAGAGAGAGAAAGAAAGAAAGAAAAGAAGGAAGGCAGGAAGGAAGGAAAGAAGGGGAGAGAGAATGAAAAAGAAAAGAAAGAAAGAGAGAAAGAAAAAAGAAAGAAAGAAAAGGAAGGCAGGAAGGAAGGGGAGAGAGAATGAAAAAGAAAAGAAAGAAAGAGAAAAGAATACAAGAAGGAAGGAGGGAGAGAGAAAGAAAGAGAAAGCAAGAGGAAAAGAAAAGAAGGAAGGAAGGAAGGGGAGAGAGAGAATGAAAAAGAAAGGAAAGAAAAAGAAAAAAGAAGGAAGGCAGGAAGGAAGGAAGGGAGAGAGAATGAAAAAGAAAAGAAAGAAAGAGAGAAAGGAAAAAGAAAGAAAAGAAAGAAGGCAGGAAGGAAGGAAGGGGAGAGAGAATGAAAAAAGAAAAGAAAGAAAGAGAGAAAGAAAGAAACAGAAAAGAATACGAGAAGGAAGGAAGGAGAGAGAAAGAAAGAGGAAAAGAAAAGAAGGAAGGAAGAGGAGAGAGAGAATGAAAAAGGAAAGAAAGAAAGAAAAAGAAAGAAAGAAAGGAAAGAAAGAGAAAGAAAGAAGGAAAGGAAGGAAGGAAGGAAAGAAGGAAGGAAGGAAGGGCCCTGACTGCGTAGAAGTCACCCCCCGGGGACGATTCCTCAGACTGACGGGCTGAACATTAACCTGGTACATCTTGGAAACGGCGCACACATCACACCTTTTCACGGTAAAGTGAGTGCAGACGGGTGAAGACGTTTTGTATGCGAGAAAGTATGGAACACGAGAAATCATTTCTTCCATCAGGTTTCCCCTACAGTTTGTGGGAGAAATGAAGACATTCTATAAATGGAAAACCAAAAAATCATTTATTCCATGAGTACCTTCCTACAGTTTGTGGGAGAAAGGGTGACATAGGAGAAAAGTGATTTGGGACAGAAAAGAGTCTCTGATTTTCCCAACTCACACAAGTCCAGGGACTTCCTTTCACATCCAGTCTCAGGAACAGAGAATTTGGTTCTTCACTATTCACATGGTGTAGGCTGATCTGGTTGCCACAGACAACTTCAGCATGACCGGGTGGCCAGAGAGCCACCAGCACAGCCTTGCTCATCTGAAATCCTAAGACTCATCCACTTGGGGTCTTTCCAGTGGAGAGAGGGTCTGCTTCCTATCTGCTCCTGTGTGAATGTTGGTATCCTCCTAAAATTTCCATGTTGAAATCCTCACTCCCAAAGTGATGGTGTCAGGAGATGGGACCTTTGGCAGGTGATGAGGTCATGGAGATGGAGCATCATGCATGGGATCAGCGATCTCATACAACAGACCCCAGAGAGCTTTCTCGCCCCTTCTACCATGTGAGGACATGGTGAGAAGGCACCATCTAGGAACCAGGAGGCGGGTTCTCAGTAAGACGCTGAATGTGGCATGCTTTGATCTTGGACTTCCAGCCTCCAGAGCTGTGAGCAACAGATCTCTGTTGTTTCTTTCTGTTTTCTTTTTTTTTTTTTTGAGACAGAGTCTTCCTCTGTCGCCCAGGCTGGAGTGCAGTGGCACGATCTCAGCTTACTGCAAGCTCCGCCTTCCAGGTTTACGCCATTCTCCTGCCTCAGCCTCCTGAGTAGCTGGGACTACAGGCGCCCGCCACCATCCCCGGCTAATTTTTTGTATTTTTTATTTTTAGTAGAGACGGGGTTTCACCGTGTTAGCCAGGATGGTCTCGATCTCCTGACCTCGTGATCTGCCAGCCTCGACCTCCCAAAGTGCTGGGATGACAGGCGTGAGCCACTGCGCCTGGCAAATGTCTGTTGTTTCTAAGCCACCGAGGCTATGGTATTCTGCTATAGCAACGCAAACGGACTAAGACATCATCCTGAAACATGAAACTTCCAGCCCCAGGGAATGGGTGAAAGATGTTTACTTACTCAAGGTTTGTAACCCGCCACAACTCCCATGATGAAATCCTCAGTCCCCAAGGCAATGGTATTTGGAGGTGAGGACTTTGGGAGGTGATGAGGTCATGCAGGTGGAGTGTTATGAGTAGGATTTGTGCCCTTATAAAAGGGACCCCAGGCCGGGTGCGGTGGCTCACGCCTGTCATCCCAGCACTTTGGGAGGCCGAGGCGGGCGGATCACGAGGTCAGGAGTTCCACAGCAGCCTGGCCAACATGGTGAAACCCCATCTCTACAAAAAAATACAACAATTAGCCAGGGCCAGGAGTGGTGGTGGGTGCCTGCAATCCCAGCTCCTCGGGAGGCTGACGCTCACGCCTGTCATCCCAGCACTTTGGGAGGCTGAGGTGGGTGGATCACAAGGTCGGGAGTTTGAGAGCAGCCTGGCCAACATGGCGAAACCCCATCTCTACTAAAAATACAAAAAACATTAGCGGGGCATGGTGGCGGGCACCTGTAATCCCAGCTCCTCGGGAGGCTGAGGCAGGAGAATCGCTTGAACCCGGGAGGCGGAGGTTGCAGTGAGCTGAGATCGCGCCACTGCACTCCAGCCTCAGTGACAGAGCGAGACTCCATCTCAAAAAACAAAAACAACAACAAAATAAAATAAAATAAAATGGACCCCAGAGAGCTCCCTCACCCCTTCCAACACCATGTGAGACACAGCAAGAAGGCGCTGTCTATAGATCAGGAAGCCACTGGTTCATAGACCACCAGACACTGAATCTGCCACACCTTAACCTTGGACTTCCAGCCTCCAGAACCATGAGACATAGATGCCTGCTGTTGAGAAGGCCCCCAGCCTATGGTATTTCACGATAGCAACACATACGAACTAAGACACTCTCCTGAAATATGAAGGTTCCAGCCCCAGCAAATGAGGGAAAGGAAAGAGTCATCCACGTCCAGGGAGGGTCAGGGTTGAAGCTGATGCTACCAGGGCCCTCTTGAGTTGGCGTTTAGGGCCAGATGCCGTGCGTAGAGAATGTGTACGGGGGAATGGAGACGGCCACCGTTTCTCATCTGTGCCGTAAAGTCCCAGGCACTCGGGCCGTCCTGGGACCCAGTGCCTGGCAAACATACTTCAGGATGGCTTTCACGGGAACCCTGTGAAACTCTGCCGGGGCTGTGTAGCCACCGCCTTTCACTTCTCATGAGGCTTTCCTGAGTAACCCAGTTGTCTCTCTGGCTGTTGGCAGCCCTGGGGAGGTCTGTTGTTGACTGCAAAGGTGGTACGGGAAGAGGAAGTACCACACCCTCCAACTTTCTGCATCGCGAACCCTATCTGACCCTCCTCATCTAGGGGTGCTGTTTTTCTGCAGAAGTTGGCACTACAGTCTTGAAGAAAACAAAACAAAACAAAACACCAAAGTACTGGCTACAGGAAGCCCAGGCTACCAATTTCATTTCCTTATAATCTCAGTTCTGGGGTCTTGATTTGAACATGATGCTCCAGTGTCAGGAAGGGGTCAAAAAAGGGAAGCATGTCTGTGACCTTCAACTCAGGAGGAAAACACTTTATGGTTGTTTCTTCTTTTTAAATTAAATCTATCGAGAGGCAGAACCACTGAGGAATATGCATAGCAGCACACAATAGCCGAAAGGTGGAAACAACTCAAATATCCATGCACACACGGGAGTGGATATGCAGGATAAATCCATGCAATGGAGTACTACACAGCCATGCAATGGAACACTACGCAGCCATGAAAATGGGATACTATGCACCCTTGAAAAAGGAATGAGGTTCTGACGCAGGCTGCCGCATGGATGAACCTTAGGACATCATGCTCAGTGAGAGAAGCCAGACACAGAAGGACACACTTTGTAGGATTCCATTTCTATGAAATGTCCAGAACAGGCAGATCCATACAAATAGAAAGTGGATTTGTGGTTGTGAGGGGCTGGGGAGTGAGGATTGGGAATTCATGCTTAATGGGTACAGAGTGTCCTTTTAGGTGATGAGAATGTTGGCAGTGATCGTTGTGCAATCTTCTGAATGTGGTAAATGCCACTGAATCACACTCTTCAAAATGGTTAATTTTGGCCGGGCGCGGTGGCTCACGCCTGTAATCCCAGCACTTTGGGAGGCCGAGGCGGGCAGATCACGAGGTCAGGAGATCAAGACCACCCTGACTAACATGGTGAAACCCCGTCTCTACTAAAAATACAAAAAATTAGCCATGCGTGGTGGGGCACACCTGTAGTCCCAGCTACTCGGGAGGCTGAGGCAGGAGAATGGCGTGAACCTAGGAAGCGGAGGTTGCAGAGAGCCGAGATCGCACCACTGCACTCCCGCCTGGGCAACAGTGCGAGACTCCGTCTCAAATAAAATAAAATAAATAAAATAAAATGGTTAATTTTATGTTCTGTGAATTTTACCAAAAGAAAAAAAAATGGTCGGGCATGGTGGCTCACATCTGTAATCTCAGAAGTTTAGAAGGTTTAGGTAGGAAAACTGTTTGAGCCCAGGAGTTTGAGACCACCCTGCACAATATAGCCAGACCCCATCTCTACAAGATTTTTTTTAAAAAAATAAGCCAGGCATCACGCCTGTAATCCCAGCACTTTGGGATGCCAAGGTGGGTGGATCACGCGGTCAGGAGATTGAGACCATCCTGGCTAAGGTGAAACTTCGTCTCTACTAAATATACAAAAAATTAGCCGGGCGTGGTGGCGGATGTCTGTAGTCCCAGCTACAACCTCACTGCAACCTCCATCTCCTGGATTCAAGCGATTCTCCTGCCTCAGCCTCCCAAGTAGCTGGGATTATAGGTGTGCACCACCATGCCCAACTAATTTTGTATTTTTAATAGAGATGGGGTTTTATCATGTTGGTCAGTCTGGTCTCGAACTCCTGACCTCAAGTGATCCACCCACCTCGGCCTCCCAAAGTGCTAGGATTCCAGGCGTGAGCCACCTCACCTGGCCAGACATGATGTGTTTGTGTGTCTGTGGTGAGAACACTTAACATCCACTGTCTTCGAGATTTTTTTTTTTTTTTTGAGATGGAATCTCGCTCTGTCACCCAGGCTGGAGTGTAGTGGCGCGATCTCGGCTCACTGCAACCTCCGCCTCCCAGGTTCATCCCATTCTCCTGTCTCAGCCTCCCAAGTAGCTGGGACTACAGGCATCTGCCACAGCACCTGGCTAATTTTTTGTACTTTTATTTTAGTAGAGACGGGGTTTCACTGTGTTAGCCAGGATGGTCTCGATCTCCTGACCTCGTGATCTGCCCGCCTCGGCCTCCCAAAGTGCTGGGATTACAGGCGTGAGCCACCGCACCCGGTCTGCGAGATTTTTAATACACAATTCAATGTTATTCATTATAGTCACTGTGTTGTACCAAAGATCTCCTCAGCTTACTCATTCTGTCGGAATGAGCATGGTTTTTTTATTTGTTTGTTTGTTTGTTTTTGTCCTTAGATCAAACATCTTTTCCATTTTAGCTGTTTTTTTGTTTTTTGTTTTTTTTGAGACAGGGCCTTGCTCTGTCACCCAGGCTGGAGTGCAGTGGTGCAGTCTTAGCTCACTGCAGCTTCAACCTCCTGGGCTAAAGCTATCCTCCCACCTCAGCCTCCTGAGTAGCTGGGACTACAGGCACACACTACCATGCCCAGCTAACTTTTCTTTCTAGAGATGGGGTCTTGTTATGTTGCCCAGGCTGGCTTCCAACTCCTGAGCTCAAGCATTCCTCCCACCTCAGCCTCCCAAAGTGTTGGGATTACAGGTGTGAGCCACAATGCCCAGGCTTGCACATTTGTCCATCCATCTTCTATTCATCCATCCATTTATCCATCCATTTATCCATCCATCCATCCATCCATCCATCCATCCATCCATCCATCCATCCATGCATCCATTCATTCATCTATCTTTATCTATCTATCTATGTATCATCTATCTGTGTATCTATCATCTATCTATCATCTATCAATCTATCTATGTATCTATCTACCTATCATCTATCTTATCTATCTATGTATCTATCTATGTATCTATCTATGTATCTATGTATGTATGTATCCATCTATCATTTATCTATTTATCATCTATCTATCTATCTGTGTATCTATCTCTGTATCTATGTATCTATCTATCATCTATCTATCTAATCTATCTATCCATCTATGTATCTATGTGTCTATTTATCTATCATCTATCTATCTAATCTATCTATCCATCTATGTATCTATCTATGTGTCTATTTATCTATCATCTATCTAATCTATGTGTCTATCTATGTATCTATGTATCTATCTGTCATCTATCTATCCATCATCTATCTATCTACCTACCTATCGTCTATCTATCTACCTATCTATGTATCTATGTATGTATCTATGTATCTATCTATCATCTATCTAATCTATCTATCTATCTATCTATCTATCTATGTAGCTAATCTATCTATATATCTATCTATCATCTATCTGTCTACCTACCTACCTATCATCTATCTTATCTATCTATAATCTATGTATCTATATATCTATGTATCTATGCATCTATGTATCTATCATCTATCATCCATCTATCTACCTACCTATCATTTATCTATCGTATGTATGTATGTATGTATGTATGTATCTATCATCTATCATCTATCTAATCTATCTCTGTATCTATGTATCTATCTATCTATCATCTACCTATCTAATCTATGTATCTATTTATCTATCATCTATCTATCTAATCTATGTATCTATCCATCTATCTATTATCTATCTATCCATCATCTATCTACCTACCTATCATCTATCTATGTATCTATCTATCTATGTATGTATCTATCTATCATCTATCTAATCTATCTATCTATCTATCTGTCATCTATTATCTATGTATCTATCATGTATCATCTATCTATCTATCTATCTATCTATCTATCTATCTATCTATCTATCATCTATCATCTTCTGTATTAAAGTGGTTCTCAACTGGAGAAGATTTTGCTGTCCATGAGACATCAGTAAAATATGGAGTCATCCTTGGTTCTCACCACTGGCTGGAGCAGGAGGTGCTCCTGTCATCTGGTGGGCGGAGCTGAGGGACACTGCTCAATATTGTACAGTGCACAGGACGGCCCCACCGCAGAGGATTCTCCAGTCTCAAATGTCAGCAGCTCCAGGCCTGGCATGTTCTTGGATAACCCCCTCTCCCCACATCCTTTCTGGGATGCCCCATTGTGGCTGCCTTCATCATCTTTTCAATTAGGGGATGGTGAATGAAGACACTGGAGACTATCTGGGTAGAGAGTTTCTCTCTGAGTTCCCAGGGATGCCTCTGTCCTGGACCCCAGCACAGATCACCACGGGCAGCCCCTAACCATTGCCGGGCTCCTGAGGAGGGTCACCCTGCGCTTACTCCCCGTCATACCCATCTGGGGAATGGGTGGCTTCCACAGACTCACCAGGCATCTCCCTGTATCCCTGTACCCGCTGGAGGGTGCTACGTTGTCTCCGATTTACAGGGACAGTTTGATCAACCAACCCAGATCCCCAGATAGTGAGATGGTGTCTGGGCTACAAACCCAGGCCACCGATGTTCCTTGCTATTTAGGAATAAAGATATTTATGTCCCCGTTGTTTGGGGGAGTTCGTCCACCAGTAAAACTACAGAAAAGTGGAATGCTGTTTAGTTTTGTGTTGTTTTTTTTGTTTTGTTTTGTTTGTTTTGAGAAGGAGTCTCGCTCTGTCGCCCAGGCTGGAGTGCAGTGCTGACTGCAAGCTCCACCTCCCGGGTTCACACCATTCTCCTGCCTCAGCCTCCCGAGCAGCTGGGACTACAGGCACCCGCCACCACGCCCGGCTAATGTTTTGTATTTTTAGTAGAGACGGGGTTTCACCGTGTTGGCCAGGATGGTCCCGATCTCCTGACCTCATGATCCGCCCGCCTCAGCCTCCCAAAGCGCTGGGATGACAGGCGTGAGCCACTGCGCCCGGCCTAGTTTTTCTTATAATCATGCAGTGTTGTTTGTAGGATACTCTACAGGTTTGTGAGTGCGGAGACCCCAAACAGGCACGAAGGGGTGGAAAAGGGATGTACTGGAAAAGAGGACAGACAGAGTGGGGTCCCACGGCTGTCAGCAGAGAGGCAGCTGCAGGTACCCACCACTGGAGGCTATTGTCATAGAGACCCAGCAGGGGGGACATTCGGCTGCCTCCTCAAGCTGCGTCTTTGAATGCAACTAGGGGGAGCAGCTGAGCTTCAGGGATTCACGGATTCTATCAGGACAGCAGATGAGGGACTGGCGGGCACTTGGGCCCTAGAGCTTGGCACCTGCAAAGCAATGTATGCTTTTTTTTTGTTTTTGGAGACAGGATCTCACTCTGTTGCCCAGGCTGGAGTCCAGTGGTGCAGTCTCAGCTCACTGCAGCCTTGACCTCCCGGGCTCAAGCAATCCACCCGCCTCAGCCTCATCTCTGTTGCAGTGAGACGAGATCGTGCCACTGCACTCCAGCCTGGGCAACAGAGTGAGACTCTGTCTCAAAAAAAAAAAGAGCCGGGCGCGGTGGCTCCTGCCTGTCATCCCAGCACTTTGGGAGGCCGAGGCGGGCGGATCACGAGGTCAGGAGTTCGGGACCATCCTGGCTGACACGGTGAAACCCCATCTCTACTAAAAATACAAAAAATTATCTGTATGTAGTGACAGGCACCTGTAGTCCCAGCCACTTGGGAGGCTGAGGCAGGAGAATGGCGTGAACGCGGGAGGTAGAGGTTGCAGTGAGCCAAGGTTGCGCCACTGGACTCCAGCCTGGGCGACAGAGTGAAACTCTGTCTCAAAAAAAAAAAAAAAAAAAAAAAAGGAAAAACAAAGAAAAGAAGAAAGTGTTTGGTAGTTTCCCCTGTGGTTGGTCTCTCTCTCTTTCTCTCTCTCTCTCTCCCCTGCCACCTTGTGAAGGTGTGCCCACTCTGTTGCCCAGGCTGGAGTGCAGTGGTGCAGTCTCAGCTCACTGCAGCCTTGACCTCCCGGGCTCAAGCGATCCTCCCGCCTCAGCCTCCTGAGTAGCTGGGACTACAGGCACAGACCCCAACACCCACATAATTTTTGTATTTTTTTATAGAGATGGGATCTCACTATGTTGCCCAAGCTGTTCTCGAACTCATAGGCTCAAGTGCTCCATCCACCTCAGCATTCCAAAGTGCTGCGATTATAGGTGTGAGCCACTGTGACTGGCCCATACTCTCTTCCCTCCCTCCCTTCCTTCTTTCCTTCCTTCCTCCCTCCCTCCTTCCCTCCCTCTCTCTTACTTTCTTTTGCTTCTTTATTTCTCTCTTCTTTCTTTCTGTTTGTTCTTTCTTTCTCTTTCTCTCTCTCCTATCTTTCTTTCTCTCTCCTTCCTTCCTTCCTTTCTCCCTCCCTCTCTCTGTCTTTCTTTCTTTTCCTTCTTTCTTTCTCTCTCTCTTTGTTCTTTCCTTCTCTCTCTATCTTTCTCTCTTTCTCTCTCTCTCTCCTTCCTTCCTCCCTCCCTCCGTCTCTCTCTCTCTGTTCCTTCCTTCCTTTCTCTCTCTCTCTCTCCTTCCTTCCTCCCTACCTCCGTCTCTCTGTTCCTTCCTTTCTCTCTCTCCTTCTTTCTTTCTTTCTTTCTTCCTTCCTTCCTTCCTTCCTTCCTTCCTTCCTTCCTTGACAGGGTTTTGCTCCTGTCTCCTAGGCTGGAGTGCAATGACATGATCTCAGCTCTGCCTCCTGGGCTCAAGCAATTCAGCCTCCCAAGTAGCTGGGATTACAGGCACCCACCATCAAACCTGGCTCATTTTTGTATTTTTAGTAGAGATGGGGTTTCACCACGTTGGCCAGGCTAGTCTCGAACCCCTGACCATAGGTGATCCACCTGCCTTAGCTTCCCAGAGTGCTGGGATTACAGGGGTAAGTCGCTGTGCTCAGTTGCCATACACTTAAAAAAAAAAAAAATGAGGAGATAATCCAATTATAACAAGAGGACAGGGTGCATTCCTCAATGCTGTGGGGCAAACAGTTTTTGTTTGTTTGTTTTTTGAGAGAGGGTTTCGCTCTTGTTGCCGAAGCTGGAGTGCAATGGCACGATCTCGGCTCACTGCAACCTCTGCCTCCCAGGTTCAAGCGATTCTCCTGCCTCAGCCTCCCGAGGAGCTGGGATTACAGGTGCCCGCCACCACACACTTTAAAAAAAATGAGGAGATAATGCAGTTATAACAAGAGTACCAGGTGCATTCCTCAAAGCTGTGGGGCAAACAGATTTTTCAAAGGTCATTAAAGACCAATTGTTTTTTCAGGCCTGGTGCAGGAGATATAAGGTACAGAGGAGTTTTGACGTCTATTCATAGCCTGTGAATTGGGATTGCCCTTCTCATCTCTACTTTCCCTGGCCAGGTGACCCTGTCCCGGGGGAGCCCATGAGAGGCTGACTTCAAAACATCCTTCTCGAAGCCTTTCTGAATTCCGTTGCTTTTTTAAAAAAAGTCCTTAGGAGTTGGGTATTTTTTTGTTTTTTGAGACGGAGTCTCGCTCTGTCGCCCAGGCTGGAGTGCCATGGCGCAATCTCAGCTCACTGCAACCTCTGCCTCCCTGGTTCACGCCATTCTCCTGCCTCAGCCTCCTGAGTAGCTGGGACTACAGGTGCCCGCCACCACACCCGGCTAATTTTTTGTATTTTTAGTAGAGACGGGGTTTCACCGTGTTAGCCAGGATGGTCTCGATCTCCTGACCTCGTGATCCACGGAGTTGGGTATTTTTTTTACTTCATCAGAGTGAAATAGAAGAAGAGTTATATTTGTTTACTATAACTATGATGAAAGATCTAAGTTATTTTACACTAAAAGTTATATGAGGTTTTGATTTGTGACATCTCCAAAGTAAGCTTTGGAGGAATGAATGAAAAGAATATGGTCAGGGGCATTGGCTCACGCCTGTAATGCCGGCACTTTGGGAGCCCGAGACGGGTGAATCACCTGAGGTCAGGAGTTTGAGACCAGCCTGGCCCATATGCTGAAACCCCATCTCTACTAAACATACAAAATTAGCTGGGCGTGGTGGCACATGCCTGTAATCCCAGCTACTTAGGAGGCTGAGGCAAGAGAATCCCTTGAACCTGGGAGGCGGAGGTAGCAGTGAGCTGAGATTGCGCTATTGAACTCCAGCCTGGGTAACAAGAGCGAAACTCTGTCAAAAAAAAAAAAAAAGAAAGAAAGAAGAAAGAGAGAAAGAAAGAAAGAAGAGAGAGAAAGGAAGAAGAAAGAAAGAAAGAAAAAAAAGAAAGAAAGAAAGAAAGAAAGAAAGAAAGAAAGAAAGAAAGAAAGAAAAGAAAGAAAGAGGGAGGGAGGGAGGGAGAGAGAGGAGAGAAGAAGAGAGGAGAGGAGAGGAGAAGAGAGGAGAGGAAAAATGTTTATAGTGCCAGGTGCAGTGGCTCATGCCTGTAATCCCAGCACTTTGGGAGGCTGAGGCGGGTGGATCACCTGAAGTCAGGAGTTCGAGACCAGCCTGGCCAACATGGAGAAACCCCGTCTCTACTAAACATACAAAATTAGCTGGGTGTGGTGGTGGGCGCCTGTAATCCCAGCGACTCAGGAGGCTGAGGAAGGAGAATTGCTTGAACCCAGGAGGCAGAGGTTGCAGTGAGCCAAGATCGTGCCATTGCACTCCAACCTGGGCACCAAGAGTGAAACTCCATCTCAAAAAAAAAAAAAAAAGAAAAAGAAAAAGAAAAAAGAGAAAGGAAGAAAGAAAGAAAGGAAAGAAAGAAAATAAAAGAAAAGAATAAACGTTTATAGTGCCGGGTGCAGTGGTTCATGCCTGTAATCACAGTGCTTTGGGAGGTCAGTGTAGAAAGATAGCTGGAGGCCAGGAGTTTCAGACCAGCCTGGGCAAGATAGCAAGAGCCCACCTCTACAAAAAAATTAAAAAACATTAGCCCTACATGGTGGTATATGCCTGTAGTCCCAGGTCCTCAGGAGCCTGATGCAGGAGGATTGCTTGAGCCCAGGAGGTGGAGGCTGCAGTGAGCTGAGACTGCACCACTGCACTTCAGCCTGGGCAATGGAGCAAGACCCCGACTCCAAAACAAAACAAAACACAAAGTGTTTATAGTAATATTTGCAATTGTATAGGGTTTTGATGGTGATTACGCTTTGCCACAATCACTTCCTCTGCCTCAGCATCTCCCTTTTGTCTGCTTGTTTTGCTCTGGTTCTTTTTTTTTTTTTTTTTCCACCTTTCTTTAGATTGTAACAAGAATGCACGTGGACAAAAACTGGGACTGAGGCCATCCCATTACTGGGTATATACCCAAAGGATTATAAATCATCCTGCTATAAAGACACATGCACACGCATGTTTATTGCAGCACTATTCACAATAACAAAGACTTGGAACCAACCCAAATGCCCATCAATAATAGACTGGATTAAGAAAATATGGCACATAGACACCATGGAATACTATGCAGCCATGAAAAAGGATGAGTTCATGTCCTTCGTAGGGACATGGATGAAGCTGGAAACCATCATTCTGAGCAAACTATCGCAAGGACAGAAAACCAAACACCGCATGTTCTCACTCATACGTGGGAATTGAACAATGAGAAGACTTGGACACAGGGTGGGGAACATCACACACCAGGGCCTGTCGTGGGGCGTTGGGAGAGGGGGGAGGGAGAGCATTAGGAGATATACCTAGTGTAAATGACGAGTTAATGGGTGCAGCAAACCACCATGGCACATGTATACGTATGTAACAAACCTGCACGTTGTGCACACGTACCCTAGAACTTAAAGGATAAAAATTTAAAAAAATTTTTAAAAACTGGGGCTGAGGGTGTGGGTGGGGAAGCTCATGAACAGCCTCAGCTCTTCCAGTGGAGCTTTGCTGTGGGCAGAAGGTCAATGTCCTCCCCGAATTCCCACATTGATGTAACCACCAACAAGATGATGTTAAGAGGCTTTGGGAGGTGACGAGGTTGTGAGGTTGGAGTCTCATGAATGGGAATCATGCTCTCATAAAAGGAACCCCAGAGACCTCCCTGGCCCCTTCCACCATGTGAGACACAGAGAGAAGGCGCCATCTATGAACTAGGAGACGGGTCCTCACCAGACACTGAATCAGCCACACCTTCATCTTGGACTTCCAGCCTCCAGCACCGAGAGACGTAAAGGTCTGTCTTGATAGGCTGCCCAGGGTATGGTGTTCTGTGACAGCAACACGAAAGGACTAAGACAACCTTGCATTTAATCGTGAGAATTGTTACATTGTTGCACGCTGTCTATGGATAATGCTACATTTGCTTCAATTGTTTTTCAGTAATTACTATAGCAGCATTCTGCAAATAGCAACATTTCTTTTCTAATAGTTACATATGCAGCAAAAATAACTGTATAAAACTCTTTTTTTTCTAAACATTATGGTGAAAACTGAAACTCTTTATTTGCATTGGTTGAGATAAGGATTTACGATGGTGTGGGTTGCTTCCTCCCCCCTCCTTCTCTCCGATGCTGCCAGAGTCTGTATTTATTTAAGCATTTCACATCTTTTATTTCCAAACTCTATTCTCTAAAAATATTTTTCATCTTAGAATGTGTTGTACTGATACTAATTAATACATATACTATTACTATACTGTATATTTTCATACATTGTGCCTTGAAAACATTTTTTATGAATCTTCTTCTGTTTTATGGTTAACTGCCAATCATTTTGTACCACAGCTTCCCCATTTTAAAATTCTTAATTTCATTCATTTCTGGTTTGGCTGGAGTTACTTTGGCTGTTGTTGTTGGTTTTTGTTTTTTTTTTTTAAGATGGAGATTCACTCTTTGTTGCCCAGGCTGGAGTGCAATGACATAATCTCAGCCCACTGCAACCTCCTTCTCCTGGGTTGAAGCAATTCTCCTGCCTCAGTCTCCCAAGTAGCTGGGATGACAGGCATGCACCACCACGCCTGGCTAATTTTTGTATTTTTAGTAGAGACAGGGTCTCACTATGTTGGTCAGGCTGGTCTCAAACTCCTGACCTCAGGTGATCCACCCGTCTCGGCCTCCCAAAGTGCTGGGATTACAGGTGTGAGCCACCGTGCCCAACCTGTTGTTGCTTTTAAAAACACTTGTTTTTTTCCCCCCCAAAAGGGGACCTAGGCCTGGTGGTACACGCCTGTGGTCCCAGCTACTCAGGAGGCTGAGGTGGGAGGATCGCTTGAGCCCAGGAGTCCCAGGCTGCAGTGAGCTAGGACTGCACCACTGCACTCCAGCCTGGGAGACAGAGGGAGACTCCCTCTCTGAAAAAAAAAAAAAAGGAGTTGGGGGATATAAAAAACATATTTGCATCCTTGAAAATACATGCCTCTAAGATGACAGATTTTTTCAGTGCAGGATTTTGGGGAGGGGAACTTTTCTCTATCAAAATGATCTACTGGATAGAACATAGTGTCCAGAGTCAAAGATACTGTATTGTATACATAAAAATTTGCTAAAAGAGTAGATCACATGTGAAGCGTTCTTATCACAACAAGAAAAAAAAACATCATCATCATATCGAGAGGGAA
Source organism: Homo sapiens (assembly GCF_000001405.40). Taxonomy (NCBI): domain Eukaryota; kingdom Metazoa; phylum Chordata; class Mammalia; order Primates; family Hominidae; genus Homo; species Homo sapiens. The sequence goes on from NC_000024.10 coordinate 1,566,359, forward strand.
GAGGAATCTTTTGGAGGTGATAGATATGTTTATGACATAGATATGTTTATGACATAGGTGACATATGACTTTCAAGGATGTGTCTTTTTCTCCCAAGTTATCAGGTTGTATACTTTAAATATATACAGCTTTTTGTATGTTAAACAAGCCTCAGTACAGCTATTTTGTTTTTTATTGCTTCAGGCCTTTGGTTATTTTGTTCTGTAGATGGCTGATGATGTGTTGCTTTGTAAAATAATCTGCTTATTTCTCCTGGGCATTACAGGATATGATTTATCTTGAATATTTAAACAAATTTCCAGGAATTTCCATGTGTATCTTTTCATTAAGATACTTAAAGGGCTTTTTGTTTGTATGGTGTTATTCAGTGCGGAGATATTTTTCTCTGTTATTTCTTTGATTATTCTTTCTGCTCTATTCTCTTTGTGGAATTTATGTTGAAAATATACCATATATGGGAGATATGTATATATACGTATATGTGAGATGAATTTATGTTGCAAATATAACATATATGGTAGATATTATACACGATATGATATATTTATATATGAGATGAATTTATGTTGCAAATATAACATATATGGTAGATATTATACATGATATGATATATTTATATATAGATGAATTTATGTTGCAAATATAACATATATGGTAGATATTACATATGATACATGATATGTATGTATATAATATATGTGTACATGAGATGAATTTATGTTGCAAATATAACATATATGGTAGATATTATATATGCTATAATATTTCTATACATGGGATAAATTTTTGTTGTAAATATACCAGATATGGCAGATATTATATATGATATATGTGTGTATATATATATATATATATCAGATGAATTTATGTTGCAAATATAACATATATGGTAAACATTATGTATGAAACACTTATATATGAGATGAATTTATAACACAAATGTAACATATATGGTAGATATATATGATATAATCTTATATATGAGATGAATTTATATTGCAAATATATATGGTAGATACATATGATATAATATATATGGGATGAGTTTATATTGCAAATGTGACAGATATGGTAGATATGTATATATATGGGATACATTTATGTTGTAAATATACTACATATGGTAGACATTATATATGATATATGTATATATCAGATGAATTTATGTTGCAAATATAACATATATGGTAGACATGTATATATGCTATAATACATGTATACATGGTATAAATTTATGTTGTAAATATACTATATATGGTAGATACTATATCTGATATATGTATACATGACATGAATTAATGTTGCAAATATATTTGCCTATATGGTAGATGTATATATCTAATATGATACATGTATACATGAGACAAATTTATGTTTCAAATATTTTATATATATATATATATATATATATATATATATATTAGCTATGAATACAGTCATCCCTCAGTAACATTGGGAAATTGGTTCTGGAACCCATCTGAGGACAGGAAAATCCAGGTATGCTGAGGCGCCTGATATAAAATGGTGTGGTATTTGCATATAACCTACCCACATCCTTCCATATGCTTAAAGTCATCTGTAAATTATTTATAACACCTAATATAATGTAAATAGTTGTTATAGGGTGGGTGCAGGGGCTCACGCCTGTAATCCCAGCACTTTGGGAGGCCAAGGTGGGTGGATCACAAGGTCAGGAGATCGATACCATCCTGGCCAACATGGTGAAACCCCATCTCTACTAAAAATATAAGAATTAGCTGGGCATGGTGGCGTGCACCTGTAGTCCCAGCTACTTGGGAAGCTGAGGCAGGAGAATTGCTTGAACCAGGAAGGTGGATGTTGCAGTGAGCCAAGATTGCACCACTGCACTCCAGCCTGGTGACAGAGTGAGGTTCTGTCTCCAAACAAAAACAAAAACAAAAACAAAAAACAAAAATTAGCCACGTGTGGTGGCGTGCACCTGTAATCCCAGCTACTCAGGAGGCTGAGGCAGGAGAATCGCTTGAACCTGGGAGGTGGAGGTTGCAGTGAGCTGAGATTGCACCACTGCACTCCAGGCTGGGCAACAGAGTGAGACTCTGTCTAAAAAAAAAAAAAAAAAAATATATATATATATATATATATATATATATATATATATGTAATATATATGTGTGTATATATATGTATATATGTATATGTGTGTATATATGTATATATATGTGTGTATATATAGTTGTTATACTGTGTTTTTTATTCATAGTTTTATGTTTTTCAAACATTTCTGATCTGAGGTTGGTTGCATCTGCAGATGTGGAAACTGTGGATATGGAGAGCTGAATGCATAGGATAGAATATATAAGTGAGGTCCCTTCTCTGGTTAAAACAACTCCATATGTGCCAGGTGGCTCATGCCTGTAATCCTAGCACTTTGGAAGCCAGGGTGGGTGGATAGCTTGAGCCCAGGAGTTTGAGACCAGCCTGGGCAACATGATGAGACCCCATCTCTACTAAAAAATATATATATATAAATTAGCCGGGCACGATGGCATGCACCTGTAGTCACAGCTGCTTGGGAGGCTGAGGTGGGAGGATCACTTGAGCCCAGGAGGTTGAGGTTGCTGTGAGCCGTGAAATCACACGACTGCACTCCAGCCTGGGAAACAGAAAGAGACTCTGTCTTAAAAAAAAAAGTGTATATATGAGATGCATTTGTATTATAAATAGCATATATATGTATATACGCTAGATATGTATAGAGGATAGAATATATGTTTCTGTGAGAAGCATTTGTACTGTAAATAGTATATATGTGTGGGCTGGGAGTAGTGGCTCATGCCTGTAATCCCAGCACTTTGGGAGGCTGAGGCGGGTGGATCACAAGATCAGGAGATCAAGACCATCCTGACTAACATGATGAAACCCTCATCTCTACTAAAAATAGAAAAAAATTAGCCAGGTGTGGTGGTGGGCGACTGTAGTCCCAGCTGCTGGGGAGGCTGAGGAAGGAGAATGGCGTGAATCCGGGAGGCGGATCTTGCAGTGAGCCGAGATCGCGCCACTGCATGCCAGCCTGGGCGACAGAGAGAGACTCCGTCTAAAAATAAAAATAAAAATAATAATAATAATAATAATAATGAAATGAGATCATGTCCTTTGCAGGGACATGGATGGAGCTGGAGGCCATTATCTTTAACAAACTAACACAGGATCAGAAAGCTAAATAATACATGTTCTCTCTTATAAGTGGGAGCTAAATAATGATGACACTTGAACACAAATTAAAAAACAACAGACTCTGGGGGCTATGTGAGGGTAGAAGGTGGGAAGAGGGAGAGGAGCAGGAAAAATACCTATTCGGCACTAGGCTAAGTACCTCGGTGATGAAATGATCGGTAGCAAAATCCCCCATCTCACGTACCTCCCGAACCTAAAATAAAAGTTAAAACATCAAAAAGGAAAAAGAGCTAACTTGAAATGATACAGTTTGAAGTTTATTAAAAATGCGGACGCGTCACAAGACTCTCCAAAAGTGGGCAGGATGATGGTTTTAAAGTTACGTGTATTTTACCACAATAAAAAAAAATTGGGTTGGACATGGTGGCTCGTGCCTGTAATCCCAGCACTTTGGGAGGCCGAGGTGGGTAAATCACCTGAGGTTGGGAGTTCGAGACCAGCCTGACGAACATAGTGAAACCCCATCTCTATTAAAAATACAGAAATTAGTGGGGCATGGTGGTGCACCCCTGTAATCCCAGCCACTCAGGAGGCTGAGGCAGGAGAATCACTTGAACCCGGGAGGCGGAGGCTGCAGTGAGCCAAGTTTGCACTGATGCACTCCAGCCTGGGTGACAGAGTGAGACTCTGTCTCAAAAAAAAAAAAAAAAATTGTAGAAACCTGACAAGACTCACAAAAAAATGGACAAGATGATGGCTGGGTACAGCGGCTCTCGGCTGTAATCCCAGCACTTTGGGAGGCTGAGGTGGATGGATCACGAGGTCAGAGTTCAAGACCAGCCTGGCCAAGATGGTGAAACCCCGTATGTACAAAAAATAAAAAAAATTAGTCAGGGTGTGGTGGCGAGCACCTGTCATCCCAGCTACTCGGGAGGCTGAGGCAGTAGAATTGTTTGAACCTAGGAGGCGGAGGTTGCAGTGAGCTGAGATCACGCCACTGCACTCCAGCCTGGGTGACAGAGTGAGACTCCGTCTCACACACACACACACACAAAAAGGACAAGATGATCGTTTTTGTGTTATGTATATTTTACCACAATAAAAAAAAAGTTTTGGAGGACGGGGTAAGCAATACGGTAGGGGAGGATGGCTGCTTGCCAACCATTTCCTGACTCCTTCCTGTCCTATTTCTACCGAATCATTCTGCAGGCATCCTGCGGCCTCTGTGTTGAGATGGGCAGGCAGAATTGCAGAGACGTTTACAGCTGTAACGAGGCGTTGGGGGCCACATCCTACCTTCCCGTGTTCTTCCCGTAAAAAGAGTCAATGCTTACCGTGCCTGAGTCGTGACACCAGCCAGTTTCCTAGTCTTCTCATACTCCTGCCTCGTGGCACAGGCACCTCTGAAGAAACTCCCTCCCCATAAGGACCTGCTCAGCTACCCCAGCCTGACACCTGGGCCTTCACAGAAGCCCCTGAGCTCTTGCACCTGAGCCTGCAGGGAAGGGTCCGGAGCCCAGACCTCTGACTCCGACTGACACCATGTACCCAAATGCCCAGTCCGCAGGGGGATTTCAGCTTCGTCATTTGTCAAGGGAGAGGGATGACAGCAGGATGACAGATGAGAAACACAACCTGTGAACCCAAGATAGCAACATAGCAGTACAGTGGGTACCGCCGGGAACACCACACACACACACACGATAGGAAGCTCATTTTCCCCTGTTGAATGTTCAGTATTATGTGCACTGCTTAACCAGAAAAAAAAGCCAGGCTCCATTCAACGTAATCCTTGCATCGTGGTGCCACATGTAGCCATGGAAAAGTAAACTCCTTGATAAAATAATGAGAATTCACAGGTAAGTTTACAGCTTGTCCTGTGGGCTGCTGGCTTTCTAACTTGTTTTTTTTTTTTTTTTTTTTTGAGACGGAGTCTTGCTCTGTCACCAGGCTGGAGTGCAGTGGTGCAATCTCGGCTCACTGCAACCTCTGCCTCCCGGGTTCAAGGGATTCTCCTGCCTCAGCCTCCCAAGTAGCTGGGACTAAAGGCATGCACCACCATGCCTGGCTAATTTTTGTAATTTTAGTAGAGAGGGGGTTTCACCATGTTGGCCAGGATAGTCTCGATCTCTTGACCTCGTGATCCACCTGCCTTGGCCTCCCAGAGTGCTGGGTTTACAGGCGTGAGCCACCGTGTCTGGCCTTTTTTTTTTGAGATGGAGGCTCGCTCTGTCACCCAGGCTGGAGTACAGTGGCACAATCTCAGCTCACTGCAACCTCTACCTCCCGGGTTCAAGCAATTCCCTGCCTCAGCCTCCTGAGTAGCTGGGACCACAGGTGTGTACTACCTCTCCTGGTTAATTTTTGTGTCTCTTTTAGAGACGGGGCCTTACTACATCGCCCAGGCTGGTCTCGAACCTGACCTCGTGATCCACCCATCTCAGCCTCCCAAAGTGCTGGGATTGCAGGCATGAGCCACCGTGCCTGTTGTTTGTTTTTTTTTTTGAGACGGAGTCTCGCTCTGTTGCCCAGGCTGGAGTGCAGTGGCATGATCTCAGCCTACTGCAACCTCTGCCTCCTGGATTCAAGCCATTCTCCTGCCTCAGCCTCCTGAGTAGCTGGGACCACAGGCGTGTACTACGTCTCCCAGTTAACTTTTGTGTCTTTTTTAAAGACGGGGCCTTGCTACATCACCCAGGCTGGTCTCGAACACCTGACCTCATGATCCACCCATAGCCTCCCAAAGTGCTGGGATTACAGGCATGAGCCACCATGCCTGTTGTTTGTTTTTTTTTTTTTTTTTGAGACGGAGTCTCGCTCTGTCACCCAGGCTGGAGTGCAGTGACATGATCTCAGCTTACCGCAACCTCTGCCTCCTGGGTTCAAGCCATTCTCCTGCCTCAGCCTCCTGAGTAGCTGGGACCACAGGCATGTACTACCTCTCCCGGTTAATTTTTGTGGCTTTTTTAAAGACGGGGACTTGCTACACCGCCCAGGCTGGTCTTGAACTCCTGACCTCGTGATCCACCCGCCTCGGCCTCCGAAAGTGCTGGGATTACAGACATGTGAGACACTGCGCCTGGCCTTCCAACTTGTTTTCTAACCTCATCCTAGAGTGACGAATGCATACATAGGATGACCCAGGATACACACATGCATTTCCATTTCATTCACCTGCAAAACAGACATAAGTGTTTCACCTCGGAGGAGCTGCACACCTGGAATCACTGCCTTTGAGCTTGGAGAAAATCGGATAGCGGCAGTCATGAAAAGCCAGGTGGCAGAGAAGGACGGACATGCAATTGCTGAAAAACCCCAAATCCAGAAACACTGGGTGAGAATTTCTCCTTTTTTTCCAATTGCCTCTCCTTGGGGAAGCCGTAAGAATATGTCGCCTTGGGGCGGGGCGCGGTGGCTCACACCTGTAATCCCAGCACTTTGGGAGACTGAAGGGGCTGGATCACGAGGTCAAGAGATCGAGACCATCCTGGCTAACACGGTGAAACCCTGTCTCTACTAAAAATACAAAAAATTAGCTCGGCGTGGTGGCGGGCACCTGTGGTCCCAGCTACTTGGGAGGCTGAGGCAGGAGAATGGCATGAACCCAGGAGGCGGAGGTTGCAGGGAGCCCAGATCGCGCCACTGCACTGCAGCCTGGGCGACGGAGCGAGACTCCGTCTCAAAGAAAAAAAAAAAAAAAAGGAAAAAAGTAAATCTCTCCACTGTCTCTCTGTCTTGTAACGCACAAATGGCATTTTGGGTCAGATGTGGAAGCTCACGTCTGTCATCCCAGCACTTTAGGAGGCCGAGGTGGGCGGATCACCTGAGGTCAGGAGTTCGAGACCAGCCTGGCCAACATGGTGAAACCCCATCTCTGCTAAAAATACAAAGAATAGCCAGGCTTGGTGGCAGGCGCCTGTAATCCCAGCTACTCGGGAGGCTGAGGCAGGAGAATGGTGTGAACCCGGGAGGCAGAGGTTGCAGTGAGCCGAAATCGCACCACTGCACTGCAGCCTGGGTGACAGAGCGAGACTCCGTCTCAAAAAAAAAAAAAAAAAAAAAAAACGGAAAAAAATAAATCTCTCCACTGTCTCTCTGTCTTGTAACTCAAAAATGGCATTTGGGTCAGATGTGGAGGCTCACGTCTGTCATCCCAGCACTTTAGGAGGCCGAGGTGGGTGGATCACCTGAGGTCAGGAGTTCGAGACCAGCCTGGCCAACATGGTGAAACCCCATCTCTGCTAAAAATACAAAGAATAGCCAGGCGTGGTGGCGGGCGCCTGTAATCCCAGCTACTCGGGAGGCTGAGGCAGGAAAATCGCTTGAACCTGGGAGGTGGAGGTTGCAGTGAGCTGAGATCGTGCCACTGTGCTCCAGCCTGGGCAACAGAGCGAGACTCCGTCTCAAAAAAAAAAAAAGGTGTCACCCTTGGGGTCAAGCTCTGGAATCTCTGGCATCCCTGGCAAAGAAATATGTCTGAGGATTACAACAAGGAACTCCAGGAAGGTGAGACACACCGGGGAGGGAGCAGCGTGAGAGAATTGAGGGATATGCTTATGATACAAAACCTGAGGGGGTTCCCCAAACCCAGCAACCAACATAACTCATCATGTCATGCAATATTTATTTTATTTTTTTTTTTTATAGAGACAGCGTTTCATCATGTTGCCCAGGCTGGTCTCGAACTCCTGACCTCAAGTGATCCACCCACCTCGGCCTCCCAAAGTGCTGGGATGACAGACGTGAGCCACCGTGCCCGAACCTCATGCAATATTTAAACAGCAATAAAGGCCAGGCGCGGTGGCTCACACCTGTCATCCCAGCACTTTGGGAGGCCCAGGCGGGCAGATCACCGGAGGTGGAGAGTTTGAGACCAGCCTGACCAACATTGAGAAACCGCGTCTCTACTAAAAACACGAAATTAGCTGGGCGTGGTGGCACGTGCCTGTAATCCCAGCTACTCCGGAGGCTGAGGCAGGAGAATCGCTTGAGCCCAGGAGGCGCAGGTTGCAATGAGCCGAGATGGCGCCATTGCACTCCAGCCTGGGCAACAAGAGTGAAACTCTGTCTCAAAAAACAAAAAACAAACAAATAAATACATAAATAAAATAGGCATAAATATTAAGGCAAAAATGCCATGAGAAACAAACCATTAAAATTTTAAATAAGGATGGGACTAGTATGCTGATGGTAATTAAACATGAAAGCTTGATGGTCACTTGGTCAAGAGAAGTTGACAAACATGACAATCCTATCCATTGACAATGATACAAGCAAAAATGAAAGTTTGAGAGTATTTTGGTAAGCATGCTTTCATTCAAGCCAGGAAAGTAGAATTACTCCCCAAAAAGTCTGGTTTTGATAAAAAAAAATTTAAAAGTTAAAGTAATGCTCTGAATTTTCATATACCCGTGTATCCTTGTAATATTTTCCAACCATTTTAATGTTCTGGAAAAAAACACATGAAATATGTCCAGAGGGGCATGAATTTTTCCTTTTCCATATGTTTTGCTTCAGGCTCCAATCAAAAATATCAGAGCACTGCTGAATCCTGTATTTGTTCACAGTATTGATGATTTATTCATGGTTGTTTATTTGAATTAATTTTGATTTTAAAATATTGAGTGAATTTGATTTTATAATATGGATTATAGGGGTTATGGATAGAGGGTGGATAAATAGATGGATGAGTGGGTTAATGGATGGTAGATGCTGGAAGGATAGATGGATTAATGGATACAGAATATATGGAGGGATGGATGAATGGATGGATGGGTGGGTGGTTAAATGGGTGGGTTAATGAATGGAGGGTGGATAGATGATGGATAGATAGATAGGTTAATGGATTGAGGGTAGATGGATGGATGAGTGAATGAGTGAATAGGTCGATGAGTAGGTTAATGGATGGATGGGTTGGTGGTCGGTTGAGTGGGTGCATGGGTGGAGAGATGAAAGGATGAATGAACAGATGATGGATGGATATATGGATATATGGGTTAATGGATGAAGGGTTGGCTGGCTGGCTGGCTGGATGGCTGGATAGGTGGATGGATACATGGGTTAATGAATAGAGGATGAATGAATGGACTAATGAATGGATGGGTTAATGGATGAAGATTTGGCTGGCTGGAGGGATGGATGGCTGAATAGGTGGATGGATATATGGATTAATGAATAGAGGATTAATGAATGGATTAATGAATGGATGGGTTAATGGATGAAGGCTTGGCTGACTGAATGGATGGATGGCTGGATAGGTGGATGGATACATGGGTTAATGAATAGAGGATAAATTAATGGATTAATGAGTGGATGGGTAAGTAGAAAGTGGGTGGGTTGATAGCTGGGTTAATAAACAGAGGGTGGATAGAGGATGGATAGATAGATACACGGGTAGATGGTTTAATGGATGGAGGGTGGATGGATGGGTAGATGGATGGATAGATGGGTGAATGAATGAATGAGTAGGTAGATGGATACATGACTGGGTGGATGGATGAATAGATTGACAGATTAATGACTGGCTGAATGGGTGGGTGGGTGCATAGATGCATGAACAGAAGAATCGACTGATGGAAGCATGGATGGATGGATGGGTGGATGGATGGATGGATATGATAAACGCGGGAGAATTAAGATCTCTGACACTGGATTCTAGTTTAGTGAACTGGTCCCTGGGATTCTCAATCTTTGCAAAACCCTCCACCTCCTACCTCAAGGTGCAGCTCTAGGAGAAGAGTCCCCATGCTTGAGGGTCAGGCCTTTGCTCACTGACCTCACAGTGCTGGACCCTGCCTGGGAGTCTCTCGAAGGAAGACCCCACTCCTTGGAAGCATCTTGATAAGGACCACAGTCCTGGGCCTCCCTCATTGTCACCTGCTGCTAGGACCTTCCAGATGATTTGTTCCCTGCATGGCCTGCTCTGCATAGAGTGGCTCACCCTGTCCTGGCATCGTACACACTTTTCTGAATTATACCTCAATTACTTTAAGGAGAAAAGGGAAGACCGTTGCATGAGAAGAAATGCAAGGAAGTAATTTTCCTCAAGGGGAAGGCCCACTCCCATATCTTTGTTTTGTATCTTTATTTCCTGTTTGAGGCTGCCGTTTTATCTGATCTTTACAACGTCTGTTTCTCTAGTCTTCACATGGGAGATAACATGCTGATCTGCAGTGGTATATCTCCTTGAAATATCAGTTTCACATCAACATTTAATAAATGCATCCCACACCACAAAGCAGCATTTTCTCAGCAGGCTATGTTTTCAATGAAATTTTCTGCCCAATAACTGAGTATCAACCTCACTGGTTATCACAGATAAACCTGAGTAGTAACCTCTGTTCCTTCTTTTGGAAGGTATTTGATTCTTATGATGTTATGAATGAGGCTGGACTCGGAATTCCCCTTTCTTGCTTGTGGCCAAGGGGTGGTAGACAGGAGAGAGAAGTCATCCAGCCATTTGCAGTGAGGGATGAATAGATTGATAGGTAGATTTGTGAATGGCTGAATGGGGAAAGTATAGATAGATGGGTGGATGAATGGACGGATAGGTGGGTACATTACTGGATGGATGGGTGAATAAATGGATGGGTGACTAGACGGATGGATGGATAGATGGATGGATGGATGGATGGATGAATGGATAGATGGGTGGGTAAATGGATGGATGGGTGGGTACATTAATGGATGCATGGGTGAATAAATGGATGGGTGACTGGATGGATGGATGGATGGATAGATGGGTGGGTGGGTGAATGGATGGTTGGGTGGGTACATTAATGGATGGATGGGTGAATAAATGGATGGGTGACTGGATGGATGGATGGATGGATGGATGGATGGATGGATGGATGGATGGATGAATGGATGGATGGGTGAGTACATTAATGGATGGATGGGTAAATAAATGGATGAGTCACTTGATGGATAGATGGATGGATGGATGAACGGATAGATGGGTGGGTGAATGGATGGATGGGTGGGTACTTTAATGGATGGATGGGTGAATAAATGGATGGATAGATGGATGGATGGATGGATGGATGGATGGATGGATGGATGGATAGATGGGCAGGTGAATGGATGGATGGATGGGTAAATAAATGGATGGGTGACTGTATGGATGGATGGATGGATGGATGGATGATGGGTGCATGAATGGATGGATGGGTGGGTACATTAATGGATGGATGAGTGAATAGATGGATGGGTGACTGGATGGATGGATGGATGGATGGATGGATGGATGGATGAATGGATAGATGGGTGGGCAAATGGATGGATAGGTGGGTACATTAATGGATGGATGGGTGAATAAATGGATGCTTGGCTAGATGGATGGATGGATGGATGGATGAATGGATGGGTGGATGGGTGGACAAATGGATGAACAGATTAACAGGTAGATTGATGACTGGCTGAATGGGTGGGTGGGTGGATAGATAAATGGATGGATGGATGGATGGATAGATGGATGGATGGATGGATGGACAAATGGATGAACAGATTGATAGACTGATGACTGGCTGAATGGGTGGGTGAGTGGTTAGATGGATGAATGGATGGATGAACGGATGAATGAATGGGTGGACAAATGGATAAATAGATTGACAGATTAATGACTGGCAGAATGGGTGGGTGGGTGGATGGATGGATGGATAGATGAGTGGATGGGTGGACAAATGGATGAACAGATTGACAGATTAATGACTGGCCGAATGGGTGGATAGATGAATGGATGAATAAAGTGAAAGACACATGAGTAAGACATCCAGGTCATCTGCAGTGATGGGATGGCTTCTCTCTCCTGTCTACCACCCCTAGGACTCTGTATCTCAAAATGAAAGTCCCATACTTGGTTCTAAGATCTTTGTTTGATTAAGGCCAATGCTTTTTTTAAAACTTGTTTCCACAGTCTCCAGTTACTCACCATAATAGCTTGAATTTTGTCCCCCAAAAGACATATCTAAGTCCTGCCCCCTGGTGAATGAGACCTTATTTGGAAATCGGGTCTTTGCAGATGTGATTAAGAATCTGGAGATGAGATCATCCTGGAGTAGGGTGGGTCCTTAATCCAGTGACAGGTGTCCTTCTAAGAGACGGAAGAGGAGACACAGACACAGAGGAGAAGGCCACGTGGAGATGGGGGCAGAGACTGGAGTGATGCAGCCACAAGTTCAGGTACTCCTGGAGCCCCCAGGAGCTGGGAGAGGCAGGAAGGATCCTTCCCTGGATCTTTCAGAGTGAGCACAATCCTGCCCACATCTTGACCTCAGACTTCTGGTCTCCAGAACCATGAGCTAAATCACATCTGTTGTTTTAAACCCTTGAGTTTTAGGCAAATTGTTAGGGCAGCCCCAGGGCATTCAAGCACCCATTAAATGCATGATTCTATATTTCTGCGGTCCCCACCAATTCCCTTTACTTTGGTCATCAGCTGCAAATTCAAATTCAGGGGTCCCGGGAAGCACTCTCACTTTGGACCAGCTGGCTAAAACTTGTAGGGTCCCAGTGACCACATTCAGGGTGAATAATTTCCTAGAATGACTCACAAGAACTCAGAAAAACACTGTGCTTCTGATTAAAGTCTTATTATACCGAATAGATACAAATTAAAATCAGCCAAGCTGGGCACAGTGGCTCATGCCTGTAATCCCAACACGTTGGAAGGTCGAGGTGGGAGGACCGCTTGAGCCCAGGAGTTTGAGACCAGCCTGGCCAACAGAGCGAGACCTCATCTCTACAAAAAATAAAAAATTAGCCAGGGACGGTGGTGCACGTCTGTCATCCCAGCTACTCAGGAGGCCGAGTTAGGAAGACTGCTTGAGCCCCAGAGGTCGAGACTGTAGTGAGCTGTAATTGCGTCACTGCACTCAAGCCTGGGTAACAGAGTGAGACCTTGACTCAAAAATCAATCAATCAATTAATTAATATCAGGAAGAAAAGAGATGCATAAAACAGAGACCCTACCTTAAAGTCAATTAATTAATTAAATTAAATAATATTAGCTAAGGAAAGTGAAGTATGAGTGAGACCCCGCCTGAAAATCAATTAATTAATTATATTAAATAATGTCAGCCAAGAAAAATGATGCCTAAGACAGAGTGAGACCTTGCTCAAAATCAATCAATCAATATCAGCCAAGAAAAAGGATGCCTAAGACAGAGTGAGACCTTACCTCACAATCAAGCAATTAATTGAATTAAATAATATCAGTCAAGAAAAGAGGTGGATAAGAGAGTGAGACCCTACTCAAAATCAATTAATTAATTAATTAATTAAATAATATCAGCCAAGAAAAGAGATGCATAAAACAGACTCTACCTCAAAATCTATCAATCAATTAAAGTAAATAATATCAGCCAAGAAAAAATATATGAGAGTGAGACCCTGCCTCAAAATCAATCAATCAATTAATTAATAACAGCCAAGAAAAGAGATGCCTAAGACAGAGCGAGACTGTGCCTCAAAATCAATCAATTAATTAAAGTAAATAATATCAGCCAAGAAAAGAGATGTGTAAAACAGAGACCCTACCTCAAAATCAATCAATCAATTAATTAACTAATATCAGCCAAGAAAAAATATGTAAGAGAGACCCTGCCTCAAAATCAATCAATTAATTAATATCAGCCAAGAAAAGAGATGCCTAAGACAGAGCGAGACTGTGCCTCAAAATCAATCAATTAAAGTAAATAATATCAGCCAAGAAAAGAGATGTGAAAACAGAGACCCTACCTCAAAATCAATCAATCAATTAATTAAATTAAATTAAATATCAGGCAAGAAAAGAGATGTATAAGAGAGCAAAACCCTGCTCGAAACCAACCGATTAATCAATTAAACAAATAATATCAGTCAAGGAAAGAGATTCATAAAACAGAGACCCTACCTCAAAATCAATCAATCAATTAATTAAATTAAATAATATCAGCCAAGAAAAGAGATGCCTAAGACAGAGCGAGAGTGTGCCTCAAAATCAATCAATTCAAGTAAAAATATCAGCCAAGAAAAGAGATGCGTAAAACAGAGACCCTACCTCAAAATCAATCAATCAATTAATTAAATTAAATATCAGGCAAGAAAAGAGATGTATAAGAGAGTGAAACCCTGTTCGAAACCAACCGATTAATCACTTAAATAAATAATATCAGTCAAGGAAAGAGATGCATAAAACAGACCCTACCTCAAAATCAATCAATTAATTAAATTAAATAATATCAGCCAAGAAAAGAGATGCCTAAGACAGAGGGAGACTGTGCCTCAAAATCAATCAATTAAAGTAAGTAATATCAGCCAAGAAAAGAGATGCGTAAAACAGAGACCCTACCTCAAAATCAATCAATCAATTAATTAAATTAAATAATATCAGGCAAGAAAAGAGATGTATAAGAGAGTGAGACCCTGCTCGAAACCAAACAATTAATCAATTAAACAAATAATATCAGTCAAGGAAAGAGATGCATAAAACAGAGACCCTACCTCAAAATCAATCAATCAATCAATTATTAAGTTAAATAATATCAGCGAAGAAAAGACATGCCTAAGACAGAGTGAGACCCTGCCTGAAAATCAATCAATGAATTAATTTAATTAAGTAACATCAGCCAAGCAAAGAGATGTACAAGAGAGAGTCAAGGAGGAGCTGAGACCCACAGCTTCCATTGTCCTCTCCCCAAGGACTCACGGGTGCTGTTCCCTCCTCTTAGCATCAATGTGTGATGACAGACGTCAAGTCAGCCCACCAGGGAAGCTGATCAGAACCTCAGTGTCTGGAGTTTTTACCGGGGCCACCACCACCTTCTGTCTCTGCCACTGAGCTTTACTCTCCAGCCCCTCCTGGAGGTTGAAACTGATACTGCATGTCCCAATATGCCCACCTCTTAGACATCTCTTTTCTTGCCTCTTATTATTTAATGAATTGATTGATTGATTTTGAGGTAGGGTCTCTGTTTTCACATCTCTTTTCTTGGCTGATATTATTTACTTTAATTAATTGATTTTGAGGCACAGTCTCGCTCTGTCTTAGGCATCTCTTTTCTTGGCTGATATTAATTAATTCATTGATTTTGAGGCATAGTCTCTCTTACATATTTTTTCTTGGCTGATATTATTTACTTTAATTAATTGATTGATTTTGAGGCACAGTCTCGCTCTGTCTTAGGCATCTCTTTTCTTGGCTGTTATTAATTAATTGATTGATTGATTTTGAGGCAGGGTCTCTCTTACATATTTTTTCTTGGCTGATATTATTTACTTTAATTAATTGATTGATTTTGAGGTAGGGTCTCTGTTTTCACATCTCTTTTCTTGGCTGATATTATTTACTTTAATTAATTGATTGATTTTGAGGCACAGTCTCGCTCTGTCTTAGGCATCTCTTTTCTTGGCTGATATTAATTAATTGATTGATTGATTTTGAGGCATAGTCTCTCTTACATATTTTTTCGTGGCTGATATTATTTACTTTAATTAATTGATTGATTTTGAGGCACAGCCTCGCTCTGTCTTAGGCATCTCTTTTCTTGGCTGTTATTAATTAATTGATTGATTTTGAGGCAGCGTCTCTCTTACATATTTTTTCTTGGCTGATATTATTTACTTTAATTAATTGATTGATTTTGAGGTAGGGTCTCTGTTTTCACATCTCTTTTCTTGGCTGATATTATTTACTTTAATTGATTGATTTTGAGGCACAGTCTCGCTCTGCCTTAGGCATCTCTTTTCTTGGCTGTTATTAATTAATTGATTGATTTTGAGGCAGGGTCTTACTCTCATATATTTTTTCTTGGCTGATATTATTTAATGTAATTGATTGATTGACAGATTTTGAGGTAGAGTCTATGTTTTATGCATCTCTTTTCTTGACTGATAAATTACATTGTTAGACCCTCCAGGGGCCAAAGCCCGCTTAAGATGACCACACCTGGCTAACTTTTTATATTTCATTTATTTATTTATTTATTTATTTATTTATTTATTTATTTTGTAGGGATGGAGTCTTGCTATATTGCCCAGGCCGGTCCTGAATTCCCGGGCTCCAGCAATCCTTCCAAGAAAAGAGGTAGACGTCTGTTTGGAAATCATTACAATTCTTTTTTTTTTTTTTTTTTTTTGAGACAGAGTCCAGCTCTGTTGCCCACGCTGGAGTGCAGTGGCAAAATCGTAGTTCACTGCGGGCTGGAACTCCTGGGCTCAAGCGATCCTTGTGCCTCAGCCCCTCCCGAGTGGCTGAGACTACAGGTGTGTGCCACCACGCCCAGCTCATTTTTTTCTTTTTCTTCTTTTTACAGACGGGAGGGTCTCGCCATGTTGCGCAGGCTGGCCTTGAACTTCCGGCCTCAAGTAATCCTCCCCCCTCGGCCTCCCAAAGTGCTGGGATCACAGGCATGAGACACTGCACCTGGCCAACGGCATGCTGAAATCTTCACTGCAGAAAAGCAAAGCACAAATGGCTTCAGCTGATGATAAGCACTTTGCAGAAGAATACAAAACGCTGATATTAAAAAAAAAAAATGACTTGGGCTAGGGTGTGGTCTGCCGAGGAGGACAGAGAAGGGATATTAAGCGGGGGGCGGATGTATTTTTCACAGGAGAGATTGTAGGAACCGTCCGTGCTGCAGAAGGATGGAATGGCCGTGGGTCTAGATGAGTGTCTGAGTCATACATGAGCTCATAGCGTCCAGGTAGAGCCTGTGGTTGTGTTGTGCTGAGTTAGAAATCTGTTTTTATCTGTCACTTCCTCTGGCCCGCACGGCCTCTCACGCGATGGTGGAGAGAATTACCCCGTTTCCCGGAGTGGAATGTTTGTTTACTGAGTGCCCTCCTCTGGTTCAAACACGGACTCTGCATTTTCAGCGTGGTTTGCTGTTTCTTTGGGCAAATGGGTCAGTGTCCTCACGCCTTAAAATCTCCTCTGGGACTTCTGGACAGTATTCCTTAAATCTCCATCTTTCTTCCAACATTTAGCAAGATGAGGACTGGAATTTTCTTCCTATATTTCTTTTCTTTTCTTTTCTTTTCTTTCTTTCTTTCTTTCTTTCTTTCTTTCTTTCTTTCTTTCTTTCTTTCTTTCTTTCTTCCTTCCTTCCTTCCTTCTTTCTTTCTTTCCTTTCTTTCTTTCTTTCTCTTTCCTTTTCTTTCTCTCTTTTTTTTTTTTGTGAGATGGAGTCTTGCTCTGTCGCCAGGCTGGAGTGCAGTGGTGTGATTTTGGCTCACTGCAACCTCCACCTCCCGGGTTCAGACGATTCCTCTGCCTCAGCCTCCTGAGCAGCTGGGACTACAGCCACGTGCCACCACGCCCAGCTAAGTTTTTTGTATTTTATTAGAGATGGGATTTCACAGTGTTCGCTAGGATGGTCTTGATCTCCTGACCTCGTGATCTACCCACCTCGGCCTCCCAAAGTGCTGGGATTACAGGCGTGAGCCACTGTGCCCAGCTGGAATTTTCTTTTGAAGTGTACCAGCGTCCCCTGTATAAGTCTGTGGAAGAAAATGCATGATTATTATTGTGCTTATTATGATTATTGTCATTATTATTTTGAAAAAAGGTCTCGCTCCTTTGCCCGGGTTGGAGGGCAGTGTTGCGATCATAACTCATTGCAGCCTTGACCTACCGGGCTGAAGTAGTCCTCCCACCTCAGCCTCCTAAGTAGCTGAGACTACAAGCACATGCAACCACACCTGGCTAACTTTTTGTATTATTATTATTATTTTTTTTTTTTGTAGAGATGGAGTCTTGCTGTGCTGCAGAGGCTGATCCTGAATTCCTGGGCTCAAGCAATCCTTCTAAATCAGCCTCCCAAATAGCTGGGATTACAGGCATGCACCAGCATACTCGACTAATTATGTTTGCAGAGATGGGGTCTTGCTAGGTTGCCCAGGCTGGTCTTGAACTCCTGGGATGAGGTGATCCTCTGGCCTCAGCCTCTGAAAGCAGTGGGGGTACAGGCCTGGGCACCCCATCTTGGCAAAGTATTACGGATGGAAGGTGCAGACAGAGAGGTGTATGTGGTTGTCTGTGAGTTCATCACTGTCCAGTGTGTTGTACAATAACCACCACTGAATCTCTCCTTTCAAAGGGCAGAGTCAGAAGCAAGCAGTTAAACCATGAAGGAATAGGCTCCTTGCACCTGCTCTCCTGTTTCTCTTGGGTCCATCCAAAAGTAACTGTGGGTTTTGCCATTGAAAGTAATGCCAATGAATTACTTTCAATGGCAAAAAGAGCCATTTCTATTGCATACTTCTGAACAGGTGGACAGAGTCAGAAACAGACTTTGCCGGCTGGGCACGGTGGCTCCACGCCTGCAATCCCAGCACTTGGGGAGGTCAAGGTGGAAGGATCGTTTGAGCCTATGAGTTTCAGACCAGCCTGGGCAACATAGCAAGACCCCATCTTTATAAAAAAAAAAAAAAAAGAAAAGTAAAGAAAGAAACAGATTTTTCAGGGCGGGTGCCATGGCTCACGCCTGTAATCCTAGCTATTAGGGGGGCCAAGGCAGGTGGATCACTTGAGGTCAGGAGTTCAAGACCAGCCTGGCCAACATGGTGAAACCCCATCTCTACTAAAAATACAAAAATTAGCCAGGCATGGGCCGGGCGTGGTGGCTCACGCCTGTAATCCCAGCACTTTGGGAGGCCAAGGCGGGCAGATCTCGAAGTCAGGAGATCAAGACCATCCTGGCTGACACGGTGAAACCCCGTCTCTACTAAAAACAAAAAAAAAATTAGCCGGACGTGGTGGCAGGCGCCTGTAGTCCCAGCTACTCGGGAGGCTGAGGCAGGAGAATGGCGTGAACCCGGGAGGCGGAGGTTGCAGTGAGCCAAGATCGCGCCACTGCACTCCAGCCTGGGAGACAGAGCGAGACTCTGTCAAAAAAAAAAAAAAAAAAAAATTAGCCAGGCATGTTGGTGTACCTGTAATCATAGCTACTCGGCGGCTTGAGGCAGGAGAATCCCTTGAACCCAGGAGGCCGAGTTTGCAGTCAGCTGAGATTGCATCTCTGCACCCTAGCCTGGGCAACAGAGCGAGAGTCCGTCTCAAAAAAACAAAACAAAACAAAAAAGATATTTCAGGGAAACAGCCCACCTCAGAAGCATCATGCAGAAATTCCTCCCATTCATCCAGGTCAACCCAAAACAGCTGAAAACCTTTTTCTCCATTTTTCAGGTGAAGAGATGCAGAGGGTCCAAGAGGATTTCACAGAGTTCACAGAAACCAGCTCCTCAAGAGACATCAAGTCACCCAAGAATAGACAAGCAGGATGATGCACGCAGATCTTCCAGATGCTTCCAGATCTTCCAGATGCTCCCAGAAGAGCTAGAGCAGAGGCAATGAGGCTGAATGTCCGAGGAATGTGCTGTGGACTCTTCTCGTTTTTTTATTTTTGTTTTTTTTGTTTTTGTTGTGTTTTTTGTTTTTTGTTTTTGTTGTTGTTGTGTTTTTTGTTTTTTGTTTGTTTTTGTTTGTTTGTTTGTTTTTGAGACAGAGTCTTGCCCTGTTGCCAGACTGGAGTGCAGTGGCATGATCTCGGCTCACTGCAACCTCGGCCTCCCACGTTCAAGCGATTCTCCCGCCTCAGCCTCCCGAGTAACTGGGATTACAGGTGCACGCCACCACGCCCAGCTAATTTTCATATTTTTAGTAGAAACGGGGTTTCACCATGTTGGCCAGGCTGGTCTCGAACTCCTGACCTCGTGATCCACCTGCCTTGGCCTCCCCAAGTGCTGGGATTACAGGCATGAGCCTGTTTGTTTGTTTGTTTGTTTGTTTTGAGACAGAGTCTCGCTCTGTCGCCCAGGCTGGAGTGCAGTGGCCAGATCTCGGCTCACTACAAGCTCCGCCCCTCCAGGTTAATGTATTTTTAGTAGAGACGGGGTTTCATCACGTTGGCCAGGCTAGTCTCGAACTCCTGACCTCATGATCCACCCGCCTTGGCCTCCGCAAGTGCTGGGATTACAGGCCTGAGCCACCGCACCCAGCCTTTCTTGTTTATTTATTTTTTTTAATGTATTTATTTTTTTTGAGACAGAGTCTCGCTCTGTTGCCCAGGCTGGAGTGCAGTGGTGCGATCTCGGCTCACTGCAAGCTCCGCCCCTCCAGGTTTAAGCAATTCTCTGCCTCAGCCTCCGGAGTAGCTGGGATTACAGGCGTGTGCCACCACGCCCAGCTAATTTTTTGTATTTTTAGTAGACATGGGGTTTCACCATCTTGGCCAGGCTGGTCTCGAACTCCTGACCTCGTGATCCACCTGCCTCGGCCTCCCCAAGTGCTGGGATTACAGGCGTGAGCCACCGTGCCCAGCCCCAGACCTTCTTTTAAAGTGCTCACCTGATTAGGTCGGGCCTACCTAGAATACTCTCCTGTTTGATGATCTTGAAGTCTGTTGACTAGAGAGCTTATTGCATCTGGAAAGTTCCAGCACCTTTGCTGCAGCATCATGAGACTGATATCTCAGAATCTTTTTATTTGCCTTTCATGCTCAATTCATGGAAATGATACAGACTGGGTACACAACAAAGACTCATGGCTACCTCCCCATGACAAAGGATTACGGCTGCAGATATCCGAGAACTTTGTTTTTTTATTTCTGGGGTACATTCAGGAGAGGGATGTTTTGCTCCAAAATGCTTTAGGAGGCCAAGCATTTTCCTTAAAGGTTTTCCAGATTATTATAACCATCCTTTGGTGCTTGCTGGTTCTGAAGGAGTGAATATCTCCTTCTGAATTTGCTTTGCAAATACCTTCAGGGAACTAGCTGAGTGGCAAAGTGGTTTCCCAATTTAACAGCTCCCCCCGGGAAACACACACCAATGGTATGTAAAGCAGCAGCAGCGAGAAGAATTTTAAAGAGAACCCCAAACGCTTTCGTGTCCCTAAGAAGAAGAAGAATGTACATGCAGGCAGCAAAGGGGTGTGTCTCACTGAGAAGCCTGCTTGGGTTCACAGAATGGTCCCCGTCCTGGGGACCCTGGTGTGTTTGTTTTCTCCTTGGTCAAGTAGAGACTCATAATCATATTAATATTAGCCTTTATGGACATCATGGCTCACACAATGCAAACGCCCCCCCAAATACCCACAAGCCCTCTTCTTCCTTCCCCTCCCCTCCCTTCCCCTCCTCTACCTTCCCTTCCCCTCCCCTCCCCTCCCCTCCCTTCCCCTCCTCTCCCTTCCCTTCCCCTCCCCTCCCCTCCCCTCCCTTCCCCTCCCTTCCCCTCCCCTCCTCTCCCCTCCCTTCCCCTCCCTTCCCCTCCCCTCTCCTCCCCTCCCTTCCCTTCCCCTCTCCTCCCCTCCCTTCCCCTCCCCTCTCCTCCCCCCTTCCCCTCCCCTCCCCTCCCCCTTCCCCTCCCCTCCCCCCTTCCCCTCCCCTCTCCTCCCCACTTCCCCTCCCCTCTCCTCCCCCCTTCCCCTCCCCTCTCCTCCCCCCTTCCCCTGCCCTCTCCTCCCCCTCTTCCCCTGCCCTCTCCTCCCCCCCTTCCCCTCCCCTCTCCTCCCTTCCTTTCCCCTCCTCTTCCATTCCCTTCTTTCCTCCCATCCCCTCCTCCCTTCCCCTCCCTTCCCCTCCCTTCCCCTCCCTTCCCCTGCCCTCCCCTCCCCTCCCCTTCCTTCTCCTCCCCTCCCCTCCCTTCCCCTCCCCCCTCCCCTTTCCTCTGCTCCCTTCCCCTCCCCTCTCCTCCCCCCTTCCCCGCCCCTTCCCTTCCCTTCTTTCCTCCCATCCCCTCCTCCCCTCCCTTCCCCTCCCCTCCCTTCCCCTCCCCTCCTTTCCCCTCTCCTCCCCTCCCCTCCTTTCCCTCCCCCTCCCCTCCTCTCCCTTCCCCTCCCCTCCTCTCCCTTCCCCTCCCTTCCCCTCCCCTCCCCTCCTTTCCCTTCCCCTCCCCTCCTCTCCCTTCCCCTCCCCCCCTCCCCTCCCTTCGCTTCCCCTCCCCTCCCCTCCCCTCCCTTCCCCTCCCCCCTCCCCTCCCTTCCCCTCCCCCCTCCCCTTTCCTCCACTCCCTTCCCCTCCCCTCTCCTCCCCCCTTCCCCTCCCCTTCCCTTCCCTTCTTTCCTCCCATCCCCTCCTCCCCTCCCCTCCCTTCCCCTCCCCTCCCTTCCCCTCCCCTCCCCTCCTTTCCCCTCTCCTCCCCTCCCCTCCTTTCCCTTCCCCTCCCCTCCTCTCCCTTCCCCTCCCCTCCTCTCCCTTCCCCTCCCTTCCCCTCCCCTCCCCTCCCCTCCTTTCCCTTCCCCTCCCCTCCTCTCCCTTCCCCTCCCCTCCTCTCCCTTCCCCTCCCCCTCCCCTCCCTTCCCTTCCCCTCCCCTCTCCTCCCCCTTCGCCTCCCCTCCCCTCCCTTCCCTTCCCCTCCCCTCCCTTCCCCTCCCCCTCCCCTTTCCTCCACTCCCTTCCCCTCCCCTCTCCTCCCCCCTTCCCCTCCCCTTCCCTTCCCTTCTTTCCTCCTATCCCCTCCTCCCCTCCCCTCCCTTCCCCTCCCCCCTCCCCTTTCCTCCGCTCCCTTCCCCTCCCCTCTCCTCCCCCCTTCCCCTCCCCTTCCCTTCCCTTCTTTCCTCCCATCCCCTCCTCCCCTCCCCTCCCTTCCCCTCCCCTCCCTTCCCCTCCCCTCCCCTCCTTTCCCTTCCCCTCCCCTCCTCTCCCTTCCCCTCCCCTCCTCTCCCTTCCCCTCCCTTCCCCTCCATTCCCCTCCCTTCCCCTCCATTCCCCTCCCTTCCCCTCCCCTCCTCTCCCTTCCCCTCCCTTCCCCTCCATTCCCCTCCCTTCCCCTCCCCTCCCCTTCTTTTGAGATGGAGTCTTCCTCTTGTCATCCAGGCTGGAGTGCAATGGCGCAATCTTGGCTCATTGCGACCTCCACCTCCCGGGTTCAAGCAATTCTCCTGCCTCAGCCTCCTGAATAGCTGGGATTACAGGTGCGCACCACCACGCCCAGCTAATTTTTGTATTTTTAGTAAAGACAGGGTTTCACCATGTTGGCCACAATTGTCTCAAACTCCTGACCTCAGGTGATCCACCCGCCTCGGCTTCCCAAAGTGCTGGGATTACAGGCATGAGCCACTGTACCCGGCCTAAATCACAGACTTTTATGTCTCACGGTTCTGGAGGCTGAGAGTCCAAGATCAATGAGTGGGAGGTTCAGTGTCTAGTGAGGACCCGCTTGCTGGTTCACAGGTGGTTCCTTCTGGCTGTGTCCTCACATGGTGGAAGGGGTGAGAGAGCTCTCTGGGGCCTGTCTTCTAAGAGCACAAATCCCACTCATGACCTAACCACCTCCTAAAAGCACCACCTCTAATACTCTTGCAGTGGGAACTGAGTTTGAACTTGAGTTTTGGAAGGACAGAAACATGGAAGGCATAGCAACCCTCTTACACAGCCCGGCCCCTCTGAAGCCTGCCTGGGTTCACAGAATGTTCCGTCTTCCTCAGGCCCCTGGTGTGTTGGCTTTCTCCTTTGTTGATAGCTGATGTTGAGCAATGCAAGATTTCTGTTCTGATTATCTGACCCTGGATATCCAGTTTGGGGACTTGTGACATATTTGGGACGTCAGAAGCACGTACCTCTCACATAGAGCATGGCATACTTAATAAACAATAAATTATAATAAAAAATGAATAATGCATTATAAATTATCATTACTTATTTATTTATTTATTGGAGACAGAGTCTCGCTCTGTTGCCCAGGATGGAGTGCAGTGGCGCCATCTTCGCTCACTGCAACCTCTGCCTCCTGGGTTCAAGTGATTCTCGGGCCTGCCTCAGCCTCCTGAGTAGCTGGGACTATAGGCAACCACCTCCACACCCGGCTAGTTTTTTGTCTTTTTAGTAGAGACGGGGTTTCACCATGCTGGCCAGGCTGGTCTTTTTTTTGTTTTGTTTTGACATGGAGTCTCGCTCTGTCAACCAGGCTGGAGTGCAGTGGCACGGTCTCACTGCAAGCCCCACCTCCCAGGTTCACGCCATTCTCCTGCCACAGCCTCCCGAGTAGCTGGTAGCTGGGACTACAGGTGCCCACCACCACGCCCGGCTGATTATTTTTTGTATTTTAGTAAAGACGGGGTTTCATCGTGTTAGCCAGGATGGTCTCGATCTCCTGACCTCATCATCCGCACATCTCGGCCTCCCAAAGTGCTGGGATTACAGGCATGAGCCACCGGGCCCGGCCCCAGGCTGGTCTTGAACTCCTGACCTTGTGATCTGCCCGCCTTGGCCCTCCAAAGTGCTGGCATTACAGACGTGAGCCACCGCACCTGGCCTCATTTATTATTTTGTAATCACATTATAAATTGTCATTTATTATTTCATAATTACATTATAAATGATCATTTCAGAATTACATTATATATTTTCATTTATTTCATAATTACACTATAGATTATCATTTATTATTCCAAAATTACATTATAAATTATGATTATATTATACAATAGCATTTGCTTCATAATTACATTAGATTATCATTTATTTTTAAATTACATTATATTTATTTCATAATTACATTATAAATTATCTTATAATTAGAAATGATCATTTATTTCATAATTGCAATATAAATTATTATTAATTTCATAATACCATTGTAAGTTATCATTTATTATTTCATAATTACATTATGTAATGGTATGCGTTAATAATTATTAATATACAATTAATAATTATTAACCATTCAATTAATAGTTAATTAACTAGCAATTTATATGTAATTCTATAATTACGTCATAGAATATGATATCTAATTTATACATAAATTATATTATTCAAGTATATTACCCATAATTTGCAAGTATAGTATAGAATCCCGTTATAGGATCCTATTACATTTTAGAATTTTGTTATATATATTTGACTCTACAATTGGAATTTAGACCCCACACCGGCCCCCCTCCTGTTTGGCTTAAGGGCTATGACCACAGACCCTGGCCCAAGTACCTCCCCTGGTTACCCGCAGGCAGGTGGCACCATGGGGGCGGGGCGGACTCGCGCACGCGCAGTGCAAAAGGTCGGGCTCCCGGAAGTCCCTCCTCCCGGGGGCGGAGCCAGGGCAAGAAGGAGAAACCCGGTGCTGCCGCGCGGCCTCTTCCGCGAGCCCGCGCGCCGGAAGTGGAAATGCGTCATAGAGGGCGGGCGGCGACGGCGGTGGCGGCGTCGGAGGCGCCTCCGGGGGACGGTGGCGGCTCCCGGCGGTGAGGCCGCGCCTGTCCGGGGATCGTCGAGGGACGGCGGGAGCTTGGGCCAGCGGCGGCGGCGGCCTGGGACGCAGGCGGAGCCCCGCGCAGGTGAGTGCCGCCCCCGTGCCTCCCGGGCCTGGCTGCAGCCGGCGAACGCTTCGCTCCTAGGGCCGGGCCCGGGGGGCCGGGGCTTGGGAGGCGGCGCCTAGGGGCCTCGGAGGTGACGGGGCTGGGGTTGGGGGGCGTGGGGTGCCACCGGGGGGCTGGGAGCGCCTGAAACTGTACGGGGGAATCGGGGGCTGGGGAGGTCTGCGGTCGGGGTCCGGGGGTCCCTGGAAGTAGGGGTAGGGGCTGGAGCGGTTCCTGGGACTGCACCGAAGGAGCTGAGGCCTGGAGCGGTGTCGGAGGGCTGGGAGCTCGGGGGATCGGATGGGCGGGAGACTAGGAGGCCTGGGACTAGGGGACGTGGCGCTGCGGTCGCTCCTAGGTCTACAGTGGGAAGCAAGGGGCTGTCCGGGGTTTTCGGAGGCTGGGGCGGTGCTGTGTAGGTTGGGGTATTGGGGCTCATCCAGGAGGGTGGTGGGGAGCGGGGAACTGAGGAGCTGAGGGTACCGAGTGGCCAAGGGCCTGAGAATGTGTGGGGCCCTGCCAGGGGTGCCAGCGGCAGCCTGAGGCCATGCTGGGGGGCTGCGGTAGGTGGGAATACCAGGGGCAATGCCGCGTACTGGGGATTGGGCAGCCAGGTGTACCGGGGTGGTCGGAGGGCGCTGGAGGCCAGAGTGGGGAGGGTTCCTCGGTGGTGAAGTTGCTGGGGCCGCTTGGGTTCTGGGGGAGGGTTCACTGGTCTCTGTCCAGACTGGAGCCCCTCCCTGGTGCCCCACTGACCTTTTCTGGTCGCTTCTCCACCCTCCCTCCCTTCTTTCGCACCTCCCACCTCGGGCTTGGGCGAGGAGGCCGTCTCCTGGGCCTGGCAGGAAGCCTCCAGGTTGATGGGGTGGGCGGCCGGGCCGGAGGCGGTCACCTGAGATGGTTGGGTTTCTGCGAGTGAAGCTTCCTCTACTTGGACTTGGCCGTCAGGAAGTGGCTGCCCGTCAGCTCAGCAGGGAAGAGGTGGGTTAATGAAGGTGGGCGGAGAAAGAAGGCGCAGACGGGGGACTCCGGCCCCTAACTTGTGGAAAGTTCGTTGTACTTTTTGGCTTTGAGTGGGTTAAAGCTGGGATACGTTTGGCCTTCGTGGAGATTACTAGGGTTCATGGTTCTGGATTGTTGTTGCAGCCCGAGACTTCCTGTTTTATCAGGGCAAGTACAGGGCCGCCGCCCCCTCCACAAAACCTTTCCAGATGCCTGCAGCTGTGCTCTCCCTGGCCCCTTCCCTTCCCCAGTGTCTCTCTGCCCCTTCCCGTGGAGCTAGGCGTTTGTAGCGTCCCCGTTCCTACTTGACCTGTGTGAGGGGCCTGGTCGTGCTCAGCTTCCTATTCTGCAGGCCTTGGGAGCTGCTGGCTGCTGGATGTAGGGTGTCGGGCAGTGCTGACCGAGGCTTTGACACTAACCTGTTCTTTATCAGCTCGGCTCTTTCCCCTTTGGTGTACTCTTAATGATTTCAAAAAGTAAAGAACTCCGTTGAGATGGCTGTTAACAAAGTGGAAACCGGTCTCTGACACGGCAGAGAGACACTGCTGTTTCTCTTCTCCGGGTCCAGAAAGTGCCTGCTGGCTTGGCCCCTCCTCATTGGCGGGGGAGGTGGGGGGTGCTGGTGCTGACTGTCTGCGTCTTATGTTTCAGGCCCAAGGTCCCGGAGGCTATGGCAGCGGCTACCATCGTGCACGACACGTCTGAGGCCGTGGAGCTCTGCCCTGCTTACGGCTTGTACCTGAAGCCCATCACCAAGATGACCATCAGCGTGGCACTCCCGCAGCTGAAGCAGCCGGGGAAGTCCATCTCCAACTGGGAGGTGATGGAGAGGCTGAAGGGCATGGTGCAGAACCACCAGTTCTCCACGCTGCGTATTTCCAAGAGCACCATGGACTTCATCCGCTTCGAGGGGGAGGTGGAGAACAAGAGCCTGGTCAAGTCTTTTCTGGCCTGCCTGGACGGCAAGACCATCAAGCTCAGCGGCTTCTCCGACATCCTGAAGGTGCGCGCGGCCGAGTTCAAGATCGACTTCCCCACCCGCCACGACTGGGACTCCTTCTTCCGCGACGCCAAGGACATGAACGAGACCCTGCCGGGGGAGCGGCCGGACACCATCCACCTGGAGGGGCTGCCCTGCAAGTGGTTCGCCCTGAAGGAGTCGGGCTCCGAGAAGCCCAGCGAGGACGTCCTGGTCAAGGTGTTTGAGAAGTTCGGGGAGATCCGGAATGTGGACATCCCCATGCTGGACCCCTACCGGGAGGAGATGACGGGCCGCAACTTCCACACCTTCAGTTTCGGGGGGCACTTGAACTTCGAGGCCTATGTGCAGTACCGCGAGTACATGGGCTTCATCCAGGCCATGAGCGCCCTGCGCGGGATGAAACTCATGTACAAGGGCGAGGACGGCAAGGCCGTGGCCTGCAACATCAAGGTGAGTCCTGGGCACCGAGAGAGCCACGCGCTTCCTCCCTCTGGCGACTTCCTTCCAGCAGGGTCAGCAGAACGCTCCCAGCCACACCCCTGAGGCTGTGGGGACCTCCCCTAAGTAAAATGGCAGCAACAGTCCTGTGCCTGTCCAATTTCAGAGGCACAGGCGTGAGGTGGAGTAGGGGTCCCGTGCTGTGGTTTTGGAAATTTGGTATCTTAAGGAAGATGTGGGGGAGACACAGGTCATATAGTAGGTGAGGGATGGAGCCTCAGGAACTCTGACAGGGATTTGAACCGTGTCAGAACCAAGAGAACCCGGCCTTCCCAGAATGCACCTTGAAACCAGGGCTGAACGTTCCCTTTAGCCTCATGTGCTTTTTTATTTTTTTTATTTTTTTTATTTTTATTTTTTTTTCGAGGCAGAGTCTCGATCTGTTTCCTGGACTGGAGTGCAGTGGCGCAATCTTTGCTCAGTGCATCCTCCGCCTCCTGGGTTCGAGCGATTCTTCTGCCTCAGCCTCCCGAGTAGCTGGGACTACAGGCGCGTGCCATCACACCTGGCTAATTTTTGTATTTTTAGTAGAAACAGGGTTTTGCCGTATTGGCCAGGCTGGTCTCGAACTCCTGACCTCATGAACTGCCTGCCTCGCCCTCCCAAAGTGCTGGGATTACAGGCGTGAGCCACTGCGCTCAGCCTAGCCTCGTGTTTTGACCGTGTTGGCTTCACAGTGACAAATGAGCCAGCCTCCTGGAGGGGGTTTTGTGGCCTTAAGATGTGCCCTGTGGGTGTGGGCAGGCGGCCTGCTCAGTGACTGTGGCCACAGGGAATGGTGGAGCCGGGTAGCGGAAGGGGAGCTGTGTCTCGCAGCGGTGGCGTGTCACTTGTGTTCAGTAAGTGGCGAGGGCTAGTTGGTGTTCCTCGCTGAGTCGTAACTCCGTGGGATGAGCTAAGTCTTGAGCCACTGATGGTGACTTGAAGGGATTGGTTTGGCTTCTGGGCTCCACTGTCTGGGTCTGCACCGGACATGAGTGGTGAGCGGTGAGCGGTGAGCGGGCGCTCAGGCTCTGAGGCCACTCGGCCCTACGGCCCAGGAGAGGGCGCCTGGCCGTGTGTCTGGGGGGTTTTGGGGGAAGGCCATCTGACACTGTTTTTGCTTTTAAAGGTTTCTTTTGATTCGACCAAACACCTGAGTGATGCCTCAATTAAGAAGCGGCAGCTGGAGAGGCAGAAGCTTCAGGAACTGGAGCAGCAAAGAGAAGAACAAAAGCGCAGAGAGAAGGAAGCGGAGGAGAGGCAGCGAGCGGAGGAAAGGTACCTTCTGCGGGAGCGGGCCCTCGGCGCTGGTGTCCGGCACCTGGGAGTGTGCGCAGACCCGTGTGCGTGTGTCTGCATGTATTCCTGTGCGTGTGTGTGTGCATGCATGCTTGTGAGCTTGTGTGTGTACCTGTGTGCATGGACGCACGTGTGCCTGTGAACCGGTGTGTGTACTTTGTATGTCCCTATGTGCGCCCGAGTGTGTGCCTGAGCATCTGTGTGCACGTGTGCCTGTGTGTGCGTGCATGTGTGTGAGCTCGTGTGTGTACCTGTGTGTGTATGTGCACGTGTGCCCACATGTGTGTGCTTCTGTATCGGCACATAGCACACATGTGCCTGTGTGCATGCGTGTGTGCCTGTGAACCCGTGTGTGTACTTGTGTGTGCACGTATGGGTGTGTGTGCAGGCCTGTGGGTGCTCAGCTGTGCACGTGAGGACCTGCGTGAGTGGCTGTTTGAGACGCAGCAGAATATGAATGTTTCTCTTTTTCTTGTCACACGTCGTGGTCTGACACGATCTCTGCCGGCTCCCAGGACCGCGCCTTGCCCGAAGAGCCACCTCTTCTCCCTCCACATGCTGTTCACACCTCCCGCTGAAACAAGCAGAATGCCTTGGCTGTTTGCAAGTTTGCATTTAGGTTGAGGCTACATTTACAAAATGAAGTAGAGGGTTGATGGTGATGGCCAGATTTAAAAAAAAAAAAAAAAACAAAAAACCAATGATAGGACAAAAACCCGGTTTCACATAAGAGGCCTTTAAAGCAATTGCCTGGGTCGTTCACTGTGGTTGGGGTACCAGAGACAACCTCAGGTCACTCTTTGTAGCCCCTTTTATCTTCTTAGCATTGCAGGAGGGAACCAACAACTTTCTGTGAATCCCCTGAGGCGGAATCCTCCTCCTCCTCCTCCTCCTCCATCCCTCCCACCCTCCTAGTGAGGTGGATTCCTCCTCCTCCTCCTCCATCCCTCCCACCCTCCTAGTGAGGCGGAATCCTCCTCTTCCTCCTCCATCCCTCCCACCCTCCTAGTGAGGTGGATTCCTCCTCCTCCTCCTCCATCCCTCCCACCCTCCTAGTGAGGTGGATTCCTCCTCCTCCTCCTCCATCCCTCCCACCCTCCTAGTGAGGTGGATTCCTCCTCCTCCTCCTCCATCCCTCCCACCCTCCTAGTGAGGTGGATTCCTCCTCCTCCTTCTCCGTCCCTCCCACCCTCCTAGTGAGGTGGATTCCTCCTCCTCCTCCTCTTCCTCCTCCATCCCTCCCGCTGTGCCCTCCTAGTGAGGCGGATTCGTCCTCTTCCTCCTCCATCCCTCCTGCCGTGTCCTCCTAGTGAGGTGGATTCCTCCTCCTCCTTCTCCGTCCCTCCCACCCTCCTAGTGAGGCGGAATCCTCCTCCTCCTACTCCTCTTCGTCCTCCGTCCCTCCCGCTGTGTCCTCTGACGACTTTGGTGCGTCCTGCACGTCTGTTGCGCTTCATGTCGCCGATATCAAGTCTGGGACGTGTTGGACTTGGCTGGGGGGCTCCTGGACAGCCTCTGGTGGGACCGAGTTGGTCCGTTTTGTTTCCATTTCTCACTGCTTTATGTGACGCTGGTGCCAGCGTGTTGATGTGTGTGGCTGGTGATGTTTGCACGAGAGTCCCGGCACTGAACTCCTGGGAGCAGGTCCATCCTGCCCGTGGTGTTCTTTACGTAGCCCCCGTTGCCTCCCCAGGGGAGAGTCGGGTTGTCAGCCTCTGAATCTGAACCCCGAGGGCTCCTTAGGTGAGGCAGGTGCAGTGTGTAAGCGAGTGGCCGTGAATGTGCTGGGGGGGCCCATGTCAGCCGTCAGGATTCCCAGGACCTAAGGCAGGCAGCACAGAGAGGCAGACGCCCTGGGAGGGAGGGACATGCTGCTGCGTCGCCATCCTGGGAGGCGGTCCCTGGGAGGGGCGGTTCGGATGTGGGGTTGAGTCCGGGTCCCCTGTGTCAGCCACTGTCAGGCCGAGCAGGACAGCTGGGGTGGGAGACAGTCCTGGGGCGTTACAGGGACTCTTCCAGGCTGCAGACACAGCCCAGGCCTGGCTGAATGTGCCTGTCCACATTCTGGAAGTGTGGAGTGGGACTCAGAGCCTCGGACCTCTCGGTGTCGCAGGAGTGTCCCCGCAACATTTCAGAAAGCAGCTTGCGGGTGCGGAGAAGAAGCTGCATCCTTGATCTTTCCCTGAGGAGAGATGGACGTTGGAGTAGTGGAGTGTGTCTCTGCAGGGAAGGGACCCCGTCTGCCTGGCCAGACCACAGAGGGATTGGGGGAAGCGGGGCCGGGCCATGAGGTTCTCGAGAGCAGGATGGGGTGTCCAGAGCCCCGGGGAGGGGCAGGCCTGTTGTCTGGGGGAGCTGGCCAGGAGGGCTCCACACGCAGGGCCGTACTTGTCCCCGCTGTCCCCCACTGTCCTTCCTCAGAGGCTGAGCATGAGGGGAGGCCCAGGGCAGCCTCCTGCATTTCTTTCTGGTGGGTGGAGATGAGGCATGTTTGCTTGTTCAGCCCTCACGTGTAACTTTGAGCTTGATGAGAGCTGTCCTCTGAAAGCTGCCCAGCCTCGAGGCGTCGCTGTGGGTCCCGCCTAAGGGCGTGCTGTGTGCTGGGCTGCCCTGAGCCGCCCTCCGAGCTCGTGGGGCGGTGACAGCTCACAGGGCGGTTAAACCTTCAGCACATGAAACTGCCTGAGGACCTGCATGCCCCGCCCGGAGACCGTGTGGATCACTGTCTGGGCGTCGGCACCTGGCCCGGCCCCCTTCTTGGGGTGGCAGAGCGTGGGATGCCTTTTCTCCCGGCCTGCTCCTCCTTGTCCCCGTGTCTCCTCTCCCCTTGGTGTCTGCGTGGGTCTGTGTCACCCCGGCGGGCTTTGTGGCCTCACTAGGCGGTTGGCGGCGCCCACCCGGGCTTCAGAAGTCTCCGCCTCCGTGTCGTGTTCCATAGGAACAGCTGCGACTTGTTCCCATGTCCGGTGTTGGTTGAAATGCATTTGAGAGCTGCGGGGCGGGGGAGGCTGAGCTAGGGAACTCCCCACTGTCTCTTGTGGACTCTCTCTGGGGACCGCGCCCCTCCCCGGCCGCATTCATCCTCACTTCCTGGACACCCCTCTCCACAGGAAAAGTGCAAGGAGCTGAGTGGCGTGGCTGTGGTTGGATTTGTTTAGAGAGAGGTCCCCCCGTGCCAGTGCTGTGTGGTGCCCTCACAGGAGTCCTGCACAACAAGGAGTCACCCAGCGCGGTTCCTGGTGGGCAGAACCGGCGTCCTCCGCGCCGCTGTGCATCCCGGGGCCTTGTTGGGCCTGCTGGGGTTCCTCTTTCACCCGTCCGTCTGCCCATCCGTCTTTCCCCTGACTGGGGGCGTGGCTTTTGATGTGGTCGGTCCAGTGGTCGTTTTCTTCGTGGTTTCAGGGTTGGGTCACACTTAGCAGGACGGTGTGTTGGAAGGTCACGGAGGTCCTCGCCCGGCTCACTCCTTCCACCTCTCGGGCTGCTTTGAGTCAACCGAGGTCCACCTTGGGATAAAGAGTTAAATGCTTAATCGTTGGACCGTGGCCTGTTCCGCCGTGTTTGGAAAGCCGCTTGTATGGTGTGTGGTGTGTTGGCTGCGGCGCTCTCTGTGACCACCCCCGGTGTGTTCCACACAGGAAACAAAAGGAGCTGGAAGAGCTGGAGCGAGAGAGGAAAAGAGAAGAGAAGCTTCGCAAGAGGGAGCAGAAGCAGAGGGACCGTGAGCTGCGCCGGAATCAGAAGAAGCTGGAGAAGCTGCAGGCGGAGGAGCAGAAGCAGCTGCAGGAGAAGATCAAGCTGGAGGAGCGCAAGCTGCTGCTGGCCCAGAGGAACCTGCAGTCCATCCGGCTCATCGCCGAGCTGCTCAGCAGAGCCAAGGTACCCGGGGGCTCCCTCTGCAGCCGCCAGCCGCGCCCGGGCTGCCCTCAGTGCCCTCCCCTGAAATGCGGGCGGCGTCACGGCGCCGTTTCCCCGCCGGCTGCAGCTGTAGCTACGAAACCAGCTTTAATGCCGAGGATGACGGCTCCTTCCCGGGAGGGTGTAGCGCTCGTCTGTCGTTCCCGATGATTTCAGAGCTGTGACGGTTTCCTTTTGCAAAGCTGGTGCATTCAGGTTCCCCGAGCAGGCTGGCAGCCTCCCGGGGGCCAGGGCAGAGGCTCTCTGTTTCCTTTGGGTCGGGGCAGTGGCAGAGAGTGCAGGGGGCCGCTCCCTCTGGCCCGCGCCTCTGTGTGTGGTCAGCTGGCCTGGCTGTGACCTCACCAGTGGCCCAGAGCAGAGGGGCAAGGTGGGCTGGGGGGAGGGCTGAGCGCACAGAGGGGGCCTGCCGTGGGCCCGGGTCCCTCCTCCGCAGCGTGAACCTGACAGGTCTCACCAGCGCCGGTACTGACGACCCCCTCAGCACCAAGAGCCTCCCTGCTCCTCCTGCAGGCGCGACTGGTAACTCCCATGAGCCCGGGGCCAGGGCCCACAGACAGACAGACCTCCCCAGGACAGACGTCCCCGGCACGCTCCTTGTCCTCAGGAGGGCTGCGTCCCCCTGGAGTCCAACGCGGGGCGACCCCATAACCTGTTGTCTGATTACAGTTGTGATAAGTCCCCGGGAAGGAGCATGACAAGAGGCTGAGACATGTGGCAGCCCAGTCCTTACCTCATGGTGAATATTGAAGACACTAACCCAGGCTAGGCCAGGCTCGCCCCGCAGCTACGGCGGTGGCATGCGTCTGCGGCGTCATCTCAGCTCCCTGTTGCTGGCGGCCGCTTGTGACCTAACCGCAGGCGCCTGTGTGCAACGTGGTGGGGCTCCCGGCAGGGCTCGGCTCTGCCCAAGAGGCCCGCCCTGGGGCTGCGCCGAGCCGCTTTGCCAAGGGGTTTCCTTCTCACTCAGACGCATGATGGCCCCAGGTGTGGCCGCGGGAGCCGAGGGATGGACGGGCTGGACCTGGCTCGCCGTAGGAGACGCCCCCCACCCCTGGGCTGGAGTCCAGCCAGGCCGCTGATCCTGCATCCCCAGACCATGGGGCCTCCAAACACCTTCCCAGCTCCTGTCCCACGTGTCCGGCCAGGCTCAGGAACCGGGCTCAGCTGCACTTTCCTCTTCCCCGCAGGCTGTGAAGCTACGGGAACAGGAGCAGAAGGAGGAGAAGCTGAGGCTCCAGCAGCAGGAGGAGCGGCGGCGGCTGCAGGAGGCCGAGCTGCGGCGCGTGGAGGAGGAGAAGGAGCGCGCGCTGGGCCTGCAGCGGAAAGAGCGGGAGCTGCGCGAGCGGCTGCTGAGCATCCTGCTGAGCAAGAAGCCGGACGACAGCCACACACACGACGAGCTGGGCGTGGCACACGCCGACCTGCTGCAGCCCGTCCTGGACATCCTGCAGACCGTGTCGTCCGGCTGTGTGAGCGCCACCACGCTGCACCCCCTCGGGGGCCAGCCCCCGGCCGGTGCCCCCAAGGAGAGCCCGGCCCACCCAGAGGCCGACGGCGCTCCCAAAAGCGTGAACGGGAGCGTGGCCGAGGAGGCCCCATGCAAGGAGGTTCAGAGCTCCTGTCGTGTGGTCCCCGAGGATGGCTCTCCAGAGAAGAGGTGCCCGGGCGGCGTCCTCTCCTGCATTCCTGACAACAACCAACAGCCCAAGGGCATCCCTGCCTGCGAGCAGAATGTCTCCAGAAAGGACACCCGGTCAGAACAGGACAAGTGCAACCGGGAGCCCAGCAAGGGCCGGGGCCGGGCCACCGGAGACGGGCTTGCTGACCGGCACAAGCGGGAGAGGAGCCGGGCCAGGCGGGCCAGCAGCAGGGAGGACGGGAGGCCACGCAAGGAGCGGCGGCCCCACAAGAAGCACGCCTACAAGGATGACAGCCCCCGCCGGCGCAGCACGAGCCCGGACCACACCCGGTCCCGGAGGTCCCACAGCAAAGACAGGCACCGGAGGGAGCGGAGCCGGGAGCGGAGGGGCAGCGCCAGCAGGAAGCACAGCCGCCACCGCCGCCGAAGCGAGCGGTCGCGCTCCCGGTCCCCGAGCAGGCACCGCAGTACCTGGAACAGGTAATGACGGGCACGGCCTCCCCACGGCCTGTCCGGGAAAGACCAGGACCTGCTCGAGCCTCCTGGCCGCTCCTTGGCCGCTCTCCGTCCACCCCTGCAAAGCCAAGACCCTTCTGCAGCCACGAATGTCCACGGAGCCCGCCGGCAGGAAGGAAGACACCATGCTTTAGAGATCCATCTTTCTCCACTCACCGCAGCGTACTTGGCACTTCAGTTTCAAACACGTAGTCCTTTAAAACTTGATCCGATAGCTTTAATGCGGCCGGTCCTCTCTCAGTCAGGAAAATTGCACAGACCGACAGTCGTGAGGATGGCAGAGCTGCTGCATTCCCCCACACGGGGATTTCTGTGTCTGCTTGGCGACCTCCCTGCGTGCACGGCCTAGGAGGTGCACGGGCCACCATAGTCACACTGGCACTGAAAAGAAAGCGTTGCCCTGGTGATTCTTTCCCCCCCGTTTGTAATGTTAACTGATCAGGAAGTGCAGTTTGGGTGGGATGCCGAATCGTCGTGCTGACATTGAGTCACGGATGAGGAAGGTACAAGTCCTTTAAGATCAAAACTCAAACGGGCCGTTCTTTCTAAGGTGTCGGTATGTGGGGAGTGGTACAAAATGGTCTGATGCTCCTTCAAAAACATTCACTTTTTACAACGTCAAGGAATTAAGCATAAAAAAGATTGGTTAAAAGCTTTGGTTTCTAGTAAAGGTTAGTGTGTGTGGTTTTTTTAAGAAGCTGTTTTGCTAAATTATTTTTACTTGGAATGTTTCAAACAGATTTCAGGCTGCAAACTTGTTTTATAATCGTTTGCTTCTCCAAGTGAAGCTCAGAAATACCTAAAAATAGCTGTAACGTTCGCGTTAGGAAAGATGGTGTTTATTCCAGTTTGCATTTTTATGGTGAAATAAAATCCTTTTCCAATGAACTAAAATTTTTCACGCTTACGATTTTTGTGTTTTTATGTTCCTTGGACTGCATTATTCAGCTGAGGCTAGCCAAGTGTGCGTGAAACCAGTAGAGATCGTTCGCTTTTCCTAGAACTGCTGATTCAACGATGACATATCCCACAGCTCTCCCGCAGCTGTACGGTAGTAACCTTCTGAGAGGAGAATCCTGGCTCTTAAGAGGCATCTGATTTGTTTGCTGAGAACATAAACTTAGCCAAATTCCCAAAACCAATCTTTTTTAAAGCCAAGGAGCTGTTTTTAAAGCAAATTTAAAAGACGGTCGTTCTTTTTTTTTTTTTGAGCCGGAGTCTCGCTCTGTGACCCAGGCTGGAGTGCAGTGGCACGATCTCAGCTCACTGCGAGCTCCGCCTCCCGGGTTCACACCATTCTCCTGCCTCGGCCTCCCGAGTAGCTGGGACTATAGGCGCCCGCCACCGTGCCCAGCCAATTTTTTTGTATTTTTTAGTAGAGACAGGGTTTCACGGTGTTAGCCAGGATGGTCTCGATCTCCTGACCTCGTTATCCGCCTGCCTTGGCCTCCCAAAGTGTTGGGATTACAGGCGTGAGCCACCGCGCCCGGCCAAAGACGGTTCTTTTCCCCGCCTAAAGTAGTGGTCACAGGTAGCGTAGGCACTGCCTGCTTGACCCAGGGTGGAATAGTCTGTTCCTCTGTTTAATTAAAACACAAACGTTCTTGGGGACTGGAGGGCTGGACACGTGCCTGTTGCACCCCCAAGCTCATATCACTAGCAGACAGATGAGCACTACACACACACCTTTCTCTCAAACGGCTCTGTCTGGCCTGAGACCAACTGACAAGATGCGTCCAGACACAGAGTGTTTGCAAACACGGACCTCTCAGAAGTCTGCATCTGGCCGGGCGCGGCAATTCAAGCCTGTCATCCCAGCACTTTGGGAGGCCGAGGCGGGCAGATCACGAGATCAGGAGATCGAGACCATCCTGGCTAACACAGTAAAACCCCGTCTCTACTAAAAATACAAATTAGCCAGGCGTGGTGGCGGGTGCCTGTAGTCCCAGCTACTCGGGAGGCTGAGGCAGGAGAATGGCGTGAACCGGGGAGGTGGAGCTTACAGTGAGCCGAGATCGCGCCACTGCACTCCAGCCTGGGCGACAGAGCGAGACTCCTGTCAAAAAAAAAAAAAAAAGCTGTGTATCTGTGTCAGTCTGTCCAGCCCAGCACTGAGCTTTTTGCCTGTTCAGTAGTTATTAGAGCGTTGCCAGGGCCGGGCATGGTGGCTCACACCTGTTATCCCAGCACTTTGGGAGGCCGAGGTAGGTGGATCACCTGAGGTCAGGAGTTCAAGACCAGCCTGGCCAACATGGTGAAACCCCGTCTCTACTAAAAACACAAAAAACTAGCCGGGCGTGGGGATGGTCACCTGTAATCCCAGCTACTCGGGAGGCTGAGGTAGGAGAATCGCTTGAATCTGGGGGGCAGAGGTTGCAGTGAGCCGAGATCACGCCACTGCACTCCAGCCTGGGCGACAGAGCGAGACTCCATCTCAAAAACAAACAAACAAACAAACAACGTTGCTAGGACCAGGTGTTGCTCTGGGCACCTGGGATATGGTGCTGGAAAAGACAGCACTCCCTGCAACGCTGAGGAATGTGTAGATACAGGGATGAGAAGTCCCAGTGATAGCTTCTCGAGAGAGCTGTGTGCGCAAGACAGAAGGGTGGACGTGGTGTGTCTGAGGTCAAGAAGTGCATGTGGCCGGGGGAAGGAGTAGGCAGAAGAGAAGCAGGAAAGGTGGACATGGAGCTGATCGCACTCATGAGGCTGACCCACTCCAGACTTTTGGGACGAGAAGCAAGAGGGGCTGTAAGCTGGGAGTGTGATGAGTGTGGCGGCTTGAAGTGCTGGTGGACTGGGCTAGGGGTTGATGGGAGAGAAGGTGGCAGAAATTGAATGCGTGTTGCCTTGTGATATGTTAGATGTGGGCAGTCTAGGAAAGCTGGAGAGCACCACCCCCAGGCCTATAGAATTGGGTATCTATGGAAGAGATTTAGGAATCTGAACTCCTTTTCTCTGTTTTCTCTTTTGTCTATCGCTCGTGCTCTCTCTCTCTCTCCTTCCTTCCTTCCCTCCCTCCCTTTCTTTTCCTTTTCTTTCCTTTTCTCTTTCTTTTTTCCTTTCCTTCCTTCCCTCTTTCCTATTTCTCTTTTATTTTTTGAGACGAATTCAAAAATTCTAAAATTTTTGAATTTTTAAGTAGAGGCAGGGTTTCTTCATGTTGGCCAGGCTGGTCTTGAACTCCTGACCTCAGGAGATCCACCAGCCTCGGCCTCTCAAAGTGCTGGGATTACAGGCGTGAGCCACCGCGCCCGGCTGAAATTTCTCTTCTTTGCTGTAGGGGTCAGTAGCAGTAAGTAGCGGCTGATAGGTGAGAATGGAGATTAATTGAAGCAACGCTGTTACTGATTAGATTTTGTCTTTACACTTGAGCCTGGAAGGAAGAAATGGAAGCATTCGACCCGAGGAATGTTGCCCCACAGATTTCTGGGGGGAGCATAGGAGATTGGTGTGTGCGTGCCCTGCCCTCCTCCCTCTCTCAACCCCTGTCAGTCTCTCCCCTGTTTTTCCCTGCTGTCTCTTCTCTCGCCCAGCTTCCCCTCTGCTTGTACTCTCTTCTGATCTCTGTTTTTGTCTCTGTCTCTCCTCCTTTCTTTTTTTTCTTTCTTTTTTTTTTTTTTGAGATGGAATCTCACCGTTGCCCAGGCTGGAGTGCAGTGGCGCGATCTCGGCCCAGTGCAACCTCCGCCTCCTGGGTTCAAGCAATTCTCTGCCTCAGCCTCCCAAGTAGCTGGGATTACAGGCACCTGCTGCCATGCCCGGCTAATTTTTTGTATTTTTGGTAGAGACGAGGTTTCACCATCTTGGCCAGGCTGGTCTTGAACTCCTGACCTCGTGATCCACCTGTCTTGGCCTCCCAAAATGCTGGGATTATAGGCGTGAGCCACCGCTCCCGGCCTGTCTCTCCTCCTCTCTTAATCCTTCCTTCTCTCCTCTCGCCCAGCTTCCCCTCTGCTTGCCCTCTCTCCCTATCTCTATTTTAGTCTCTCTTTGTCTCTCTCGGTCTTGTGATTTAGGGCACTTTGTGTTCAGTCCCTTTCTAGTGATTGGGATTATTATCCACTTAAAATATCCACAATAGGCCGGGTGCAGTGGCTCATCCCTGTAATCCCAGCACGTCGGGAGGTCGAGGCTGGTGGATCTCCTGAGGTCAGAAGTTCAAGACCAGCCTGACCAACATGGAG
Organism: Homo sapiens; assembly: GCF_000001405.40. Classification (NCBI taxonomy): domain Eukaryota; kingdom Metazoa; phylum Chordata; class Mammalia; order Primates; family Hominidae; genus Homo; species Homo sapiens. Next base: position 1,605,817 of record NC_000024.10, read on the forward strand.
AAACCCTGTCTCTACTAAAAATACAAAAATTAGCCAGGCGTGTTGTCACATGCCTATAGTCGCAGCTACTCAGCAGGCTGAGGCAGGAGAATTACTTGAACCTGGGGGGCGGAGATTGCGGTGAGCTGAGATCGCACCATTGCACTCCAGCTTGGGCGACAAGAGTGAAACTCTGTCTCACAAAAAATAAAAAATAAAAAATAAAAATCCACAAGGAATTTCACTTCCATGTGGCAGAACAGAAAACGAATGGATTTATTGCAAAATACGAGTGAGAAAGTGTGATTCTCTCGTTCATACCCTTTTATGACACTTAGTTCTGAACCGATTTGCCTCGTGTCTTCAGTTGGGATCTCAGGATCTCTTTCAGCCAAAAAAATCAAACTTCCCTGTTGAGTATGGCCTGTGTCACGGTGACCATCCTCGGCTCCTTCCGTTTTTTTGTTTTTTTTCAAGACAGTCTCGCTCCGTCGCCCAGGCTGGAGTGCAGTGGCACAATCTCGGCTCTCCACAACCTCCGCCTCCCGGGTTCAAGTGATTCTCCTGCCTCAGCCTCCCAAGTAGCTGGGATTACAGGTGTCTGCCACCACACCTGGCTATTTTTTTTTTTTTTAATTTTTAGTAGAGATGGGGTTTCACCAGGTTGACCAGGCTGGTCTCAAGCTCCTGACCTCAGGTGATCCACCTGCCTCCCAAAGTGCTGGGAATATAGGCATCAACCACCGCACCCAGCCTCACCAGGTAAACTTTCAAGTTCAAAAGTGCAGCTTGGAATTCCAGAGGGAAGGAGGATGGGGATACGGGTACGTGTGAATAAAGCAGCGCTGTGTCTACGATTCCACTCTCTGTGCTCACGTGAACACATTACTCAGCTCCCACTCAGAAGTGAGAACACGCTGCGTTTGACTTTCTGTGTCTCTGTGATTTCAATTAAAGTAACGGCCTCCAGGGTAACGAAACTGCACTTCTATGCCCTAAATCTATAATAATACATCAAGGTAAAAAAAAAAAAAATGGGCCAGGTGCAGTGGCTGACGCCTGTCATCCCAGCACTCTGGGAGGCTGAGGCAGGCAGATCACCCGAGGTCAGGAGTTCCAGACCAGCCCAGCCAACACGGTGAAACCCCATCTCTACTAAAAATACAAAAATTACCTGGACATGGAGGTGCGTGCCTGTAGTCCCAGCTACTCGGGAGGCTGAGGCAGGAGAATCGCTTGAACCCGGGAGGCGGAGGTTGCAGTGAGCCGAGATCACCCCACTGCACACCAGCCTGGATGACAGAGTGAGATTCCATCTCAAATAAATAAATAAATAAATAAAATGTATTTCAAAAGTGCCAATATGACATGAACTGCTGTTAATTTGTTCACCTGTATTGTTAAAATGGGTGAATACGGTTACCAGATTGTGATCATGTTCAAATTCCATAGGCCGCAGCCTTCGGGATGAAGCAAAGAGTTTTTGAAAAATTACATATTCTATGTCTAAAATGGCACCATCTGCATTTTTGAAAAATTTTAGATAATATTACAAATGCGTAGGTTGGCTCATGCCTGTAATCCCAGCACTCTGGGAGGCCGAGGCAGGAGGATAGCTTGAGCCCAGGAGTTTGAGAACAGCCTGGGCAACATAGCAAGACCCCATCTCTACAAAGATAATTAATCAGGCTTGGTGGCAGGCACCTGTAGTCCCAGCTACTCAGGAGGCTGAGGCAGGAGGATTGACTGAGCCCAGGCATTCGAGACCAGCCTGGGCAACATGGTGAGAGCTTGTCTCTAGCAAACATACAGAAACTTTAAAGTTTTTAAAGTAGCTGGGCGTGGTGGTGGGTGCCTGTGGCCCCAGCTACTCGGGAGGCTGAGGCAGGAGGATCGCTTGACCCCAGGAGTTCAAGGCTGCAGGGAGAAATGATGGTGCCCCTGCACTCCAGCCTGAGCGACAGAGTGAGACCCCATCTCTAAAAGAGAGACCCTCTGTCTCTAAAAAGAAAAACAGACCGGGCGCGGTGGCTCACGCCTGTAATCCCAGCACTTCGGGAGGCCCAGGCGGGCGGATCACGAGGTCAGGAGATCGAGACCATCCTGGCTAACACGGTGAAACCCCGTCTCTACTAAAAATACAAAAAAAACTAGCCGGGCGTGGTGACGGGCGCCTGTGGTCCCAGCTACTCCGGAGGCTGAGGCAGGAGAACGGTGTGAACCCGGGAGGCGGAGCTTGCAGTGAGAGGCGATTGCGCCACTGCACTCCAGCCTGGGCGACAGAGCGAGACTCCATCTCAAAAAAAGTAAAACAATAAAGAGTATAGAAAAACATGCATGCATGGGGGGTATAGGAGAGGTCCCAGCCCTCAGCCGTAGCCATGGATGTCCAGGTGGTGATGTGTTGCCCTGGCCCGCCCCGCAGGCCTCCAGCATCTCCAACAGCGGCTTCCCAGGGGATGCTGAAGCTGCGGCCGGACCGGCCAGCTCGGGCAGGGGTGAGCGGAGCTGCATCACCCAGGCATCCCGTCTGGGACCTCCTCCCATGCCTCCTTCCTGGGCACCTGCCCCTCCTCACTAGCTCATCCTCCTTCCCACCTGGTGGAGGACACGCACACCCTCCTGGTGGCGTCCTCAAGCCCCGTCCACCTGCCCAGGAGCTGGGGCATCCTGTGTCTCCCGCCTTGCTCTCCTGCACAGCCTGACTCAGAGCGGGAGCTCGACCCCCTACCCTCCCCGCTGTACGCTGCCCCAGCAAACCTCCCGAGTTTGCACCCGGCCACTGGATCGGCCTGCACAGGGGCTGCCGCCTCCGTCCCAGATGGCAGGGGCTTTTCCCTGCACCCCACCTCACTCAGCTCATGCCTCTGCTCCTGGTGAAAAACTTTTCCCATCACTCCGTCCCGTCCCCTCTCTGCAGCAAATGACTCTTGTCCAGGCTGTCCAGGCTGCCAGAGACCACCGAGGCACTCAGTCCGGAAGCCCATCTGTGCCAGGGTCATTGGGAGGTAAAGGCAACAGGCTTTACCTCTCCAGGCCACCCCTGCGCCTACTCCAGCTAAGACTCCAGGCCACCCCTGACCCTACTCCAGCCAAGCCTCCAGGTCACCCCTGCCCCTACTCCAGCCAAGCCTCCAGGTCACCCCTGTCCCTACTCCAGGGGCTGAGCGCGGTGGCTCACGCCTGTAATCCCAGCACTTTGGGACTCCGAGTTGGGCGGATCACGAAGTCAGGAGATCGAGACCATCCTGGCTAACACGGTGAAATGCCGTCTCTACTAAAAATACAAAAACAAAATTAGCCGAGTGTGGTGGCAGGTGCCTGTAGTCCCAGCTACTGGGGAGGCTGAGGCAGGAGAATGGCGTGAACCCGGGAGGCGGAGCTTGCAGTGAGCCAAGATCACGCCACTGCACTCCAGCCTGGGTGACAGAGCGAGACTCCGTCTCAAAAAAAAAAAAAAAAAGCAACAGTATGTTCCCCTGGGAGAACGGAGGGGGCGGCTGTTTACAGTTGCCCCAGGGCAGGACCTGCACACTGGACCATCCAGGGCCAGTCACCCCACAGGCATCTCAGACTCCACACATCCCCGCCAAACCCCAGCCCTGGGTCTTCTGCATTCTGGGGACATGGGGACACCACGCTGGTCGGTAGGGTCCCAGGCTCTTCTCAATCTCTCTCGGGCCCCTCCTCTCCTGCTGCCGCTGCCGCGGTGAGACTCCGAGGCCTGTAGGAAGCTTCAGGTGCCTGAGCCTCCAGTACAGCCCTTCCCCTACTCCACCCAAGCCTCCAGGCCACCCCTGTTCCTACTGCAGCCAAATCTCCAGGCCGCCCCTGTCCCCTACTCAAACCAAGCCTCCAGACCGCCCCTGTCCTCTACTCCAGCCAAGCCTCCAGGCCGCCCCTGTCCTCTACTCCAGCCAAGCCTCCAGGCTGCCCGTGTCCCCTACTCCAGCCAAAGCTCCAGGCCGCCCCTGCCCCTACTCCAGCCAAAGCTCCAGGCCACCCCTGTCCCCTACTCCACCCAAGCCTCCAGGAGGCCCTGTCACCTACTCCAGCCAAGCCTCCAGGCCAGTCCTTCCTTTACTCCAGCCAAGCCTCCAGGCCACCCCTGTCCCTACTGCAGCCAAACCTCCAGGCCGCCGCTGTCCCCTACTCAAACCAAGCCTCCAGGCCGCCCCTGCTCCTCCTCCAGCCAAGCCTCCAGGCCACCCCTGTCCCCTGCTCCAGCCAAAGCTCCAGGCCGCCCCGCCCCTGCTCCAGCCAACCCTCCAGGCCGCCCCTGCCCCTGTTCCAGCCAAGCGTCCAGGTCGCCCCCGTTCCTACTCCAGCCAAACCTCCAGGCCACTCCTGCCCCTGTAGCAGGACTAGCCGCGGATAAAACCCCTCAGACACCAGGTTTAGGAAGGTTTTGGCTTTATTCGGCCGGAAGCGTTGGCGGACTCACGTCTCGAGAACCGGGCTCTCCGAAGACAGAGCTCCTGGCCCTTTGAAAGGCTTACAACTCTAAGGGGTTCCACGTGAAAGGGTTCTGATAGATTGAGAGCACGTGTGGTTAGAGTCGGGGGTTAATGTTTTAACCTCAGGCCTGGTCAGGGGTGCCGGCTGGTCTTGCCACTGACTTCATTCCTGTTGTTTTTCAACTTTTACTTCCTCCTTCTCTTCAGAGACAGGAGATAGTAAAATAAATGGCCTCTCTCCCCACCCCGACTCCAGCCAAGCCTCCAGGCCGCCTCTGACCCTGCTCCAGCCAAACCTCCAGGCCTCCCCTGCCCCTACTCCAGCTAAGACTCCAGGCCACCCCTGACCCTACTCCAGCCAAAACTTCAGCCCGTCCCACTCACCCAAGTTATACAAAAGCTCCTGGGCTTTCCGGCCAACTCTGTGTCCCAAACATCCCATCCCCAAAATGGCAGCTTCTGACTGTGTCCAGACCATGCAGGCCTCTCCTGAAACCGTCCTGCCAGACGCTGTCTCAAGGTGGTGAGGGGTTCCGTGCAATGTCCCTGAGGGCTTTTAAAGCCACCCTGTCTCCTGTCCATCGGCCCCCTCCCCTCCTCTCCCTCTGTCTTTCCAGATGCTCCACCCATGCAGGGTTGTTGTCTCTTCTTTGAACAGCCCGGACGCACTGCCGCTACCCCACGGCCTCCGCACCTGCTGTTCCCTCTGGCAGAGACGGTCTTTCCTGGGAGCACCCACCCGGTCCCTCCTGCCTCGGATTTCAAAGACTTCCAAAACCACCTTCACCCCAAAATCCAGCTCTCCCTCCCCTCCCCTTCTGTCCACACCCCCAAATCACCTTCTAACATCTTCATCTTTTTTTTTCTTTGTTTTGAGATGGAGTCTCCTTCTGTCGCCCAGGCTGGAGTGCAGCGGCGCGATCTCGGCTCACTGCAACCGCCACCTCCCGGGTTCAAGCGATTCTCCTGCCTCAGCCTCCCAAGTTGCTAGGATAACAGGCATGCACTGCCACGCCCAGCTAATTTTTTGTATTTGTAGAAGAGATGGGGTTTCACCATGTTGGTAGGCTGGTCTCAAACTGCTGACCTCAAATGATCCAGCTGTCTTCGCCTCCCAAACTGCCCAGATGACACATGTGAGCCACCACACCTGGCCCAGATCTGATGGTTTTATAAATGGGAGGTCCCCTGTTGCACACGCCCTCTGGCCTGTCACCAGGTAAGACATGCCTTTGCTTCTCCTTGGCTTTCCTGCCATGAGTGTGATATGTATTTATCAGCAACATGAAAATGGACTAATACAATATGCTTGTCAGCCACGCGTGTGTCTTCTTTTTGAGAAGTGTCTGTTGGCCGGGCGCGGTGGCTCACTCCTGTCATCCCAGCACTTTGGGAGGCCGAGGCGGGTGGATCACGAGGTCAAGAGATCGAGACCATCCTGGCTAACACGGTGAAACCCTGTCTCTACTGAAAATACAAAAAATTAGCTGGCTGTGGTGGCTGGTGCCTGTAGTTCCAGCTACTCTGGAGGCTGAGGCAGGAGAATGACACGAACCCGGGAGGCGGAGCTTGCAGTGAGCTGAGATCGAGCCACTGCACTCCAGCCTGGTGACAGAGCGAGACTCCATCTCAAAAAAAAAAAAAAAAAATTACCCAAAATTACCCAGTCTCAGGTATGTCTTATCAGCAGCATGAAAATGGACTAATATGCTTGTCAGTCACGTGTGTGTCTTTTTTTGGAGAAGTGTCTGTTGGCCGGGCGCGGTGGCTCACGCCTGTCATCCCAGCACTTTGGGAGGCCGAGGCGGGCGGATCACGAGGTCAAGAGATCGAGACCATCCTGGCTAACACGGTGAAACCCCGTCTCTACTAAAATTACAAAAAATTAGCCAGGTGTGGTGGTGGGCGCCTGTAGTCCCAGCTACTGGGGAGGCTGAGGCAGGAGAATCTCTTGAACCCGGGAAGCGGAGCTTGCAGTGAGCTGAGATCGTGCCACTGCACTCCAGCCTGGTGACAGAGCGAGATTCCATCTCAAAAAAAAAAAAAATTACCCAAAATTACGCAGTCTCAGATATGTCTTTATCAGCAGCATGAAAACGGACTAATACAATATGCTTGTTGGCCACGTGTGTGTCATCTTTGGAAAAGTGCCTGTTGGCTGGGTTCAGTGGCTCATGCCTATTATCCCAGCACTTTGGGAGGCTGAGGCAGACGGATCACCTGAGGTCAGGAGTTCGAGATCATCCTGGCCAATATAGTGAAACCCTGTCTCTACGAAAAATACAAAAATTAGCCAGGTATGGTGGCAGGTGCTTGTAATCCCAGCTACTCGGGAGGCTGAGGCAGAAGAATCGCTTGAACCTGGAAGGTGGAGGTTACAGTGAGCCAAGATTACACCACTGCACTCCAGCCTGGTGACAAAGCGAGACTCTGTCTCAAAAGGAAAAAGAAGAAAAAAGAAAAAGTGTCCGTTCATGTCCTTTGTAAGACTCCACTCTCTAGTAACCGTGTTCCTGCCCTTCTCAATTCCTAAGGTAATCGCCTTAACTCAGATCCCTGAGAAATCCCCACAGCAGGCAGAGATTTGGTCTCCTGACAGTAGCTTTGGGATTCCATTAAGCAAATATGATTGGGGGCCAGCCCCTTCTGTCTCCAGGTAAGGTGTCCCCAAGGACCCTTCATCGCTCTGAACTTCAAGGATTTCTTTTTCTTTCTTGCTTTCCTTCTTTCTTTCTTTCCTTCTTTCTTCCTTCTTTTCTTTTTCTTCCTTCCTTTCTTTCTTCCTTTCTTTTTCTTTCTTTCTTTCCTTCTTTTTCTTCCTTCCTTCCTCCCTCCCTTCCTTCTTTCTTTCTTTCTGTATCTCTCTCTCTCTTTCTTTCCTTTCTTTCTTTCCATTTCTGTCTCTCTCTCTTCTTTCTTTTCTCTTCTTTCTTTCTTTCTTTCTTTCTCTCTCTCTCTCTCTCCTCTCCTCTTTCTCTCTCTCTGTTTCTCTCTTTCTTTCTTTCTTTTTGATACAGACCTCACTGTGTTGCCCAGGCTGGAGTGCAATGGCCCAATCTCGGCTCACTGCAATCTCTCCCTTCCAGGTTCAAGTGATTCTCCTGCCTCAGCCTCCCAAGTAGCTGGGATGACAGGCACCTGCCACCATGCCCGGCTAATTTTTGTATTTTTAGTAGAGACGGGGTTTCACCATGTTGACCAGGCTGATCTTGAACTCCTGACCTCAAGTGATCCTCGCACCTCAGCCTCCCAAAGTGCTGGGATTACAGACATGAGCCACCTTACCTGGCTAATTTTTATATTTTTAGTAGAGTCGGGGTTACACCGTGTTAGCCAGGCTGGTCTCGATCTCCTGACCTCATGTGATCTGCCCCACATTGCTGGGATGACAGGCTGTGTTTATATTTTTCCCCTAGAAAATCACTCTGGAGGCTGGGAGTGGTGGCTTACGCCTGTCATCCCAGCAATTTGGGAGGCCGAGGTAGGCGGATCAGCTGAGATCAGGAGTTCAACACCAGCCTGACCAACATGGAGAAACCCCGTATCTACTAAAAATACAAAATTAGCCGGGCGTGGTGGTGGGTGCCTGTAATCTCAACTACTGGGAGCCTGAGACAGAAGAATCACTTGAACCTGGGAGGCAGAGGTTGCGGCGAGACATGCATCCTCAGAAATGGGGTAGAGACCTGGCACGGTCACTTTTTTTTTTTTTTGAGACAGATTCTCGCTCTGTCGCCCAGGCTGGAGTGCAGTGGCGCGATCTTGGCTCACTGCAACCTCAGCCTCCCGGGTTCACACCCATTCTCTTGCCTCAGCCTCCCAAGTAGCTGGGACTACAGGCACCCGCCACCACGCCCAGCTAATTTTTTGTATTTTTAGTAGAGACTGGGTTTCACTGTGTTAGCCAGGATGGTCTCGATCTCCTGACCTTGTGATCCGCCTGCCCCGGCCTCCCAAAGTGCTGGGATGACAGGCTACCACGCCCAGCCCTGGCACGGTCACATTTTAATTATGTGCAGGCATTTAGATTGTCCAAATAAACGTTGCAAGATATCTAGGCTGAAGTGGGAGGATCTCTTGAAGTCAGGAGTTCAAGACCAGCCTGGGCAACATAGTGAGACACCCCCCCCCCACCCCGATCTCTACAAAGAATTAAAAAATTAGTCAGGCACATTGGCTCATGCCTGTCTTCCCAGCACTTTGGGAGGCCGAGGTGGGTGGATCACCTTAGGTCAGGAGTTGGAGACCAGCCTGGCCAACATGGTGAAACCCTGTCTCTACTACAAATACAAAAATTAGCCAGGTGTGGTGGTGTGTGCCTATAGTCCCAGCCACTCGAGAGGCTGAGGCAGGAGAATCGCTTGAACCCAGGAGGCAGAGGTTGCAGTGAGCTGAGATGGTGCCACCGCACTCCAGCCTGACGACAGAGCGAGACTCCATCTAAAAAAAAAAAAAAGGGGTCTCACTATGTTGCCCAGGCTGGCCTGCTGGCATCTTGATGTTGAACTTCCAGCCTCCAGAAGTGTGAGAGAACTGGTTTCTTGAGCCACCCAGTTTGCAGAAATTCGCACGACCCCCAGAAATGAATGCAGGACCTGCTCAATCCATAAGACGATTAATGAGTGCTAATGATGGGTGAGCATATTGGTTTGGGATCAGTTCTACAGCTGATGAGTCAAGGGCTCGGGGGGGCCTGATGCAGACTATTTTAGGGCTGCGGAGGGGCGCCCAGAAAGCCAGGGAATCGCCACACGCTTTGTGATCCCCTAATACGGTTAATGCAAATTTCTAGAGTGATCCGTCTTTGTTTGAGTACTGGGCAGGCAGCAGGGAGAGTCAGGCAGCAGCTGTGAGCGGGTGGCTCTTCCCCACCTTGCCAGCAGGCTCTGTGCTCCTTGAAGCAAGCGCTCCAGAGGCTCCGGAAGCCACGGCTGGATTGGAGACAAGATGGGATCCTCAGAGGACCAGGCCTATCGCCTCCTTAATGACTACGCCAACGGCTTCATGGTGTCCCAGGTAGGATACGCTCTGTGGGACAAGGGGGAATAGACTTCCGTTCATCACACTCACGTTCCATTGTTGTGTCAGTCGAGAAAAATGATGAGTCTCCATCATTTTAGGAGGTTTATTTTCCACCGTGAAAGACGTACACCCACGATGTAGCCTCAGGAGTTCCTGAGGACATGTGCCCAGGGTGGTCTGGGGACAGCTTGGTTTGATACATTTTACAGAGACATGAGTCATCAATCAATGTATGTAAGTACATTGGGCCAGTCGTGGTGGCTCACACCTGTGATCCCAGCACTTTGGGAGGCTGAGGCGGGCGGATCACCTGAGGTCGGGAGTTCGAGACCAGCCTGACCCACACAGAGAAACCCCATCTCTACTAAAAATACAAAATTAGCCAGGCTTGGTGGTACATGCCTATAATCCCAGCTACTTGGGAGGCTGAGGCAGGAGAATCGCTTGAACCTGGGAGGCGGAGGTTGCAGTGAGCCGAGATCGCACCACTGCACTCCCGCCTGGGGGACACAGCAAGACTCTGTGTCAAAAAAAAACCAAACAAACAACAAAAAAAAAGAAACAAAGCTTAAGATGAAATACATAGGATTAGAAACAAGACAATGTTTATTGAACTGCAAGTGTTGAAATTTTTAAAACATTTCATGATAGAGTAGTATATGTGGTTGTTTATTAACCCAGTAAATAATTACACTGTGCGTTTATCATAGAGGTGAGTTTTGAGGGTTCACCCGTAGAGGAGCAACACCTCATTCCTTTTTTTTATTTTTTTGAGCTGGAGTCTCACTCTGTAACCCAGGCTGGAGTGCAGTGGCACGGTCTTGGCTCACTGCAACCTCCGCCTCCAGGGTTCAGGCTATTCTCCTGCTTCAGCCTCCCGAGTATCTGGGATTACAGGCACCCACCACCACGCCCGGCTAATTTTTGTATTTTTAGTAGAGATGGGGTTTCACCATGTTGGCCAGGCTGGTCTCGAACTCCTGACCTCAAGTGATTCACCTGCCTCGGCCTCCCAAGGCCTCATTTCTTCTTCTCACAGAATAACATCGTGCTCAGTGAAGGAAGGCTGACGTGAAAGGCCCCATATGGTATGACTTCATTTATATGAAATGTGCAGAGCAGGCAAATCCTTCGAGGTGGAAAGTGGACTGGTGGTTTGCAGAGGCTGGGCAGGACTGCGGAGGGAGTGTTTAACGGAGACAGTGTCCCTTTTTGGGGTGATGCAAATGTTCTGGAACCCGGCGGAAGTGCTGGCTATACAACATCACGAATGTACTAAGTGCCCCTGAATTATGCTTGAAAAGGGTTAATGATGGCCGGGCTCAGCGGTGACACCTGTCATCCCAACGGTTTGGGGGTCCGAAACGAGGGAATCGCTTTAGCCCAGGAATTCGAGACCAGTCTGGGCAACATAGTGAGACCCCCCATTTCTACAAATTCTTTTTTCTTTTTGAGACAGAGTCTCGCTCTGTCGCCCAGGCTGGAGTGCAATGGCACGATCTCGGCTCACTGCAAGCTCCACCTCCCAGGTTCACGCCATTCTCCTGCCTCAGCCTCCCGAGTAGCTGGGATTACAGGCACCCGCCACCACGCCCGGCTAATTTTTTGTATTTTTAGTAGAGACGGGGTTTCACCGTGTTAGCCAGGATGGTCTCGATCTCCTGACCTCATGATCCGCCCGCCTCGGCCTCCCAAAGTGCTGGGATTACAGGCGTGAGCCACTGTGCCTGGCCAAAAATATTTTAAAAATTAGCCAGGTGGGGTGGTGCACACCTGTAGTCCCAGCTACTCAGGAGGCTGAGGCGGGAGGATCGCTTAAGCCTAGGAGATGAAGGCTGCAGTGAGCTATGATTGCACCACTGCACTCCAGCCTGGATGACAGAGCAATACTGAGTCTCTTTAAAAAATAAACGGCAGGGCGCGGTGGCTCATGCCTGTCATCCCAGCACTTTTTGGGGTCCAAGGTGGGCGGATCACTTGAGGTCAGGAGTTCAAGACCAGCCTGGCCAACATGGTGAAACCCCGTCTCTACTAGAAGTATAAAAATTAGCCAGGCATGATGGTGGGCACCTGTCATCCCATTTACTCGGGAGGCTGAGGCAGGAGAATTGCTTGAACCCGGAGGAGGTAGAGGTTGCAGTGAGCCGAGATTATGCCACTGCACTCCAGCCTGGGTGTCGCAGTGAGACTCTGTCTCAGAACAAAAACCAAAAACCAGCATCATCGTGAAAGGGGGTCGTGTGCTGACGATATTTTGAGATGTCTGCAGCAGCTCTCGTGTGACTTGAAAATATCTGTGGTTTCTCTCCGTCAGCAAGCCACCGGTTTTTTTTGTTTGTTTTTTTCCTTTTTTTTTTTCAGACAGAGTTTCCCTCTTGTCGCCCAGGCTGGAGCGCAGTGGCGCTATCTCGGCTCACTGCAACCTCTGCCTCCCGGGTTCAAGCGATTCTCCTGCCTCAGCCTCCCGAGTAGCTGGGAGTACAGGCGCGTTCCAACACGCCCAGATAATTTTGTATTTTTAGTAGAGATGGGGTTTCTCTATGTTGGTCAGGCTGGTCTCGAACTCCCAACCTCAGGTGATCCTCCTGGCCCCCACACTTTCTTCTATCATGGCTGTGGTTTGCCAGTACGCTCATGGTTGAAGGGAACACCACATCTTAGGAAGAGGTAGTGAAAATTAGAGTGAAGTCTCTTCTCCTTCCTGGTTTGTAGAGCCCGTGAATTTTACCTCTAGGCCCCCAAGGGTTAAAAATACCTATTCCCCAGCCACTGATACGCAGAGCGGCCTCCGCCTACGGGGTTCAAGCGATTCTCCTGCCTCAGCCTCCTGAGTACCTGGGATTACAGGTGCCTGCCACCAAGCCTGGCTAACTTTTATTTTTATTTTTATTTTTATTTATTTTTCTGATATGGAGTTTCACTGTTGTTGCCCAGGCTGGAGTGCAGTGGCATGATCTCAGCTCACTGCAACCTCTCCCTCCCAGGTTCAAGCAATTCCCCTGCCTTAGCCTCCTGAGTAGCTGGGATTTCAGGCGTCCACCACCACGCCCGGCTAATTTTTGTATTTTTGGCAGAGACGGGGTTTCATCATGTTGGCCAGGCTGGTGTCGAACTCCTGACCTCGGGCGATCTGCCTGCCTCGGCCTTCCAAAGTGCTAGGATTACAGGTGTGAGCTACTGCCTCTGGCTAATTTTTTGTAGTTTTGGTAGAGATGAGGTTTCATCATGTTGGCCAGGCTGGTCTTGAACTCCTGACCTTGGGCAATCTGCCTGCCTCAGCCTCCCAAAGTGCTAGGATGACGGGCGTGAGCCACTGACATCCAGCTAATTTTTTGTATTTTTGGTAGAGACGGGGTTTCATCATGTTGTCCAGGCTGGTCTCGAACTCCTGACCTCGGGTGATCTGCCTGCCTCAGCCTCCCAAAGTGCTAGGATTATAGGCATGAGCCAACATGTCTGGCTAATTTTTCTATTTTTTAGTAAAGGTGGGATTTCTGTTACTGTCCCAGACAACAGTAACTTGCTACCTTTGCCTCCTTTGACCGCAGGCCTCCTGCTGGGGCTATTGACTGCTCATTCAAAGACTGTCGCTGGTTCACAGCGGTGTTCAGGGAGGTGGTCTGGTGGGTTCTAAATCTTGGAAGAGCAGTCACTTTAAGGCACATGATACCATGTCATGGGAGTTGTCAGAAGTTTCACAGAACCAGAGTTAATGCAGAGTTAATACCACCTTAAGAGGATCAAACTTAGTACACCCTTAACAGAAACAATTAGCTAATGCAGCTTTCATAGACCAAGAGTGAATATCGCCTTAAGAAGATAACATTTAGTATACCCTTGGCCAGGCACAGTGGCTCACGCCTGTAATCCCAGCACTTTGGGAGGCCGAGGCGGGCGGATCACAAGGTCAGGAGTTCGAGACCAGCCTGGCCAATATGGTGAAATCCCATCTCTACTAAAAATACAAAAATTACCTGGGCGTGGTGGCGGGCACCTGTAGTACCAGCTACTTGGGAGGCTGAGGCACGAGAATGGCGTGAACCCGGGAGGTGGAGGTTGCAGTGAGCCGAGATCACGCCACTGCACTCCAGCCTTGGGGGCAGAGCGGGACCCTGTCTCAAAAAAAAAAAAAAAAAGTGGGGGCTGGGGAGGGAGAGCACTAGGACAAATACCTAATGTAGGTGACGGGTTGACAGGTGCAGCAAACCACCATGGCACATGTATACCTGTGCAACAAACCTGCACGTTCTGCACATGTACCCCAGAACTTAAAGTATAATAATAATAATAATAATAATAATAATAATAATAATAAAAAGTCTTTGGGAGCAGAAAAAAAAAAAGATCAAAGTTAGCGTACCCTTAACAGAAACAGTTAATGCACCTTTCATAGACCAAGGGTGAACTCAGCCATAAGAAGGTAACATTTAATATATGCCCTTAAAAGAACAATTAATTGAGACAACCCCAAAAGGAATGAATACAACTTTAATGAATAAAACAAAACAGAACGCTAATTTAAAAAGGTTAATACGGGCCGGGCGTGGTGGCTCATGCCTGTAATCTGAGCACTTTGGGAGGCCGAGGAAGGTGGATCAGGAGGTCAGGAGATTGAGACCATCCTGGCTAACACGGTGAAACCCCGTCTCTACTAAAAATATTTTAAAAATTAGCCGGGCGTGGTGGTGGGCGCCTGTAGTTTCAGCTACTCGGGAGACTGAGGCAGGAGAATCCCTTGAACCCGGGAGGCGGAGCTTGCTGTGAGCCGAGATCGCACCACTGCACTCCAGCCTGGGTGACAGAGCCAGACTCCGTCTCAAAATAAATAAATAAATAAATAAATAAAAAAGAAAAAGGTTAATACAACATTAAAGAACAAGAATTAATATAGCTTTTTTTTTTTTTTTTTTTTTTTGAGACCTAGTCTCACTCTGTTGCCCAGGCTGGAGGGCAGTGGCATGATCTCAGCTCACTGCAACCTCCGCCTCCCGGGTTCAGGCGATTCTCCTGCCTCAGCCTCCCGAATAGGTGGGATTACAGGCGTGCACCACCATGCCTACTTTTTGTATTTTTAGTAGAGACGGGGTTTCACTATGTTGGCCAGGCTGGTGTCGAACTCTTGACCTCAAGTGATCTGCCTGCCTTGGCCTCCCAAAGTGCTGGGATGACAGGTGTGAGCCACTGCACCTGGCCTAATATAGCTTTAATAGAAAAGGAGCTAATACAAGCTTAGAATAATAAACTTTATGCAGACTTACTGAAACAAACAGTCAATGCAACCTTAACCAAACAGGAATTGATAACAGTTTAATAAAAAAGCTAATACCACTTGAATAGAATATATCTTACTACAACCTTCATAAGAAAAACAACTAATACACTTTGGGAGACCGAGGCAGGCAGATCACGAGGTCAGGAGATCGAGACCATGGTGAAACCCCGCCTCTACTAAAAATACAAAAAAATTAGCCTGGCATGGTGGCGGGCACCTGTAGTCCCAGCTAGTCGGGAGGCTGAGGCAGGAGAATGGCTTGAACCTGGGAGGTGGAGGTTGCCGTGAGGCGTGATCGTGCCACTGCACTCCAGCCTGGCGACAGAGCGAGACTCTGTCTCAAAAAAATAATGATAATAATAATAAACAAATAAAGATACCAAAAAAAAAATACAAAAATTTAGCCGGGTGTGGTGGCACGTGCCTGTAATCACAGCTACTCGGGAGGCTGGGGCAAGAGAATCACTTGAACGCGGGAGGCGTAGGTTGCCGTGAGCCGAGATTGCACCGCTGCACTCCAGCCTGGGTGACAGAGCGAGACTCCGTCTCAAAAAAAAGAACAAACAAAAAGATAGTGGTAGGTGTAATCTGTGTTTCTTTCCCCATGCTGTTGAAATAAAGCTAACTGTAAGTATCCTGGAAGACACGTGGCCTGAAGAAACCATCTTTCCCTGTGGTTTGTTTATGACTTCCTGTCACTAAGGTTGCCTGAGCCTTGGCACCCATCCAAAACGATGTGTGCAAGAAAAGAAATGCATGGATGATTTATTCTTGTTTTATTTTTTTTTTGAGATGGAGTCTCGCTCTGTTGCCCAGGCTGGAGTGCAGTGGCGCGATCTTGGCTCACTGCAATCTCCACCTCCAGGATTCAAGCAATTCTCCTGCCTCACCCTCCCCAGTAGCTGGGACTACAGGCTCACACCACCATGCCCAGCTAATTTTTATACTTTTAGTAGAGATGGGGTTTCACCATGTTGGCCAGGTTAGCCCTGAACTCCTGACCTCAGGTGATCCGCCCACCTCGGCCTCCCAGAATGTTGGGATTACAGGCGTGAGCTACCACGCCTGGCTGATTTATTCATTTTTTATAGTTTGTGTATTATTTGAAGGCATTACCTGATTACTGCTTTATTTTATTTTTATATGTATTTATTTATTTATCTATTGAGACGGAGTTTCGCTCTTGTTGCCCAGGCTGGAGTGCAATGGCACGATCTCGGCTCACCACAACCTCTGCCTCCCGGGTGCAAGTGATTCTCCTGCCTCAGCCTCCCGAGTAGCTGGGATTACAGGCATGCACCACCACACCAGGCTAATTTTGTATTTTTAGTAGAGATGGGGTTTCTGCACGTTGGTCAGGCTGGTCACGAACTCACAACCTCAGTTGCTCCACCTGCCTCGGCCTCCCAAAGTGCTGGGATGACAGGCGTGAGCCACCGCACCCGGCCTATTTATTTTTTTTGAGACGGAGTCTCACTCTGTCCAGCCCAGGCTGGAGTGCAGTGATGCGATCTTGGCTCACTGCAACCTCTGCCTCCCGGGTTTACGCCATTCTCCTGCCTCAGCCTCCCGAGTAGCTGGGATACAGGTGCGCACCACCATGCCTGGCTAATTTTTGTATTTTTAGTAGAGACGGAGTTTCACCATGTTGGCCAGGCTGGTCTCGAACCCCTGACCTCAAGTGATCTACCCTCCTAGGCCTCCCAAAGTGCTGGGATTACAGGCGTGAGCCACCACGCCCGGTCCTCTGTCTCTGTTTTTGAGACAGAGTCTTACTCTGTCACCCAGGCTTGGAGTGCAGTGGTGAGATCTCGGCTCACTGCAACCTCCGCTTAGCAGGTTCAAGCGATTCTCCTGCCTCAGCCTCCCAAGTAGTTGGGATTACAGGCATGAGCCACCACGCCCGGCTAATTTTTGTATTTTTAGTAGAGATGGGGTTTCACCATGTTGGCCAGGCTGGTCTCAAACTCCTGACCTCAGGTGATCCACCCACCTCCCAAAGCGCAGGGATTATAGGTATGAGTTAAAGCACCCAGCCAGGAGACATTTTTAAATGAGGTTGCACGGCTATGGAAAACAGGGTGGGGCCAGGCGCAATGGCTCACGCCTGTCATCCCAGCACTTTGGGAGGCCGAGGCTGGCAGATCACGAGGTCAGAAGTTCGAGACCAGCCTGGCCAACATGGTGAAACCCCATCTTTACTAAAAACACAAAAATTAGACAGGCATGGTGGAACAGGCCTGTAATCCCAGCTACTCGGGAGGCTGAGGCAGGAGAATGGTGTGAAGCCGGGAGGCAGAGGTTGCAGTGAGCCGAGACCGCACCACTGCCCTCCAGCCTGGGTGATACAGTGAGACTTCAACTCAAAATAAATAAATTAATTAATTAATAAAAATAAATAAATAAATATGACTGTTTTCCATAGTGGTGCAATCTCATTTGACTCTGTCTCAAAAAAAAAAATAAATAAATGAATAAGAATATAAATAAAACAATGCTTTCCTCCCTAGCCTGCCATGGTATGGGGTGTTTCTAAGACTGTGGTTCCCAGGAGGCTGAGCCCTGACCTTTTATTTCCGCTCCTGCTCCAAGGTTCTCTTCGCCGCCTGCGAGCTGGGCGTGTTTGACCTTCTCGCCGAGGCCCCAGGGCCCCTGGACGTGGCGGCAGTGGCTGCAGGTGTGAGGGCCAGCGCCCATGGGACAGAGCTCCTGCTGGACATCTGTGTGTCCCTGAAGCTGCTGAAAGTGGAGACGAGGGGAGGAAAAGGTGAGGACACGGGCGTTTTGAAGGAGGCATTTTACATAGACACCCTCTGCAGCCCACGTGTTCTGTAAAAAGTGAAACAGTCTCCATCCTGGCTCACACAGTGAAACCCCGTCTCTACTAAAAAAAATACAAAAAATTAGCCGGGTGTGGTGGCGTGCACCTGTCATCCCAGCTACTCAGGAGGCTGAGGCAGGAGAATGGCATGAACCCGGGAGGCAGAGGTTGCAGTGAGCCGAGATCGTGCCACTGCACTCCAGTCTGGGCGACAGAGCGAGACTCCATCTGTATTTGCAGGTTTGGGGGTCGTGTGGTTTTTGTGGCAGCTACCGACCTCTGCCCTGGGGACGTCAAAGCTGCCAGAGTGTGAGACCCAGGCTGGGGGATTCCTTGAGCCCAGGAGTTCGAGACCAGCCTGGGCCACGTATTTTTAATAGAGACAGGATTTCATCACGTTGGCCAGGCTGGTCTCGAGCTCCTGACCTCAGGTGATCCACCAGCCTGGGCCACTTATTTTTAGTAGAGACAGGATTTCGTCACGTTGGCCAGGCCGGTCTCGAGCTCCTGACCTCAGGTGATCCACCCGCCTCGGCCTCCCTAAGCGCTGAGATTACAGGTGTGAGCCACCACGCCCGGCCTCAATAAGTTATTTTAGACATTCTGTGGAATGTAACGTACGTTTCCTCTCGTGGCTCATCTGCCTTTGTACTTGCTGCACCCAAACTCCCGATGGGGATTTGTACAAACCGAACCCGACGGGGGTGCTAGCCGCCCCAGGTCACCTTTGCGCCTTCCACAGAAGGCTCCAGCTGTACAAGGCAAGAGGAAGACCCCATCTCTAAAGAAGAGATGGGCTTGTAATCATGTTGAAATCACGATGTTGTCGAGCTGGGGAGCGTCCGCCGGCAGGAACTCGGAATCTCACTGCTTTTTCCCTGTTTTTTTGTGTGTGTTTCAGCTTTCTATCGAAACACAGAGCTGTCCAGCGACTACCTGACCACGGTCAGCCCGACGTCACAATGCAGCATGCTGAAGTACATGGGCAGGACCAGCTACCGGTGCTGGGGCCACCTGGCAGACGCCGTGAGGTGGGGGCTGCCCCCAGGCAGATGCTGGGAGGTGGTGGCTGCACCCAGGCAGATGCTGGGAGGTGGGGGCTGCCCCCAGGCAGATGCTGGGAGGTGGTGGCTGACCCCAGGCAGATGCTGGGAGGTGGGGGCTGACCCCAGGCAGATGCTGGGAGGTGGGGGCTGCACCCAGGCAGATGCTGGGAGGTGGGGGCTGCCCCCAGGCAGATGCTGGGAGGTGGTGGCTGCACCCAGGCAGATGCTGGGAGGTGGGGGCTGCCCCCAGGCAGATGCTGGGAGGTGGTGGCTGACCACAGGCAGATGCTGGGAGGTGGGGGCTGACCCCAGGCAGATGCTGGGAGGTGGTGGCTGACCACAGGCAGATGCTGGGAGGTGGGGGCTGACCCCAGGCAGATGCTGGGAGGTGGGGGCTGCACCCAGGCAGATGCTGGGAGGTGGGGGCTGCACCCAGGCAGATGCTGGGAGGTGGGGGCTGCACCCAGGCAGATGCTGGGAGGTGGGGGCTGACCCCAGGCAGATGCTGGGAGGTGGGCGCTGCACCCAGGCAGATGCTGGGAGGTGGGGGCTGACCCCAGGCAGATGCTGGGAGGTGGGGGCTGCATCCAGGCAGTGACCAAGTCTCAGGACTACCGCCAGGGGCTGGTGAAGTGGCAGTGGAGGAGGTGAAAGGGAAGGTTTCTTTTTCTTTGTTTTTTCTTTTCTTTTCTTTCTTTTTTTTTTTTTTGAGATGGAGTCTTGCTCTGTCACCCAGGGTGGAGCGCAGTGGCGCCATCTCGGCTCATTGCAAGCTATGCCTCCCGGGTTCACGCCATTCTCCTGCCTCAGCCTCCCAAGTAGCTGGGACTACAGGAACCCGCCACCACACCCGACTAATTTTTTGTGTTTTTGGTAGAGACGGGGTTTCACCATGTTAGCCAGGATGGTCTCCATCTCCTGACCTCGTGATCTGCCTGCCTACATGGTGGCAGGCACCTGTAGTCCCAGCTACTCAGGAGGCTAAGGTGGGAGAACTGCTTGAACCCAGAAGGCAGAGGCTGCAATGAGCTGATTGTGCCACTGCACTGCAGCCTGGGCAACAGAGCAAAAACTCTGTCTCAGAAAGAAGGAAACAGAAAGAGAGAGAGAGGGGAGAAGGAAGGAAGGAAGGGAGGGAGGGAGGGAGGGAGGGAGGGAAAGAAGGGAAATAATGGAAAGTAAGAGAAAGAAAGAGAAGGAAGGAAAGAAAGAGAGAGAGAGAGAGAAGACCTGGACTCAATAGAAAGGAGTGTCTGGGTGGCCGGACGCAGTAGCCCATGCCGGTAATCCCAGCACTTTGGGAGGCTGAGGCGGGCGGATCACGAGGTCAGGAGATCGAGACCATCCTGGCTAACACGGTGAAACCCCGTCTCTATTAAAAATACAAAAAATTAGCCGGGCGTGGTGGCGGGCGCCTGTAGTCCCAGCTACTCGGAGAGGCTGAGGCAGGAAAATGGTGTGAACCCGGGAGGCGGAGGTTGCAGTGAGCCAAGATCGCACCACTGCACTCCAGCCTGGGCGACAGAGCGAGACTCCATCTCAAAAAAAAAAAAAAAAAAATAGGGGTGTCTGGGTTAACATAGGGGGTTGTGGAGACCAAATTCTTATTATGTAGATGAAATCTCCAGGTAGCAGGCTTCAGAAAGAATAGACTGTTACTGTTTCCTATCTGACTTGGTTCTCTCCTGGATCAGAAAAAAGGAAGGAAAAGGAAGGTGATTCTCTCCAGAACGTAGATTTTCTCCACAACAGGTAGCTTTACAGGAGTATTTCAAGCTATGGTAAAGAGAACATGTTTGGGGCTAAAATATTTTTATTTCCTTTTTTTTTTTTTTTTTTGAGACAGAGTTTTGTTTTGTTGCCCAGGCTGGAGTGCAGTGGTATGATCTCGACTCACTGCAACCTCCGCCTCCTGGGTTTAAGTGATTCACCTGCCTCAGCCTCCCCAGTAGCTGGGAGTATAGGCATCCACCACACCTGGCTGATTGTTTGTGTTTTAGTAGAGACGGGGTTTCACCCTGTCTTTGAGGCTGGTCTCCAACTCCTGAGCTCAGGCTATCTGCCCCCGTCTTGGCCTCCCAGAGTGTTAGGATTATAGGTGTGAGCCACCACGCCCAGCCTTTGATTTTCTTCTTTATCTGTGATGGGTTGTTATGCCAGAGTCAGGTTGGAAAGTGAGCCACGTAATATAGGGTTAAATAAAACCCATCTCACGAGACTTTATAGTTATAGAGCATAACTCCCTAGGCCCCTTAGATAAGAATTTGGGCAAGGAAGAAAAAGG
Source organism: Homo sapiens (assembly GCF_000001405.40). Classification (NCBI taxonomy): domain Eukaryota; kingdom Metazoa; phylum Chordata; class Mammalia; order Primates; family Hominidae; genus Homo; species Homo sapiens. The sequence continues at coordinate 1,626,698 of NC_000024.10, forward strand.
TCACGTGTAACAATTAAGTCCTCAGGTTTAAACAATTAAGCAACAGCTGGCCAGGCGCGGTGGCTCACGCCTGTAATCCCAGCACTTTGAGAGGCCGAGGCGGGTGGATCACCTGAGGTCACGAGTTCGAGACCAGCCTGACCAACATAGTGAAACCCCATCTCTACTAAAAAATACAAAAATGAGCCAGGCATGGTGGCGGGTGCCTGTCATCCCAGCTACTCGGGAGGTTGAGGCAGGAGAATCGCTTGAACCGAGGAGGTGGAGATTGCAGTGAGCCAAGATCGCGCCATTGCACTCCAGCCTGGGCGACACAGCGAGACTCCGTCTCATAAAATAAAATAAGGCCAGGTGCGGTGGCTCACGCCTGTAATCCCAGCACTTTGGGAGGCCAAGGCGGGCAGATCACCTGAGGTCAGGAGTTCGAGACCAGCCTGACCAACATGATGAAACCCCATCTGTACTAAAAAGTACAAAAATTAGCCAGGCACGGTGGCAGGTGCCTGTAATCCCAGCTACTCGGGAGGCTGAGGTAGGAAAATCGCTTGAACCCGGGAGGCGGAGATTACAGTGAGCCAAGATCGTGCCATTGCACTCCAGCCTGGGCGACACAGCGAGACTCCATCTCCTAAAATAAAATAAGGCCAGGTGTGGTGGCTCACACCTGTAACCCCACCACTTTGGGAGGCCGAGGCGGGTGGATCACCTGAGGTCACGAGTTTGAGACCAGCCTGACCAACATGGTGAAACCTGTCTCCACTAAAAATACAAAAATTAGCTGGGCGTGGTGGCGGGCGCCTATAGTCCCAGCTACTCGGGAGGCTGAGGCAGGAGAATGGCGTGAACCCAGAAGGCAGAGGTTGCAGTGAGCCGAGATCGTGCCATTGCACTCCAGCCTGGGCTACAGAGCTGAAATGAAATGAAACGAAATGAAACGAAATGAAATGAAATGAAATGAAATGAAATGAAATGAAATGAAAATCAGCCTTCTCTCTCTTTTCTTAGAGAAGGAAGGAACCAGTACCTGGAGACGTTTGGCGTTCCCGCTGAAGAGCTTTTTACGGCCATCTACAGGTAACACCCATCACTTTGAAACCAACAACTCAGATAAGATTCTGTTTATTTTTAAAGGACTTAGGAAACCCAATCCATTTACTCAAATGGCACAACCCAGGAGGAAGCTGCCATTTAATTTAAAATAACATCCCCTATCCCCACTACTACCCCAGATTTTGCTCATCTGATGTTTAAATTGATCAAATTCCTGAGGAGGTGCAACGTGACCCTTCCTTCGAAAGGACTACTCACAAACTCAGTGTTTATGTAGAAAATGGAGGCACGCGCCGGGCGCGGTGGCTCACGCCTGTCATCCCAGAACTTTGGGAGGCCGAGGCAGGTGGATCACCTGAGGTCAGGAGTTCGAGACCAGCCTGGCCAACAGGGTGAAACCCCGTCTCTACTAAAAATACAAAAATTAGCCGGGCGTGGTGGCGGACGCCTGTAATCCCAGCTAGTCGGGAGGCTGAGGCAGGAGAACTGCTTGAACCCGGGAGGCGGAGGTTGCGGTGATCTGAGATCGCACCACTGCACTCCAGCCTGGGCAACAAGAGTGAAACTCCATCTCAAAAAAGAAAAGAAAAGAATATAGAGGCCCAGTTTTTGATTTGGTCAGAGGTGAAGGTGAGGCCAGGTGAGACCTCAGCTCTTCACTTTGCTTTGCGATGTGGACACAGCTTTGGCCTTTGCCCGAAGCTCTTACCTAGAATTCCCAGATGGAGGTGAATTGATGGGCCCGTCCAGTGTTCCAGCTGGCTGAGGCATGGAGTAGGGAAGGGTATGAAGGACAAGGGGATGCCTGAGTGGTTCGCCTGCCCCCCAACCTCTCCTCTCCTCCCCTGCTCTCCCCTCCCCTCTCTTCTCCTTCTGTCCTGTTCCCTCTCTTTTCCTCTTCCATCCTCCTCTCTTTCTCTCCTTTTCCTTCTCTTCTCTTCTCTCCTCTCTTTTCCTCTCCATCTTCCCCCTCCTCTCTCCCATCTTCCCTCTCTTGTCTCCTCTCTCTTCTTCCCTCTCTCCTTTCCTCTCGCCTCCCTTCCCCTCCCTTCACCTGCCTCTCTCCTTCTCCTCTCCCGTCTTCTTTCTCTCATCTTCTCTGTTTTCATGCCCCGTATTTCACCTCCTTTTCTCCTCCTCTCTTCTCCTCGGTCTGCTTTCCTTTCCCCCGTTTCTCTCTTTCTTTCTCTCTCTCTTTCTTTCTTTCCTTCTTTCTTTCCTTCTTTCTCCTTCCTTCCTTCGTTCCTTCCTCTTTCCTTCTGCCTGCCTTCCTTCCTTCCCTCCCTCCCTCCTTTCTTTCTTTTTCTTTCTTCCTTCTTCCTTCTTTCCTTTCTTTATATATATATATATGTGTGTATACATGTGTATGTGTATGTGAATATATGTATCTGTTTAGGGGGCACAAGTACCCATGTCTTCCATGCTTACATGTTGCACCTTGCAGCCTAGGCTTTTAGTGTGCCCATCACCTGAATAGTGACCGTGGTACCTAAGAGGCAATTTTTCAGCCCTCGCTACTCTGAGGCAAACCCCTACAGCAGGCTCTGCAGAGAGGACAGGAGGAGAGAGGGAGCTGTGGGGGGGGAGGAGCAGGAAATGCTTCCAACACCAGAGCCCTGTCCGCCTCTGTGTCCACCTATCCTTCTTGGCTCCATCTCACCTGCCTCCCTTCCTAGTTCCTGCCTTTTCTCTAGCCTCTTCCCCAGGATGTGTGGACCTCCCACCCGCTTCCTGGATTTGTCCTCTGGGGCTGAGCTCTGTGGATGGGGGAACGTATTATTGACTTTCCTCTTAGAAAACATCTAAACTCCTCTTCAGATAGAAATCCCTTCCCATCCAGAGAACAATCGTCCGTTCTGAATCAACTCCAGGTTTCCCGGAGCTGGGTACACTTTGCTGGCTGACCTATGGTTCCCCCATCCCGAATGACTTCCTGTTCCATTTCACAAATGCAAGCCTTCCAGGTGCACCTGTGGGGTATAGCTCCGTTCTCAACAGGGGGTTATGTACACCCTTGCTCTGGGCACGTCCCCAGATCCTCACCATCTTGACAAGCGTGGTTTTGCATGCCAGGTCCGAGGGCGAGCGGCTACAGTTCATGCAAGCTCTGCAGGAGGTCTGGAGCGTCAACGGGAGAAGCGTGCTGACCGCCTTTGACCTGTCAGTGTTCCCACTTATGTGTGACCTTGGTGGTAAGTACCCCTCACCACTAATACCTCGGAGGTGTGGCTTCTGTTCTGTATGGGGAATGTGTTATTCATGTCTTTTATTTTCTGCATTCTGATGCTTTGACATGTGCGGCCTTACTGGTCTTAGAGGAATCATTCCTCCCAGCACTGGGCACTTCCTAGAGTCAGCAAACATCTCCTCTGCGAGCACACGTTTCTTTTTCTTTTCTTTTTTTAAGATGGAAGCTTGCTCCATCGCCCAGGCTGCAGTGCAGTGGCATGATCTCGGCTCACTGCAACCTTTGCCTCCTGGGTTCAAGCGATTCTCCTGCCTCAGCCTCCCGAGTAGCTGGGATTACAGGCACCTGCCACCACACCAGGCTAATTTTTTTTTTTTTTTTTTTTTTTGAGATGAAGTGTCGCTCTGTCGCCCAGGCTGGAGTGCAGTGGCACGATCTCGGCTCACCGCAACCTCCGCCTCCTGGGTTCAAGCGATTCTCCTGCCCCAGCCTCCCGAGTAGGTGGGATTATGGGTGCGCACCACTCTGTCAGGCTAATTTTTGTATTTTTTAATAGAGACGGGGTTTTGCCATGTTGGCCAGGCTGGTCTCGAACTCCTGACCTCATGATCCACCCGCCTCGGTCTTGTTTTTAGTTTTTGAGAGAGGGTCCTGTTTGTCACCCAGGCTCGAGTGCAATGGTGTGTTGATAGCTCACTGCAGCCTCAGACTCTCAGGCTCAAGTGGTCCTCCCACCTCAGCCTCCCAAGTAGCTGGGATTACAGATGACTGCCGCCACACCTAGCTCATTTAAAAACTTTTCTGTAGAGCCTGAGTCTCTCTACGTTGCCCTGGCTGGTCTCAGACTCCTGGGCTCATGCAATCCTGCTGCCTCAGCCTCCAAAAGTGCTGGGATTACAGGCGCCCGCCACCACACCCAGGCTGAGCTGAGCTTGTTTTATTTATTTATTTATTTATTTATTTACTTGTATTTATTTATTTATTTTTTTTTTTGAGATGGAGTCTTGCTCTGTCACCCAGGCTGGAATGCAGTGGTGCAATCTCCACTCACTGCAAGCTCTGCCTCCCGGGTTCACGCCATTCTCCTGCCTCAGCCTCCTGAGTAGCTGGGACTACAGGCGCCCGCCACCACGCCCAGCTAATTTTTTGTTTTTTTTTTTAGTAGAGACGGGGTTTCTCCGTGTTAGCCAGGATGGTCTCGATCTCCTGACCTCGTGATCCACCCGCCTCCGCCTCCCAAAGTGCCAGGATTGCAGGCATGAGCCACTGCGCCGAGCTCATTTTCAAACTTTTTTGTAGAGAACGAGTCTCCCTATGTTGCCCTGGCTGGTCTCAGACTCCAGTTTCATGCAGTCCTCCTGCCTCGGCCTCCCAGAGTGAGTGATGGGATTACAGGCATGAGCCACTGCACCCAGGCTGAGCTTGCTTTTTGAATACAAATCCCCAACCCCGAGCTCACCCCTTAAGCACCTCCTCTACCCCATAGGGCTGTCACACTCCAGGCCGTGATCCACCCACCCTATCTCCCTCCTGTGACTCAGTGGATCACTCAGAACAGCTCCTGGCTGGTAGAAGGCCCTTTGCAGAGTGAGGAGCTTCTCCAAGTTTATTACTTTTAGTCACTGTGAGCAGGGATAGATAGAGTTCAGGATCCCCCTGCCTGGGGAGCAGCTTGGGAAGAAAATAATGAACAAGCAGACCGGGCGCGGTGGCTCACTCCTGTAATCCCAGCACTTTGGGAGGCCGAGGCGGGTGGATCTCCTGAGGTCAGGAGTTCGAGATCAGCCTGGTCAACATGGTGAAATCCCGTCTCTACTAAAAATACAAAAAAAGGCTGGGTGCGGTGGCTCATGCCTGTAATCCCAGCACTTTGGGAGGCTGAGGCGGGCGGATCCCAAGGTCAGGAGTTTGAGACCAGCCTGACCAACGGGGTGAAACCCGGTCTCTACTAAAAATACAAAAACTTAGCCAGGCATGACAGTAGGTGCCTGTCATCCCAGGTACTCAGGAGGCTGAGGCAGGAGAATCGCTTGTACCCGGGAAGTGAAGGTTGCAGTGAGCTGAGATCGCGCCACTGCACTCCAGCCTGGTGACAGAGTGAGACTCCATCTCAAAATAAATAAAAAGACTGACTTTCTACAGAAATAATGGACAAGGAGCATGGGGCTGGAAGTCTCTGTGGCCCATGATGGATTTTGTGTGCACGACTTACCGGGGCCTCTGAATGGGGCTTGTTATTACATCCTTCTCTTAGCTGTTGGCCGCCCTTGGCTGGACAGGTGCGCCGGCTTCAAGAACACACAGTTAAGTGCGTGGCCATATGGAAGTTTGGAGCTTGGGTCAGCCCAGCCAGAAAGACCACCTGAACTCAGGGGCCTGTAGACAATCACGTCACCGTCAAGATTAGACATGGTGGATAAAAAAGGATGAGTTCGGCCGGGCGCGGTGGCTCACGCCTGTCATCCCAGCACTTTGGGAGGCCGAGATGGGCGGATCACGAGGTCAGGAGATCGAGACCATCCTGGCTAACACGGAGAAACCCTGTCTCTACTAAAAATACAATAAAAAAATTAGCTGGGCGTGGTGGCGGGCGCCTGTAGTCCCAGCTACTGGGGAGGCTGAGGCAGGAGAATGGCGTGAACCCGGGAGGCAGAGCTTGCAGTGAGCGGAAATCGTGCCACTGCACTCCAGCCTGGGCGACAGAGCCAGACTCTGTCTCAAAAATAAATAAATTAATAAATAAAAGGATGCGTTCATGTCCTTTGCAGGGACATGGATAAAGCTGGAAACCATCATTCTCAGCAAACTATCGCAAGGACAGAAAACCAAACACCGCGTGTTCTCACTCATAGGTGGGAACTGAACAATGAGACCACATGGACACAGGGAGGGGAACGTCACACACTGGGGCCTGTCAGGGCCTGGGGGGCTGGGAGGCTGGGGGAGGGAGAGCACTAGGACAAATACCTAATGTAAATGACGAGTCGATGGGTGCAGCAAACCACCATGGCACATGGATACCTATGTAACAAAACCGCATGTTCTGCACATGTACCCTAGAACTTAAAGTATAATAAAAAGAAAAAAAAGACCAGACATGGCGGAAGGACCCAAGTTCCTGGGTTGGACCCTTCATGAGTCCATGGTGTGTGGAGGGTGAGCGATGTCTCTCAGGTTCATCTCTGAGGGTCAAACGGGCTGTGTCCCCTTCCAGGTGGGGCTGGAGCTCTGGCTAAGGAATGCATGTCTCTGTACCCTGGATGTAAGATCACCGTTTTTGACATCCCAGAAGTGGTGTGGACGGCAAAGCAGCACTTCTCATTCCAGGAGGAAGAACAGATTGACTTCCAGGAAGGTGTGTTTGTGTCCGTGGGGAAGCAGAGATGTGTCTCACGGCTTCTCCAGGGGGACTGGATGTTTCTGGGAAATGAAGAAGATGTGATGTGGTTTTCCTCTCACTCCCGGAAACACCCTCAACTCAACACTGTCTGTTATTCATGATGGATGGAAAGCTGGGTGTAGATATACAGTTTTCTTACAATTATTATTATTATTATTGATACAGAGTCTTGCTTTGTCGCCCAGGCTGGAGTGCAGTGGTGCAGTCTCGGCTCACTGCAACCTCCACCTCCTGGGTTCAAGCAATTCTCCTGCCTCAGCCTCCCAAGTAGCTGGGATTACAGGCATGCGCCACCACATCCAGCTAATTTTTTTTTTTTTTTGAGATGGAGTCTCACTCTCTTGCCCGGGCTGGAGTGTGGTGACAGATCTCGGCTCCCTTCAAGCTCCGCCTCCCGGGTTCACACCATTCTCCTGCCTCAGCCTCCCAAGTAGCTGGGACTACAGGCACCCACCACCACACCTGGCTAATCTTTTATATTTTTAGTAGAGGTGGAGTTTCACTGTGTTAGCCAGGATGGTCTCGATCTCCTGACCGCGTGATCCGCCCACCTTGGCCTCCCAAAGTGCTGGGATTACAGGTGTGAACCATCACACCCGGCCTCTTTTTGTATTTTTAGTAGAGATGGGGTTTCACCGTGTTGACCAGGCTGGTCTCAAACTCCTGACCTCAGGAGATCCACCCGCCTCGGCCTCCCAAAGTGCTGGGATTACAGGCGTGAGCCACCGCACCCAGCCAGTCATATCATTTCTGCAGTGAAGGGTGTGGCCAGGGTCTCCACGACTACCTTCAGGTTCAATAATTCACTAGAAGGACACACCGAGCTCAGAAGAGCCATCATACACATAGTTATATTTACAACAATGAAAGAATACAGATGCATATCAGCGAAGGAGAAAGGAGCATGGGATAGAGTTCGGGAGAAACCACATGTGAGCTTCTTGTTGTCTTCTCCCAGTGGAGCTGTGGACAGCAATCAATTCCCCCAACAACAAGGTTTGACAACACACACCACTCACTGCCAGCCTGGAGAGCCTCCGCAATCCCTGACATCCAAGGATTTTCTTGGAGACTGGTTACATAGACATGGCAGACACCCTGCATGGCTGACTCCAATCTTCACCTCTTCCAGAGTTCCCAAGGTGATCCTATAGTAAATCCCACTGTTAGTACAAACTATCCTGGGTGGCCCAGAGACCCAGCTGAACAAAGATACCCTTGTGAGGTAGGACATTCTTAGAGATTACAGTTGCCAATTAAGTGCCAATCCTCTCTTTAGAATGTGGAGGGTTTGGACAACACAGGCCTGCTGAGTTAACCCCCCCCCTTTTTTTTTCTTGTTTTTTTGAGACGGAGTCTCACTCTGTCACCCAGGCTGGAGTGCAGTGGCGTGATCCAAGCTCACTGCAACCTCTGCCTCCCAGGTTCAAGCAATTTTTTGCCTCAGCCTCCTAAGTAGCTGAGATTTTACAGGTGCCTATCACCATGCCTGGCTAATTTTTTGTATTTTTAGTAGAGACAGGGTTTCACTATCTCGGCCAGGCTGGTTTTGAATTCCTGACCTCGTGATCCACCTGCCTCGGCCTCCCAAAGTGCTGGGGATTACAGGAGTGAGCCACCGCGCCTGGCCTGAGTTAACTCTTTTTTTTTTTTTTTTGAGATGGAGTCTCGCTCTGTCACCCAGGCTGGAGTGCAGTGGTGGGATCTCGGCTCACTGCAAGCTCCACCTCCCGGGTTCACACCATTCTCCTGCCTCAGCCTCCCGAGTAGCTGGGACTACAGGCGCCCACCACCACGCCCAGCTAATTTTTTTTTTTTTTTTGTATTTTTGGTAGAGATGGGGTTTCACCGTGTTAGCCAGGATGGTCTCAATCTCCTGATCTCGTGATCTGCCCCGCTCAGACTCCCAAAGTGCTGGGATTACAGGCGTGAGCCACCGCGCCTGGCCTGAATTAACTCTTCACTGCACAGAGCTCACCAAGATCTCTCCCAAGATTGGCACCTTATCATTTTGCGGGAAAACTATGACAAGACTTGAGCGTTTCACATCGCACACACATAAAGGGTCAGTCTTGCGTATTTACTTTAAATCTGGAGAACAGGTCTTGACTGTAGGTTCAGTTCAGCTCATCAGTTAGGAGCTGCTGACCGAATTCCCAGGGACTCCTGGAATCCACGGCTTTGGGTGATATCAGCAGCAGTGCTTTTGCAGGGGACATCAGAAAGAAAGAAAGAAAGAACATGGGCCGGGCACAGCAGCTCATGCCTGTAATCCCAGCACTTTGGGAGGCCGAGGCGGGCGGATCACCTCAGGTTGGGGGTTCGAGACCAGCCTCAGCAACATGGAGAAATCCCATCTCTACTAAAAATACAAAAATTAGCCGGGCGTGGTGGCGGGTGCCTGTAATCCCAGCTACTCAGGAGGCTGAGGCAGGAGAATCGCTTGAAACCAGGAGGTGGAGGTTGCGGTGAGCTGAGATCAGGCCCTTGCACTCCAGCCTGGGCAACAAGAGCAAAACTCCATCTCAAACAAACAAACAAACAAAAAAACAAAAAAGAAACCATATTATGATTTTTTTTTAAAGGAGGAGGAGAGAAAGAGGCCACACTTATTCAGTATTTTCTTTCTTTTTTTTTTTTTGGAGACAGTCTCGCTGTCGCCCAGGCTGGAGTGCAATGGTGCAATCTCGGCTCACTGCAAGCTCCGCCTCCCGGGTTCATGCCATTCTCCTGCCTCAGCCTCCCGAGTAGCTGGGACCACAGGCACCCGCCATCACGCCCGGCTAATTTTTTTTGTATTTTTAGTAGAGACAGGGTTTCACCGTGTTAGCCAGGATGGTCTTGATCTCCTGACCTCGTGATCTGCCCACCTCCGCCTCCCAAAGTGCTAGGATTACAGGCGTGAGCCACCGCGCCCGACCTCAGTATTTTCTTATCTTTCTCCTAAGCCTTTTTGTTTTCTGAGGCTAGGTCTGCAGGTGACTAGCCTGGAAGACCTGGGAAAGGCGTGACCCATCCAGGTGACCTTTTGTGCCCAGAATAGGTTTAGTCAAATGGGATTGGATTGCAGGCTGACCTCGGTGTGCCTGCCCTGTGTTCCAGGGGATTTCTTCAAAGACCCTCTTCCGGAAGCTGATCTGTACATCCTGGCCAGGGTCCTCCATGACTGGGCAGACGGAAAGTGCTCACACCTGCTGGAGAGGATCTACCACACTTGCAAGCCAGGTAAGTTGTGGGGTTTGCATTTCAGCGTGTGCTTGTGACACGGGGCAGAATTGTACGAGTCACATTTAGAAGGCAGGCACTGAAATCATCCCACAGGTAAGGGTAGACATCCTGCCCAATATGGCTTTCCTTTTAGATAACGACCTGAAATAAATAGGGTCCTAATTTCTATTCTATTGATAAAACCACATAAAGATGGAAAAAGTGAAAGGCCCTCTGAAACTTCAGTGGCCTCACTTTGGTGAAATTCTTTCAGAATTAGGCTAGTATTTGTGTGTGTGATGAGGACAGTGCCCCACTGACTTCTGAGGTCCACCCATCCTGATGGTTCATGAGGATGTGGGCACAGCCTCTGTGTGTGATGGGGACAGTGTCCCAGCTCTCCTGTGAGGTCCATCCATCCTGATGGCACATGAGGATGTGGGCACAGCCTCTGTGTGTGATGGGGACAGTGTCCCAGCTCTCCTGTGAGGTCCATCCATCCTGATGGCACATGAGGATGTGGGCACAGCCTCTGTGTGTGAGATAAGGACTGTGTCCCAGCTCTCCTGTGAGGTCCACCCATCCTGATGCTTCACGAGGACGTGGGCACAGCCTCTGTGTATGATGGGGACAGTGTCCCAGTGTCCTGTGAGGTCCATCCATCCTGATGGCACATGAGGATGTGGACACAGCCTCTGTGTGTGTGATGGGGACAGTGTCCCAGTGTCCTGTGAGATCCATCCCTCCTGATGGTTCATGAGGATGTGGGCACAGCCTCTGTGTATGATGGGGACAGTGTCCCAGTGTCCTGTGAGATCCATCCCTCCTGATGCTTCACGAGGACGTGGGCACAGCCTCTGTGTATGATGGGGACAGTGTCCCAGTGTCCTGTGAGGTCCACCCATCCTGATGGCACATGAGGATGTGGGCACAGCCTCTGTGTGTGAGATAGGGACCATGTCCCAGCTCTCCTGTGAGGTCCATCCATCCTGATGATCCATGAGGATGTGGACACAGCCTCTGTGTGTGTGATGGGGACAGTGTCCCAGTGTCCTGTGAGATCCATCCCTCCTGATGGTTCATGAGGATGTGGGCACAGCCTCTGTGTGTGAGATAGGGACCATGTCCCAGCTCTCCTGTGAGGTCCATCCATCCTGATGATCCATGAGGATGTGGACACAGCCTCTGTGTGTGTGATGGGGACAGTGTCCCAGTGTCCTGTGAGATCCATCCCTCCTGATGGTTCATGAGGATGTGGGCACAGCCTCTGTGTGTGAGATAGGGACCATGTCCCAGCTCTCCTGTGAGGTCCATCCATCCTGATGGCACATGAGGATGTGGGCACAGCCTCTGTGTGTGAGATAGGGACCATGTCCCAGCTCTCCTGTGAGGTCCATCCATCCTGATGATCCATGAGGATGTGGACACAGCCTCTGTGTGTGTGATGGGGACAGTGTCCCAGTGTCCTGTGAGATCCATCCCTCCTGATGGTTCATGAGGATGTGGGCACAGCCTCTGTGTGTGAGATAGGGACCATGTCCCAGCTCTCCTGTGAGGTCCATCCATCCTGATGGCACATGAGGATGTGGGCACAGCCTCTGTGTGTGAGATAGGGACCATGTCCCAGCTCTCCTGTGAGGTCCATCCATCCTGATGATCCATGAGGATGTGGACACAGCCTCTGTGTGTGTGATGGGGACAGTGTCCCAGTGTCCTGTGAGATCCATCCCTCCTGATGGTTCATGAGGATGTGGGCACAGCCTCTGTGTGTGAGATAGGGACCATGTCCCAGCTCTCCTGTGAGGTCCATCCATCCTGATGATCCATGAGGATGTGGACACAGCCTCTGTGTGTGTGATGGGGACAGTGTCCCAGTGTCCTGTGAGATCCATCCCTCCTGATGGTTCATGAGGATGTGGGCACAGCCTCTGTGTGTGAGATAGGGACCATGTCCCAGCTCTCCTGTGAGGTCCATCCATCCTGATGGCACATGAGGATGTGGGCACAGCCTCTGTGTGTGAGATAGGGACCATGTCCCAGCTCTCCTGTGAGGTCCACCCATCCTGATGCTTCACGAGGACGTGGGCACAGCCTCTGTGTATGATGGGGACAGTGTCCCAGTGTCCTGTGAGGTCCATCCATCCTGATGGCACATGAGGATGTGGACACAGCCTCTGTGTGTGTGATGGGGACAGTGTCCCAGTGTCCTGTGAGATCCATCCCTCCTGATGGTTCATGAGGATGTGGGCACAGCCTCTGTGTGTGAGATAGGGACCATGTCCCAGCTCTCCTGTGAGGTCCACCCATCCTGATGATCCATGAGGATGTGGACACAGCCTCTGTGTGTGTGATGGGGACAGTGTCCCAGTGTCCTGTGAGATCCATCCATCCTGATGGCACATGAGGATGTGGGCACAGCCTCTGTGTGTGAGATAGGGACCATGTCCCAGCTCTCCTGTGAGGTCCATCCATCCTGATGATCCATGAGGATGTGGACACAGCCTCTGTGTGTGTGATGGGGACAGTGTCCCAGTGTCCTGTGAGATCCATCCCTCCTGATGGTTCATGAGGATGTGGGCACAGCCTCTGTGTGTGAGATAGGGACCATGTCCCAGCTCTCCTGTGAGGTCCACCCATCCTGATGATCCATGAGGATGTGGACACAGCCTCTGTGTGTGTGATGGGGACAGTGTCCCAGTGTCCTGTGAGATCCATCCATCCTGATGGTTCATGAGGATGTGGGCACAGCCTCTGTGTGTGAGATAGGGACCATGTCCCAGCTCTCCTGTGAGGTCCATCCATCCTGATGGCACATGAGGATGTGGGCACAGCCTCTGTGTGTGAGATAAGGACTGTGTCCCAGCTCTCCTGTGAGGTCCACCCATCCTGATGCTTCACGAGGACGTGGGCACAGCCTCTGTGTATGATGGGGACAGTGTCCCAGTGTCCTGTGAGGTCCATCCATCCTGATGGCACATGAGGATGTGGACACAGCCTCTGTGTGTGTGATGGGGACAGTGTCCCAGTGTCCTGTGAGATCCATCCCTCCTGATGGTTCATGAGGATGTGGGCACAGCCTCTGTGTGTGAGATAGGGACCATGTCCCAGCTCTCCTGTGAGGTCCACCCATCCTGATGATCCATGAGGATGTGGACACAGCCTCTGTGTGTGTGATGGGGACAGTGTCCCAGTGTCCTGTGAGATCCATCCATCCTGATGGCACATGAGGATGTGGGCACAGCCTCTGTGTGTGAGATAGGGACCATGTCCCAGCTCTCCTGTGAGGTCCATCCATCCTGATGATCCATGAGGATGTGGACACAGCCTCTGTGTGTGTGATGGGGACAGTGTCCCAGTGTCCTGTGAGATCCATCCCTCCTGATGGTTCATGAGGATGTGGGCACAGCCTCTGTGTGTGAGATAGGGACCATGTCCCAGCTCTCCTGTGAGGTCCACCCATCCTGATGATCCATGAGGATGTGGACACAGCCTCTGTGTGTGTGATGGGGACAGTGTCCCAGTGTCCTGTGAGATCCATCCATCCTGATGGCACATGAGGATGTGGGCACAGCCTCTGTGTGTGAGATAGGGACCATGTCCCAGCTCTCCTGTGAGGTCCACCCATCCTGATGATCCATGAGGATGTGGACACAGCCTCTGTGTGTGTGATGGGGACAGTGTCCCAGTGTCCTGTGAGGTCCATCCCTCCTGATGGTTCATGAGGATGTGGGCACAGCCTCTGTGTGTGAGATAGGGACCATGTCCCAGCTCTCCTGTGAGGTCCACCCATCCTGATGATCCATGAGGATGTGGACACAGCCTCTGTGTGTGTGATGGGGACAGTGTCCCAGTGTCCTGTGAGATCCATCCCTCCTGATGGTTCATGAGGATGTGGGCACAGCCTCTGTGTGTGAGATAGGGACCATGTCCCAGCTCTCCTGTGAGGTCCACCCATCCTGATGCTTCATGAGGACGTGGGCACAGCCTCTGTGTATGATGGGGACAGTGTCCCAGTGTCCTGTGAGATCCATCCATCCTGATGGCACATGAGGATGTGGGCACAGCCTCTGTGTGTGAGATAGGGACCATGTCCCAGCTCTCCTGTGAGGTCCATCCATCCTGATGATCCATGAGGATGTGGACACAGCCTCTGTGTGTGTGATGGGGACAGTGTCCCAGTGTCCTGTGAGATCCATCCCTCCTGATGGTTCATGAGGATGTGGGCACAGCCTCTGTGTGTGAGATAGGGACCATGTCCCAGCTCTCCTGTGAGGTCCACCCATCCTGATGATCCATGAGGATGTGGACACAGCCTCTGTGTGTGTGATGGGGACAGTGTCCCAGTGTCCTGTGAGATCCATCCATCCTGATGGCACATGAGGATGTGGGCACAGCCTCTGTGTGTGAGATAGGGACCATGTCCCAGCTCTCCTGTGAGGTCCACCCATCCTGATGATCCATGAGGATGTGGACACAGCCTCTGTGTGTGTGATGGGGACAGTGTCCCAGTGTCCTGTGAGGTCCATCCCTCCTGATGGTTCATGAGGATGTGGGCACAGCCTCTGTGTGTGAGATAGGGACCATGTCCCAGCTCTCCTGTGAGGTCCACCCATCCTGATGATCCATGAGGATGTGGACACAGCCTCTGTGTGTGTGATGGGGACAGTGTCCCAGTGTCCTGTGAGATCCATCCCTCCTGATGGTTCATGAGGATGTGGGCACAGCCTCTGTGTGTGAGATAGGGACCATGTCCCAGCTCTCCTGTGAGGTCCACCCATCCTGATGATCCATTAGGATGTGGACACAGCCTCTGTGTGTGTGATAGGGACCATGTCCCAGTGTCCTGTGAGGTCCACCTATCCTGATGGTCCATGAGGATGTGGACACAGCCGCTCTGTGTGTGATGGGGACAGTGTCCCAGCTCTCCTGTGAGGTCCATCCATCCTGATGGTTCATGGGGACGTGAGCACAGCCTCTGTGTGTGTGTTGGGGACAGTGTCCCAGTTCTCCTGTGAGGTCCACCCATCCTGATGGTTCATGAGGATGTGGGCACAGCCTCTGTGTGTGTGATGGGGACAGTGTCCCAGTGTCCTGTGAGGTCCACCCATCCTGGTGGTCCATGAGTACATGGACACAGCCTCTCTGTGTGAGATGGGGACAGTGTCCCAGTTCTCCTGTGAGGTCCACCCATCCTGGTGGTCCATGAGTACATGGACACAGCCTCTCTGTGTGTGATAAGGACAGTGTTCCAGCTCTCCTGTGAGGTCCACCCATCTTGATGGTTCATGAGGACTTGGGCATGGCCTCTATGTGTGTGATGGGGACAGTGTCCCAGTGTCCTGTGAGGTCCACCCATCCTGATGGTCCATGAGGATGTGGGCACAACCTCTTTGTGTGTGATGGGGACAGTGTCCCAGTGTCTGTGAGGTCCACCCATCCGATGGTTCATGAGGACGTGGGCACAGCCTCTGTGTGTAATGGGGATAGCATCCCAGTGTCCTGTGAGGTCCATCCATCCTGATGGCCCATGAGGATGTGGGCACAGCCTCTGTGTGTGTGTGTGTGATGGGGACGGTGTCCCAGTTCTCCTGTGAGGTCCACCCATCCTGATGGTCCATGAGGACATGGGCACAGCCTCTCTGTGTGTGATAAGGACAGTGTTCCAGCTCTCCTGTGAGGTCCACCCATCTTGATGGTTCATGAGGACTTGGGCACAGCCTCTGTGTGTGTGATGGGGACAGTGTCCCAGTGTCCTGTGAGGTCCATACATCCTGATGGTCCATGAGGACATGGGCACAACCTCTGTGTGTATAATGGGGACAGTGTCCCAGTGTCCTGTGAGGTCCACCCATCCTGATGGTTCATGAGGACGTGGGCTCAGCCTCTGTGTGTAATGAGGACAGTGTCCCAGTGTCCTGAGAGGTCCATCGATCCTGATGGCCCATGAGGATGTGGGCACAGCCTCTGTGTGTGTGTGATGGGGACGGTGTCCCAGTTCTCCTGTGAGGTCCATCCATCCTGATGGTTCATGAGGACATGGGCACAGCCTCTATGTGTGTGATGGGGACAGTGTCCCAGCGTCCTGTGAGGTTCACCCATCCTGATGATCGATGAGGACGTGGGCACAGCCTCTGAGTGTGTGATGGGGACGGTGCCCTGACTGTCCTCTGAGGTCTGGCTGTCCTTATGGTTCACTGGGACTTTGGCACAGTCTGTCTGTGTGTTTGTGTGTGATGTGGACTGTGCCCCTCCCTTTCTAGGTGGTGGCATTCTGGTAATTGAAAGCCTCCTGGATGAAGACAGGCGAGGTCCTCTGCTCACGCAGCTCTACTCTCTGAACATGCTTGTGCAGACGGAAGGGCAGGAGAGGACCCCCACCCACTACCACATGCTCCTCTCTTCTGCTGGCTTCAGAGACTTCCAGTTTAAGAAAACAGGAGCCATTTATGATGCCATTTTAGCCAGGAAATAACTGTTTCTTGTGACCTGGAACTAACGTCAAAGCACACAAGACATAATAATAAAGACATGTACCTCCAGTGGCTTCTTGTTCTTGGTGTTCACATGATAAGTGACTGGAGGCTTCTGTGGACAGGGTTGGACTGCTTCTACTTTGTAGATTATTTCCCAGGCTTTACTGAGGACCACGCTGATGGGGGTGTGAGCTCAGCTTTGATATTGACTGTAAGCAAAGTTTTGGTCCTCTTCATGCTGTAAAGTGGGACTCCAGTGTTCACCTTGAGGGGTGTCTGTTAGAAGCTTCACCCTGAACAGAACTTTGGCACCAGTGATGGATGTAGCAACTATAGGTGTCTATGAAATATGAGGTTCTCCTTTCAGGCTGCCTTGCACAGCTCTGTGACTTATTAGTGATGCCATTTCAACCGTGAGAAAGGTGAGGCTTTCTGTCTCTCTCTCTCTGCCTCAGACAGTCCCATCTGTCTCTCCTGTATGGATCTGTACTCAAATCTCTTCATGTAGCCACCATGAGAGTGCGGGCATTTGCCGCCAGATTAGATCACGCCACATCTGTGGATACAGAGAAATCAGCAGATGCTACAGAAGAGGAAAATATTTCCCTCCTACCAATCTCATACCCATTTCTCCCTGGACCTCTTCCGCAATGTCAACAAGGTTTTCTACTTCTTGTTTTCCTCTAGTGTACATTTTAGATTATTTTGGTACTTTCTTTACTCTCAGTCTAAACATTGTTTTTTTCAACTAAAAAGATGAGAAAACAAAACAAAATGGAATAATCGTCAAAGCAAGTTGTTGTGGGTTGAATTCTGTTCCCCAAAAGATATGTCCAGGCTGTGGCCCCTGGAACCTGTGAATGGTATCTTATTTAGAAGTAAGATCTTTGCTGATGAAATCAAGTTCAGATGAGGTCATTAGGATGAGCGCTAAATCCAATATGACTGATGTGCTTATAAGAAAACAAGAGACACAGAAACGCACAGAAGAGAGGGGAGAATGCCACATGAGGACACAGACACAGGTGAGAAGGCCACATGGAGACAGAGGCAGAGACTAGAGTGATGCGGCCACAAGCCCAGGGACACCTGGAGCCCCCAGGAACTGGGAGAGGCAGGAAGAGTCCTCCCCTAGAGCCTCTGGAGGGAATGTAGCTCTGCAACATCTTGATCTCAGAATTCTAGTTTGCAGCACTGGGCAAGTTTATTATTATTATTATTATTATTATTATTATTATTATTATTATTTTGAGATGGAGTCTTGCTCTGTTGCCCAGGCTGGAGTGCAGTGGCATGATCTCGGCTCGCTGCAAGCGCCACCTCCCAGGTTCACGCCATTCTGCCTCAGCCTCCTGAGTAGCTGGGACTACAGGTGCCCGCCACCACACCCAGCTAATTTTTTGTATTTTTAGTAAAGACACGGTTTCACCATGTTAGGTGGTCCTAACAAACTCATCTACAAGAAAGGTAAGGAATGGTGTGCACATTTCAAATTTTAAGTTTGAAAAAGCACAAGAGAATCTGCTTCTTTTTGCAATGTCTAATCTGTTTAAAAGGCATCTTTCACAGAGAGTGTGATTTGGGAATATTTGCAGAGTTGCATGACACCTTTTAAAATTAGATTAAACAGGAAGAAAAGAGACTCAGGGACATCTTAATTCTCTGTTGAGGAGTTCTCATAAACTAAACGGTCTAATTTCAAAATGTTCAAGCTGAAGTTTGGAAATGAACTCTTTCGAAAAACATGCTTATGTCAGTTGCTGGGAGTTGCAGCTGGTGGTCATCCCCGAGAACATGCATTCACCACAAGTCCATGGAGGCCTTATTCATGCCAAGAGTAGTGGAGTCCAGTCCCTCAGAGTGCCCTGTGTGCCCTGCTGCAAATAGGACCTTTTCCTGGGTATTCAGTGATGCACAGGCAACTAATTATAGGGGAACGCTTATTTAATAAGGAATGAAGATTTTATCTTCTTATTTATTTTTCAGAGATGAAGTCTTGCTCTGTTTCCCAGGCTGGAGTACAGTGGTACAGTGATAGCTCACTGCAGCCTCCAACTCATGGGCTCAAGCGATTCTCCTGCCTCAGCCTCCCTAGTAGCTGGGACTACAGGCTCAACTAATCGATTTTTTTTTTTTTTTTTTTTAGAGACAGGATCTTGCTATGTTGCCCAGGCTGTTCTCAAACTCCTGGTCTCAAGTGAGTCTCCTGCCTCAGCCTCCCAAAATGCTGGAATTACTGGCATGAGTCACTGCACCTGGCCTATTTGATCTTTCTAATTCTTGCCCCATCAATGCCCTGTCAAATTTTCTTCACCCAAGTAACAGAACTTTATTAATTACCATAATTATCTGATCGAATGGAGTTCCCAAGCCCCATCAGGTTTTTTTTGTGTTTTTTTTTTTTGAGACAGAATCTCGCTCTGTCACCCAGGCTGGAGTGCAGTGGCATGATCTCGGGTCACTGCAAGCTCCACCTTTGGGTTCATGCCATTCTCCTGCCTCAGCCTCCCAAGTAGCTGGGACTACAGGTGCCCACCACCACGCCTGGCTAATTTTTTTGTATTTTTAGTAGAGACAGGGTTTCATTGTGGTCTCGATCTCCTGACCTCATGATCTGCCCACCTCAGCCTCCCAAAGTGCTGGGATTACAGGCGTGAGCCACTGCACCCAGCCCCAAGCCCCTATCAGCTTTAAAGAAAACTTCAGTTTTTAAAACTAAGATCCTGACTTTCCTGCATGGTGAGTGCTGAGACATTCCTCCCTGATGGCTGCTCCATGGAGGAAGGGCTAGGGTCTGACTTGGGAACTGCCTCCCCTTCTGGGCAGAGAGGAGGACCAGAGCAGGCAGGGTCTTCCATCCCTACTGAAGGGGTTGGAGGTGGGCAATGGTCTCTGTCCAGGCTGACCCTTTTGATGCTGGAGCCTGGCTGGTTTTCCAAGTCCCCATCCATGTGGTAGACATGGCTATGGTGGGCATTGTTCATTGCCATCCTGTCTTCCTTTGTATTCAGAGATCCTCTTAGAGACAGCCAAGGAGTCTCCATTAGAATTTCTGGGGTGGGCATGCCTTGTGCTTGGCTGGGAGCCACCTCATCAGCACCACTGTCCTGCCTCTCCATTCACCATGAGAACCTCATGGGCTCCTCTTCCAAGTTCAGGAGCCAGGGGGTTCTAGAAGGTGCCCATTATACCATCACTCCCCATTGGACCCTCTTTGCCCCAGGTCAAGTAGGCACAGGGAGTTTTCTTCCTAACCAGAAACTTAGCAGAGAAAGACAGCTCCTCTTGTCTTCTTGTAGGCTCCCCTCAATCTTTATGAGTGGTTTTCTGGGATTTCTTTCTCTTGTCTGGGAGGAGACCCCAGCTTCTCTTTCCTGAGGCAGAGCATTCAGACAGATGCTAATTCCTTCCCACCCACCCAAAGTTTTTTGTCACTTATGCCACTGGGCTGGGGTTACTGGGAGTGGGAAGGTGTATATATTTGGGATTTTTTTTCCCTTTTGTCCTTAAATTCCAAGTCCTGGTGAGTTAATTGAGGACATAATGTACCAAAATCTATTTTTTCCTCCTATTTCTTCCTCTCCTTCCTTCCTCCCTTCCTTCCTTCCTTCCCTCTTTCTTTCTCTCTCTCTTTCTTTCTTTCTTTCTTTTTTTTTTTTTTTAACAGAGTCTCGCTGTCTCCCAAGCTGGAGTGCAGTGGTGTGATCTCGGCTCACTGCAAGCTCCGCCTCCCAGGTTCACGCCTTTCTCCTGTCTCAGCCTCCTGAGTAGCTGGGACTACAGGCACCTGCCACCATGCCCGGCTAATTTTTTGCATTTTTAGTAGAGACGGGGTTTCACCATGTTAGCCAGGATGGTCTCAATCTCCTGACCTCGTGATCCACCTGCCTCAGCCTCCCAAAGTGCTGGGAATACAGGCATGAGCCATCACGCCCAGATTCACTCTTTCTTTCTTTCTTTCTTTCTTTTTCTTTCTTTCTTTCTCTTTCTTCTTTCTTTCTTTCTTCTTTCTTCTCTCTTTTGTTCTCTCCTTTCTTTCCTTGTTTCTCTTTCCTCCTTTACCTCTTTCTTCTTTTTCTTCCTTTCTTCCCTTTCATTTCTCTCTTTCTTTCTTTCTTCCTTTCTTTCCTTTCTTTCTTTTCTTCCTTTCTTTCTTTCTTTCCCCTTTCTGATTTTCTATCTATCTAATGCTCTAAGTCGTAAAAAGAAGAAAAAACGTGAGCATTTGTCACTGCTTTTTCTTCTTGCAGACAGTTTCATTGGGTGGTTGTATTTGGCTGGGTAGTGACCTGTAGCTATTAGTGACCTGTAGCTGCTGTAACAAGTTATCACAAATGTGGTAGCTGAAAACAACACAAATTAACTGTCTTGCAGTTATGAAGAACAGAAGGCTGAAGTCAGTTTCCCTAGGCTAACATAAAAGTGTTGGCAGGACTGCTTTATTCTAGAGGCTTTGGAGGTGAATGCATTTTCTTGCCTTGCCAGCTTCCAGAAGCTGCCTGCTTTCCTTGGCTCATGGTCCCTTCCTCCACTTGCAAAACCCACACCCACATCACTCCGGGCTCTGCTTCCATTGTCACCTCTTCTATAACTTTGATCCTCTTGCCTCCCTCTCATAAGGAGCCTTCTGATGACAGATGGCCAACCCAGAGAATCCAGGACAGCCCCCCTCTTAGGATCACTAATTAAACCACAGTTGCCAAGTGTGTTTTTCCAGGTGAGGTCACATATTCACAGGTTCTAGAGACTGGGATGTGGACAGCTTTGGGGGATATTATTCCTCTACCATATGGGGAGTGGGATGTATAAATCTTTGGGGCCATTATTCTGTCTATCACATGGGGATTTGGGTGTTGATAACATTTTTAGGGTCATTATTCTGTCCACCACGTGGGGATTAGGATGTGGACATCTTTGGGGGCCATTACTCCTTCTACCACATGGGATTGCAATGTAGACATCTTTGGGGGCCATTTTCTGTCTCCCACATGGGATTAGGATGTGGACATCTTTGGGGCCATTATTCTGTCTACCACATGGGGATTAGGATGTGGACATCTGGCTGGGCGCAGTGGCTCACGCCTGTAATCCCAGCACTTTGGGAGGCTGAGGCAGGTGGATCACAAGGTCAGGAGATGGAGACCATCCTGGCTAACATGGTGAAACCCCATCTCTACTAAAAATACAAAAAATTGGCCAGGCATGGAGGCGGGCGCCTGTAGCCCCAGCTACTAGGGAGGCTGAGGCAGGAGAATGTCGTGAACCCGGGAGGCAGAGGTTGCAGTGAGCCGAGATCGCGCCACTGCACTCCAGCCTGGTCGACAGAGCGAGAGTCCATCTCAAAATAAATAAATAAGTAAAATAAAAGCGTGTGTATACGTTCATATATACAGACGGTTTCCAGCTTACAGTGGTTGGATTTACAACTTTTCAGCGTTACGATCAGTGTATCAAGATACTAAATGCATTTTTAAGTTAAGGTATGTGGACCCATGATAGACTTGTGGGGAGGTAACCCCACTGTAAGTCAAGGGGCATCCCTCTGTGAGTATATAGATTCTCCACCCCCTAAAAAAATTATAAGCACTGTGACCACCCCTAAAGTGGCTCAGGCTCATGCATGTAGCCCGCCTGGGCTTGAATGCTCTTTGCAAACATACGTTAGATCTGGACAGCCCAGTTCTTCAGGGAAACCCTCTTGGGGCCATGGCAACATGTGGACCATTCCGGAAGAGCGAGAACCGGTGCCTGCCAGCAGGTGGCAGCATGGGGCAGCTGATGTAACCCGGCTTCCTTCGCTCCAAGATTGCACCTGTCAGAGGCAGTCAGGGCTGGGGTGACCATGAATGGGGAAAAAGCAACCCCCCGCCCCAACTTTAGTGCTTTGCCGCTTTTTTTTTTTTTGAGATGGAGTCTCGCACTGTCGCCTGGGCTGGAGTGCAAAGGCAAGATCTCGGCTCACTGCAACCTCCACCTCCTGGGTTCAAGCGATTCTCCTGCCTTGGCCTCCCAAGTAGCTGGGGTTATAGGCACCTGCCACCACGCCCGGCTAATTTTTTTTTTTGTATTTTTAGTAGAGACGGGGTTTCACCATGTTGGCCAGGCTGGTCTCGAACTCCTGACCTCGTGACCCGCCCGCCTCGGCCTCCCAAAGTGTTGGGATTACAGGCGTGAGCCACCGTGCCCAGTCTGCTTTGCTGTTTTAAATGTTGGTTTTCACTAAAAACAATCCCACATCCAAAAGGATTTTTTCATTATTTTCCCCCATCAAGGGCAGATACACTAAAACTTCAGAGGCTGGCCTGGCGCAGTGGCTCATGCCTGTAATCCCAGCACTTTGGGAGGCCGAAGGGGGTGTATCAGTTGAGGTCAGGAGTTCGAGACCATCCTGGCCAACATGGTGAAACCCTATCTCTACTAAAAAGCACAAAATTAGCTGGGCGTGGTGGTGGGCGCCTGTAATTCCAGCTACTCGGGAGACTGAGGCAGGAGAATCGTTTGAACCCGGGAGGTGGAGGTTGCAGTGAGCCGAGATCGCGCCACTGCCCTCCAGCCTGGGCAACAAGAGCAAAACTCGGTCTCAAAAAAAAAAAAAAAAAAAAAATCGGAGGCTTACATTTTCTCTTGTTGAAAAATGAGGAGAGGGATATTTTCCCACTTTCCGCCCCGCCCCCCTCCCCAGCAAACTGGTAGCTGCAAGTTCTTTGTCGGCCTTTTTCAAATGTGTGTAAATCTTTTAAAGAAAGCGGCACCATAGCTCAAGAATGTTTCCTGCAGTGTCTGGGAGGAATCTCTTTGAAATGTGATCCCCAAGGGGGAGGAAAAAAAGCCTCATCCCCCGGGGTCCACAGAGGAGAAGAGCTTAATTTAATCTGTCACCTCACTCCAAATTGCAAAGCCTACACCTCCAGTCAAAATGAGTCCTTGTTTAGTTTCAGAAAACGAAAGGAAAGGGCTGTCTCCACTTTGCTGCGTAAAAGGATGAGATTTCTTTCTTTTTTTCCTTTTCTTTTTTTTTTTGAGACGGAGTTCTGCTCTTGTTACCCAGGCTGGAGTGCAGTGGTGCGATCTTGGCTCACGGATACCTCTCCCTCCCGGGTTCAAGCGATTCTCCTGCCTCAGCCTCCCGAGTAGCTGGGATTGCAGGCACGCACCACCATGCCCGGCTAATTTTTTGTATTTTTAGTGGACACAAAGTTTCTCCATGTTGGTCAGGCTGGTTTCGAACTCCCGACCTCAGGTGATCCACCTGCCTCGGCCTCCCAAAGTGCTGGGATGACAGGCGTGAGCCACCACACCCGGCCCATAAAAGGGTGAGATTTCTTTCTGTGTTTCTGATCCCTTTCACGGATGGCCTGGGGTGTATATCACATTTGAATTGAATGCTTGTTCTGTAGAAAAATGGTTTTCTTTTTCTTCTACCCTTGAGGAGAGGGGTTAAGGAAGGAGTTCCTGGATCGGGAGGAGATTTTTTTGCTTTTTTTTTTTTTTTTTTTTTTTTTTTTTGAGACAGAGTCCCTGTGACTCAGTCTGGAGTGCCCTGGAAGATCTCGGCTCACTGCAACCTCCGCCTCCACGGTTCAAGCGATTCTCCTGCCTCAGCCTCTCGAGTAGCTGGAATTACAGTTGTGCACCATCATCTCTGGCTAATTTTTGTATTTTTTTTTTTTGAGATAGAATTTCTCTCTTGTTGCCCAGACTGGAGTGCAATGGCGTGATCTCAGCTCACCACAACCTCCGCCTCTCAGGTTCAAGCGATTCTCCTGCCTCAGCTTCCCTAATAGCTGGGATTACAGGCATGTGCCACCACGCCCAGCTAATTTTTGTATTTTTAGTAGAGACGGGTTTCACCATGTTGGCCAGGCTGGTCTCGAACTCCGGACCTCAGGTGATCCACCTGCCTTGGCCTCCCAAAGTGCTGCAATTACAGGCGTGAACCACCGTACCCGGCCAATTTTTGTATTTTTTTGGTAGAGACAGGGTTTCTCCATGTTGGTCAGGCTGGTCTCGAACTCCTGACCTGAAGTGATCTGCCCACCTTGGCCTCCCAATGTGCTGGGATGAGAGGTGTGAGCCACTGCACCTGGCCTTTGGTTGTTTTTTTTTTTTTTTTTTTGAGACAGAGTCCCTGTCACTCAGTCTGGGGTGTCGTGGCTGATCTCGGCTCACTGCAACCTCTGCCTCCAGGATTCAAGCGATTCTCCTGCCTCAGCCTCCTGAGTAGCTGAGATTACAGGCCTGGCTAATTTTGTATTTTTTAGTAGAGATGGGGTTTGATCATGTTGCTCAGGCTGGTCTCGAACACCTGACCTCAAGTGGTCCGCCCGCCTCGTCCTCCCAAAGTGCTGGGGTGACAGGCATGAGCCACCACTCCTGGTAGAGATTTTGCTTTTTAATTCTATTTCCTTAACACCTTGAACATGTATGGCTTGGGCTGTTCCTCATCTCAGCCTTATGTTTTGATTCGATTGCCTTCCAATGAGCACCTTATTATTTAAAAGTGGACTTCAAGATGGGACTGTACCGTTTCCTTTTCTATCACACTTCACTGTTGGACCGTGAACTCTATTATTATTGTTATTTTTGAGATAGAGTTTCGCTCTTGTTGCCCAGGCTGGAGTGCAATGGTGTGATCTCAGCTCACTGCAACCTCTGCCTTCCGGTTTCAAGCGATTCTCCTGCCTCAGCCTGCCAAAGAGCTGGGATTACAGGCACACACCACCATGCCCGGCTAATTTTTGTATTTTTAATAGAGACAGGGTTTCACCATGTTGCCCAGGCTGGTCTGGAACTCCTGACTTCGTGATCTGCCCGCCTCGGCCTCCCAAGGTGCTGGGACTACAGGCATGTGCCACCACACCCGGCTAATTTTTGTATTTTTAATAGAGACAGGGTTTCACCATGTTGCCCAGGCTGGTCTCAAACTCCTGACCTCATGATCCGCCTGCCTCGGCCTCCCAAAGTGCTGGGACTACAGGCATGTGCCACCACACCTGGCTAATTTTTGTATTTTTAATAGAGACAGGGTTTCACCATGTTGCCCAGGCTGGTCTCGAACTCCTGACCTCATGATCCGCCTGCCTCGGCCTCCCAAAGTGCTGGGACTACAGGCATGTGCCAGCACACCCAGCTAATTTTATATTTTTAGTAGAGACAGGGATTCTCCATGTTAGCCAGGATGGTCTCGAACTCCTGACCTCGTGATCCACCCGCCTCAGCCTCCCAAAGTGCTGCGATGACAGGTGTGAGCCACCACACCCGGTCACCATGAACTCTAATGTCAGAAATTACCGAGGCGCTGTTTCTGCATTTTTTTCTAGTATGGATCCTGGTAAGCCACATCCAGAAGAGATTTCTCTGGAAGAACTTTGCCTTGAATGGAAGCAATTGTCCTGATGGCCACTAGGGGGAGGAAGCATCGTTTTCTCTCTTCGAATTGTAAGGCGAGAAGGATCTGAGGCCAGGTGTCCATAATTGAGGAAGTTGACTTTGCCAGGGTGGAGGACACCACGACATAACCTCAGGAGGTCTTGATGACGTGGGCCCAAGGTGGTTGGGGTGTAGCTTGCTTTTATACATTTTAGGAAGACTTGAAGCATCAGTCAATACATGTAAGATGTACGTTGGTTCTATCTCGAACGGCAGGGTGACTCAAAGCGGGGTTACACTTAAACATATTCAGGGCCGGGCGCGGTGGCTCACACCTGTCGTCCTAGCACTTTGGGAGGCCGAGGTGGGTGGGTCACCTGAGGTCAGGAGTTCGAGACCATCCTGGCCAACATGGTGACACCCTGTCTGTACTAAAAATACAAAATCAGGCCGGGCGCAGTGGCTCACACCTGTCATCCCAGTACTTTGGGAGGCCGAAGCGGGCAGATCACGAGGTCAGGAGATCGAGGCCATCTTGGCCAACACGGTGAAACCCCGTCTGTACTAAAAATACAAAAAAAAAATTAGCCTGATGTGGTGGCGGGTGCCTGTAGTCCCAGCTACTCAGGAGGCTGAGGCAGGAGTTTGCAGTGAGCCGAGATTGCGCCACTGCACTCCAGCCTGGGAGACAGAGCGAGACTCTGTCAAAAAAAAAAAAATTAGCTGGGTGTGGTGGTGTGAACCTGTAATCTCAGCTACTTGGGAGGCTGAGGCAGGAGAATCGCTTGAACACTTGAGGCCAGGAGTTTGAGATCAGCTTGGCCAACATGGCGAAACCCGGTTTCTACTAAAAATACAAAAAAATCAGCACAGCGTGGTGGCACATGCTTGTAATCTCAGCTGCTAGGGAGGCTGAGGCATGAGAATTGCTTGAACCTGGGAGGTGGAGGTTGCAGTGAACCGAGATCACGCCACTGCACTCCAGCCTGGGCGACACATGGATACTCTGTCTCAAAACAAACAAACAAACAAACAAAAACATACTTATTGGCAATTGGTTGAAAGAGTTATTATCCGTAGTAAGGAATGTCTGGCTTATGATGGTGTTGTAGAGACCGAGGTTTTATTATGCAGATGAAGCTTCCCAGGTAGCAGGCTTCTGAGAGAAGAGACTGCAAATGTTTTTTTTTTCTTTTCTTTTTCTTTTCTTTTTTTTTTTTTTTTTTTAACGGAGTTTCACTCTTGTCATCCAGGCTGGAGTGCAGTGGCGCAATCTTGGTTCATTGCAACCTCCGACTCCCAGGTTCAAGTGATTCTCCTATCTCAGCCTCCCGAGTAGCTGGGATTACAGGCATGCACCACCATGACCAGCTAATTCTTGTATTTTTAGTAGAGACGGGGTTTCACCATGTTGGCCAGGATGGTCTCAATCTCTTGACCTCATGATCTGCCCGCCTCGGCCTCCCAAAGTGCTGGGATGACAGGCGTGAGCCACCGCACCCGACCAGAGACTCCAGATGTTTCTTACCAGACTTAAGGTCTGTGTTGATGTTCATGCTGAAAATATCAGAGGTGTTTGAACCAGAACGACTCCACCTTGAATAGAGGCTGGGTAAAATGAGGCTGAGACTTACTGGGCTGCATTCCGAGATGGTTAAGGCATTCTAAGTCACAGGATGAGATAGGAGGTTGGTACAAGGTACAGGTCATAAAGACCTTGCTGATAAAACAGGTTGCAGTAAAGAAGCCAGCCAAAACACGCCAAAACCAAGATGGCCACAACAGTGACCTCTGGTCGTCCTCACTGCTATACTCCCACCAACACCATGACAGTTTTCAAATGCCATGGCAACGTCAGGAAGTTACCTTATATGGTCTAAAAAGGGGAGGCATGAATAATCCGCCCCTTGTTTAGCATATCTTCAAGAAATAACCATAAAGGCCAGGTGCGGTGACTCACGCCTGTCATCCCAGCACTTTGGGAGGCCGAGGCGGGCGCATCACGAGGTCAGGAGTTTGACACCAGCCTGACCAACATGGCAAAACCCCATCTGTACTAAAAATACAAAAATCAGCCCAGCGTGGTGGTGCATGCCTGTAGTCCCAGCTACTCGGGAGGCTGAGGCAGAAGAATCGCTTGAACCTGGGAGGCAGAGGTTGCGATGAGCCGAGATCATGCCACTGCACTCCAGCCTGGGTGACAGAGCAAGACTCCGTCTCAAAATCAAAAAAAAAAAAAAAAAAAAAAAGAAAGAAAGAAAGAAAAGAAAGAACGAACCATAAAAATGGGTAACCAGCAACCTTGGGGACTGCTCTGTCTACGGAGTAGCCATTCTTTTATTCCTTTACTTTCCCAATAAACTCGCTTTCCCTTTGGTCTATGGACTTGCCCTCAATTCTTTCTTGCATGAGATCCTAGAACCCTCTCTTGGGATCTGGATGAGGACCCCTTTCTGGTAACAGAGGGGTGTGGCGAGGCCTGGCCAACCTCCACTTCCCAACATGGCATGAACTTTAAATTGAAATTGAAATAATTTCATGTTAAATTTTAGAGTGTCCTGGCCAAGGAGGGAGTCCATTCAGATTTTTATTTTTGCTTTATTTATTTATTTTTTATTTTTTTGAGAAGGAGTCTCGCTCTGTTGCCCAGGCTGGAGTGCAGTGGCCCCAACTCGGCTCACTGCAACCTCCGCCTGCCGGGTTCAAGCGATTCCCCTGCCTCAGCCTCCCAAGCAGCTGGGACTACAGGCGCCCGCCACCATGCCTGGCTAATTTTTTAATTTTTAGTAGAGATGGGGCTTCACCATGTTGGTCAGGCTGGTCTTGAACTCCTGACCTCGTGATCCGTCTGCCTCAGCCTCCTAAAGTGCTGGGATCACAGGCATGAGCCACCACGCCCGGCCTATTTTTGGTTTATGAGAGGAGCTGCTGATACCTGGAGACTTGATACCCACAAGCTCCCCTTAGCCACAGTTCCAAAACAGGACATGGCTCAAGACCGCGTCTGGGGAGGAGGGGGAGACAGGATAATTCAGGCCTGCTGGGTGCTGCCTGCTGGGGGTACCCAGGGTCTGTAGATGTGTAAAGCCAGAGAGCTGGGACCAGAGTCTGCTGTTTCATTTTGCCCAAGACTTTCTGTGGGCCTCCTGGAATAAGGCAGACCAGCTGATGGTTGTTTTTTTTTTTTTTGACAGAGTCTTTCTCTGTCACCCAGGCTGGAGTGCAATGGCGCGATCTCGCCTCACTGCAACCTCCGTCTCCCAGGTTCAAGTGATTCCCCTGCCTCAGCCTCCCGAGTAGCTGGGACTACAGGTGCGCACCACCATGCCTGGCTAAATTTTGTATTTTTAGTAGAGATGGGGTTTCAGCATGTTGGTTAGGCTGGTCTTGTACTCCTGACCTCAAGTGATCCACCAGCCTCGGCCTCCCAAAGTCCTGGGATGACAGGCGTGAGCCACCACGCCAGGCCCGGGTAATATCTCTTATAGCTAGAGTGATTTTAGAGTGACCTTCGCATATCGTGACCCGTGAGTGAGTTTCCTGGGCGTGATGGTTAATACTGAATGGCAGCTTGATTGGATTGAAAGATCCAATCAAAGCGTTGTTCCTGGGTGTGTCTGTGAGGGTGTTGCCAAAGGAGAATAACACTAGAGTCAGTGGACTCGGAGAGGCAGAACCCCCCTCAATCTGGGTGGGCACCGTCTCATCAGCTGCCAGTCTGGCCAGAATAAAAGCAGGCAGAGGAGCGTGAAAAGGCTAGACTGGCTTAGCCTCCCAGCCTCCATCTTCCTCCTTTGCTGGATGCTTCCTGCCCTGGACCACTGGACTCCAAGTTCTTAATCCTTGGGACTCAGACTGGCTTCCTGCCTCCTCAGCTTGTAGATGACCTATGGTGGGACCTCACCTTGTGACTCTGTGAGTTAATTCTCCTTAATAAACTCCCCTTCATATATATATAATTCATGTGGACTCTTTCTAGACCATATAGATTGTATTAGTCAGGGTTCCTTAGAGGAATAGAACAAATAGAAGATACACACACACGCACACACACATATATATGTACGTATATGTGTGTATATATACACGTGTATATATACACACATATATACACGTGTATACACACACATGTGTATATATACATGTATACACATATATGTGTATATGCACATGTGTATACACACATATGTGCATGTACACATATGTGCATATACGCATATATACACGTGTGTATACGCATATATACGTGTGTACACGCATATATACACGTGTGTACACACATATATACACGTGTGTACACGCATATATACACGTGTGTATACGCATATATACACACATACACACATATATACACACATATACACACACACATATATATACACACACAATACATATATATGTGTGTGTGTGTGTGCGTGTGTGTGTATATATCTTCTATTAGTTCTATTCCTCTAAGGAACCCTGACTAATACAATGTATATGGTCTAAAAAGAGTCCATATGAATAATCCACTCCTAGTTTAGCATATCATCAAGAAATAACCATAAAAATGGGGGCCAGGTGTGGTGGCTCACGCCTGTCATCCCAGCACTTTGGGAGGCCGAGGTGGGTGGATCGCCTGAGGTCGGGAGTTTGAGACCAGCCTGGCCAACATGGTGAAACCCCATCTCTACTAAAAATACAAAAAAAATTAGTCGGGCATGGTGGCAGTTACCTGTAATCCCAGCTACTCGGGAGGCTGAGGCAGGAGAATCGCTTGAACCCGGGTGGCGGAGGTTGCAGTGAGCCGAGATCACGCCACTGCACTCCAGCGTGGGTGACAGAGTGAGACTCCATCTCAAAAAAAAGAGAAAAGGTTGTATTCTTTTGAGTCCTTGATAGCCTCTGACTGAATACATCATGTATTAGTTTGGTGTAGAAGTAACGGAGTGAAAACAAAAACAACAAAACAACCACCACCACCACCACAACAAAAAACACCCAGGCACAAAAGTGCAAAATGGCACAATATCATTTGCATGAAGTGTCTAGAATAAGACTGCTTGCAGAGTCAGAGAGCAGATGGGTGATTGCTTAAGGCTGAGAGCAGGGAGACTGGGGAGTGACGGTTTAATGGGTATGGGGTGTTTTTTTTTGGGTTACGAAGGTGTTCTGGAACTAGCTAGGGCCGGTGGTTGTGTAAAATGCTCAGTGCACTAAATCGTCTCTTCATTGTGCAATTTTTAAAATGGCAAACTGTGTGTGATGGGTATTTTCCCACAGTAAGAAACAGCAGCAGCACAAAGGGAGGTGATAACTCACGTCATATCACACCCTGCAGGCCCCATCACCCTTCCTCCTTCCTCTGTTCACCTCCTCCTCCTTTTCCGGGCTCTGCAGACGAGCCCGGGCAGCCCTCCCCGCTGGCCGTCTGGACCCAGGCCTGCCTGTCTTGGGTGCATTTTAGGACATTAAGTCTGGCTGGAACCTGAGAGCATCAGCCATGCGGTAAGTCCCCACATCCCTCCAGCAGTCTGGGAGGGGAGCTCTCTCCTTTGCTTTTGTACACTCTGGAGAAAATTGTCAGGCAGCAGACATGAAGAGCCTCTGGGGAGATTCAGTGAGGGCTGGCAGGCAGGTGTCCAGGAGCCTGAGTGACTCACGAGAGAAAGGACATATTCCTTAAAGACAAATTCATCAACGGATTGGTTTAAATAATTCCTGCTCAGCACATCCCAAATTAAGCTTCGTCATCAGACACTGCATCTGTTGCCTTTTCTAGAAACATGAGCTCTAAGCTCAGTGACACCGTCTGTCAGGGTTTCAACGTTTCACCTCCCCCCTCCAGGGGAGCCGGTTTCCATACACCAAAGCTCTCCAAGGTCCAGTTGTGAGGATGGGGAACGCTGGCTGTCTGGTGACGGCCTTTCCAAAGCTGCCCTGTCCTCTTGCATTAAGAAAGATTAGTTTGTACTCCGGGAGGAGAGGCGCAGAAGGTTAACAAGATTAGAGAGAGCTCCTGAGACCTGCGGTGAGATTCCCTGAGGGATGTGGCTAATAAAACTGTAAAAACAACGCAGGCGGTGTCTCTCACCGCCGGGTCCTGATTTCAGGGCCGCAAATGTCTACCTCTTCTAGGCAGTTTGCTACCTCAATAATTTAGGTTGTCAGTTGTGGTATCCAAGCCCCAGCACACTTTTTTGTTTGTTTGTTTGTTTGTTTGTTTTGCAGTTTGCAGGTGATAGTTTCTAAAGATGTGTTTTTCTATTTTTCTTTCTTTCTTTCTTTTTTTTTTTTTTTTTGAGACAGAATCTCACTCTGTCGCCCAGGCTGGAGTGCAGTGGGGCGATCTCAGCTCACTGCAAGCTCCGCCTCCCGGGTTCACGCCATTCTCCTGCCTCAGCCTCCCGAATAGCTGGGACTACAGGCGCCCGCCACCACGCCCGGCTAATTTTTTGTATTTTTAGTAGAGACGGGGTTTCACTGTGTTAGCCAGGATGGTCTCGATCTCCTGACCTCGCGATCTCCCCGCCTCGGCCTCCCAAAGTGCTGGGATTACAGGCATGAGCCACCACGCCTGGCTAATTTTTTGTATTTTTAGTAGAGACGGGGTTTCACTGTGTTAGCCAGGATGGTCTCGAACTCCTGACCTCGTGATCCGCCCACCTCAGCCTCCCAAAGTGCTGGGATAACAGGCGTGAGCCACCGCGCCCGGTCTATTTTTCTTAACTAAGAAATGTGTATGTGTGTGCATATGGTTGTGTGGCTGGTAGAGGTGGAGAGCTTCAGGAATGTGTGTATGCGTGTGTGTTTCTGCGTGTGTCTGTGTATGTGTTTGTGTGTTATCTTTGCTTGTGATTATGTTTGTGTCTGTACATATGTGTGTGTCTTTGTGGATGTGTGTTTGTATATGTATGGCTGTCTGTGTGTGTTTGCCTCTTTGTGTATGCATGTGAATGTGTGTGTTTATATTTGTGTATTTATGTCTGTGTAAGTGTATTATGTATTTGCACATGAGTGTGTTTCTGCATGTGTATATTTGGGTGTCTGTGTGTGTGCATGTGTGTGTATATGCATGCTAGTGTGTGTGCAGTTGTTTGTGTATGCATTTGTGCATATGTGCATGTGTGCATTTGTGTGTGTAGATATGGATATGGATGAGCGTGTATATTAATGTCTGTATGCATTTGTGTGTATGTGCATGTGTATATTTGCGTGTGTAGATATGGATATGTATGAGCATGTATATTAGTGTCTGTATGCATTTGTGTGTATGTGTGCATATGTGCATGTGTGCCTTTGTGTGTGTACATATGGATATGTATGCACGTGTATGCTGGTGTCTGTATGCATTTGTGTGTATGTGTTTGTGCATGTGTATATTTGGGTGTGTGTAGATATGGATATGTATGAGTGTGTATGCCTGTTAGTGTCTGTATGCATTTGTATTTGTATTTGTGTATGTGAATGTGAGCATTTGCACATGTGTGTATACGTGTGTCTGCATGTGTGCATCTATGTGTGTGCGTGTATGTGCAAGTGCGTATGTGTATAGGCACATGCTGATTTGTGTGTGTGAGAGGAGGGGCACAGGCAGACACTCTCTGTGTGGTCCCAGGTGAGGCCTGGTGGCAACGAGCCTGGTGCGTTCAGCCCTGGGTGGATGTGGTAGCGGAGGGAACAGCAGGGCAGCGTCCGAGGTGTGAAAAAGCACAACCTGCCCCGAGAGAGCCCTGCGCTCTGGGCCATCTCGGCTTCTTGGGCCATAGGTACATTCCTCACAGGTGACCTGAGTGTGGAGGAAAGGCCGTCTCTGCAGGCCAGGGGGCTCGCTGGTTAGTGCTCACACCCAGAGTGCACCCGGACGGCACCAGAGATCTTCCTACCTCCCAGGAGCCGTTGCACGATCTCCGGGCATCGCCACCCCCGACCTCGGGCACCACGAGACTCCATTTACAGACGGGAAGCGACCTGGGGCTGACCTTGATAAAACCCCTGTCCGGCCTCGATGGGTCTGAGCGGCAGGTGCCATTGTCTTCCCAACAGCGGCGTGTGTGACCCAACACGAGTTCGGGAATGCGAACAGTCTCCTCTCCGAGCTTCGCAAGCTGTTTTAGCACAAACTCACTGCTCAGCAGACTTCTTTGAACAAGGAGTCTTCTTAAAAATGACCCTTAAGCCTGTAATCCTAGCACTTTGGGGGGCCGAGGCGGGCGGATCGCTTGAGGTCAGGAGTTCGAGACCAGACTGGCCTACATGGAGAAACCGCATCTCCACTGAAAAATACAAGAATTAGCCAGGGTTGGTGGCGCATGCCTGTAATCCCCGCTACTCAGGAGGCTGAGTCAGGAGAATCGCTTGAACCCGGGAGTTGGGGGTTGCAGTGAGCCGAGATTGCACCATTGCGCTACAGCCTGGGCAACACAACGAGCCTCTGTCTCTAAAATAAAATAAGATAAAAAGTAAAATAAAGTAAAATGAAATATAAATATAATAATAAAAATGTAATAATAATATAATAATAATAATATCTGCCTACATAGGTCAGTGTACAGGCGGCGAACTGACTTCTTGCTCCGTGGCGTCAGAGCCTTGGAGAAAAGGAGGGTCACTGAGAAGGGGGGGCGGGTCAAATGAGAAGAAAACGCCAGGGAGGCTGATGCAAATCCCAGACCTCAAGGAGCAAGGGAGGGGCTGTTCTATCAAGTCCTGACGCCCAGGGCTAAAGGTAGAGGAGAAGGAATCCGTTCTTTGCCTTCTTTCTCTTCCCGCCCCCTAGCCCCTGCGCCTGGACCCCATTGGCTGAGCCCTGCTGAAGTCACCCAGCCAGGGTGACGCCAGTCAGAGCCAGGCAGATGTCAATTACACAGGGCCTTCTCTGTCTTCCCGCCCCCTAGTGCCTGCACCTGCTCCCCATTGGCTGAGCCCTGCTGAAGTCACCCAGCCAGGGTGATGTCAATCAGAGCCAGGCAGATGTCAATTACACAGGGCCTTCTCTTCCCGCCCTCTAGCCCCTGCACCTGCTCCCCATTGGCTGAGCCCTGCTGCAGTCACCCAGCCAGGTGATGTCAATGAGAGCCAGGCAGCTGTCAATTACACAGGGCCTTCTCTTCCCGCCCTCTAGCCCCTGCACCTGCTCCCCATTGGCTGAGCCCTGCTGAAGTCACCCAGCCAGGTGCTGTCAATCAGAGCCAGGCAGATGTCAATTACACAGGGCCTTCTCTCTCTTCCCGCCCCCTAGCCCCTGCATCTGCTCCCCATTGGCTGAACCCTGATGAAGTCACCCAGCCAGGTGATGTCAAGCAGAGCCAGGCAGATGTCAATTACACAGGGCCTTCTCTCTCTCTCTCTCTTCCCGCCCCCTAGCCCCTGCACCTGCTCCCCATTGGCTGAGTCTAGCTGAAGTCACCCCGCTATAGAGCCAGGCAGCTGTCAATCACACAGGGCCCACCACAGCCCAGAGTTGGGTTGAGTGCGAATCTAGCGAACCCTGTGAATCACGTCAGCGCCTGCACAGTGGGAAGGGGTCCCCCCTGGCACGTTGCTGCCAAGTTTCAACAGCGCTTAGAGGGGAAGCGGCAGAAGCAATTCGGCTTCTCGATGGGCTTGCCCCGGCGTGCACTTGCACGAAGCATTGGCAGGAAGGAAGCTTACAAATTCATCTGGGGCCACCAGCTTCCGGGGATCCGGTGAGATGCGGGGCATGGAGGGTTTGTGAAAGCAGCAGAGTGAGTTCTGTGTCATTTACTGCTGTTCTCTTCGGTCACATTGTTCTTTTGTTTTTTGTTTAAAAATAGGTGACTTTTACGCCGTACGCAGTGGCTCACGCCTGTAACCCCAGCACTTTGGGAGGCCAAGGTGGGAGGATCACCTGAGGTCAGGAGTTCGAGACCAGCCTGGCCAACATGGTGAAACCCTGTCTATAATAAAAATACAAAAATTAGCCTGGCGTGGTGGGGGGTGCCTGTAATCCCAGCTACTTGGGAGGCTGAGGCAGGAGAATCACTTGAGCCTGGGAGGCGGAGCTTGCAGTGAGCCGAGATCGAGCCACTGCACTCCAGCTTGGGCAACAGAGCAAGACTCCGTATTAAAAAAAAAAAAAAGTGACTTTTAGGTCGTATACAGTGGCTCACGCCTGTAATCCCAGCACTCTGGGAGGCCGAGGTGGGAGAATCACTTGAGCCCAGGAATTTGAGACCAACGTGGGCAACATAGCAAAACCTCGTATCCATTTATTCGATTAAAAAAGAACAAGTGACTTTTATTTGTCAGAATGAGTTATACAAATTCTGTGCTTTTTAAAATTTTTATTCTTTTTTTAAAAAATTTTTTATTTTTTGAGACAGTCTCACTCTGCCTCCCAGGCTGGAGCACAGTGGTGCGATCTCAGCTCACTGCAACCTCCACCTCCCGAGTTCAAGCGATTCTCCTGCCTCAGCCTCCTCAGTAGCTGGGATTACAGGCAAGCGCAACCACACCCGGCTAATTTTTTTGTATATATATATATATATATATATATATATTTTTTAGTAGAGACGGGGTTTTACCATGTTGGTCAGACTGATCTCGAACTCTTGACCTCGTGATCCACCCGGCCTCCCAAAAGTGCTGGGATTGCAGGCGTGAGCCACCGCACCCGGCCTTATTTTATTCTTTTTAATTGAGAAAAATGGCACATATTCACGGGATACATAGTGATGTTTCTATCCATATAGTGTGTAATTATCAGATCCTTATAGCATATAATGATCAATGTATAATTAATGATCAGATCCATATAATCTATAATGAGATGATTGATAGCATGTCCATCACGTCGAACTGCCTTTCCTTCCTTCCTTTGTTCCTTCCTTCCTTCCGTTCTCTCTCTCTCTCTCTCTCCCCTTTCTTTCTCTCTTTCTTTTTCTGTCTCTCTGTCTCACTTTCTCTCTTTTGGTCTCTCTCTCTCTTTCTTTCTGTCTTTCTTTCTTCTCTCGCTCTCTCATCCAGGCTGCAGTGCAATGGCATGATCTCGGCTCACTGCAACCTCCACATCCAGGGTTTGAGCAATTCTCCTGCCTCAGCCTACCAGGTAGCTGGGATTACAGGCATGTGCCACCACAGCCAGCTAATTTTTGTTTTTTTAGTAGAGACAGAGTTTTGCCGTGTTGGCCAGGCTGGTCTGGAACTCCTGACCTCAGGGGATCCACCTGCCTCGGCCTCCCAAAGTGCTGCGATTACAGGCATGAGCTACCATGCCCATCATTTCTTTGTGTAGGGAACATTTAATATCCTCCTTCCAACTATTTGAAACTGTAGAATATATTATTGTTAACTATCATCATTCTACAGGGCTTTAGAACACTAGAGTTTATTCCACGTGTCTAGCTGTAATTTTGTACGCTTTAATAATTGTTTTCATATGGACATAATAGCTCTCCGGGAAGAAAAAAATATAAAATAATAAATGTCACTCAGAACAGTAATCAGTAATGCTGTCAAAACTTTATTCAGGCTGTGTGTGGTGGCTCATGCCTGTAATCCCAACTCTTAAGGAGGACGAGGCGGGTGGATCACTTGAGCTCAGGAGTTTGAGACCAGCTTGGCCAACATAGTGAAACCCTGTCTCTACTAAAAATACAAAAAAAATTAGCCGGGCGTGGTAGCAAGTGCCTGCCATTCCAGTTACTCAGGAGGCTGAGGCACGAGAATCACTTAAATCTGGGAGGCGGAGGTTGCAGTGAGCTGAGATCGCGCCATTGAACTCCAGCCACTGCACTCCAGAGACAGACTCTCTTTGTCTTTTTTTTTTTTAATTTTTAAAAGGCAGGCGGATCACCTGAGGTCAGGAGTTCGAGACCAGCCTAGCCAAAATGGTGAAACCCCGTGTCTACTAACAATACAAAAATTAGCAGGGTGTGGTGGCGGGCACCTGTAATCCCAGCTACTCAGGAGGCTGAGGCAGGAGAATCGCTTGAACCCGGGAGGTGGAGGTTGCGGTGAGCCGAGATCACGCCACTGCAATGTGGCCTGGGCAACAGAGAAAGGCTTTGTCTCAAAACAAACAAACAAAAAATTGATGTTATGCACAGTATTTAATAAATTACATGAGACAGTCAATACTGTATTCTAAAATAGTCTTTGCGTTAGGTGATTTTGCCCAACTGTAGACAAATGTGAGTACTGTGTTTAAGGCAGGCTAAGCGATGATGTTTGGAAGGCTAGCTGTATTAAATGTCTTTTCAAGCAAGGATCTTTTCAACTTACAATGGGTTTATCAGGACGTAAGCCATTTTAGGTCAAGGAGTATCTGTATTTTGCTTTGATGAACATTTGACTATTCAGTCCTTTTAAAGTGGTGCATTCATGTGGCAGTTTGAGAGACATTAACAAAAAAAAAAAATAGAACACCTCCAGCAAGTACCAGAAAGATCACCTTTCTCCGTACAACTTCAGATTTGATAAAGCAGGCTTTTAAAAAGTGCTCTAGGGAATTGCAGGTCAGGTTAACAAAAACACATATTCAAATACCACAAATACAGCTATTAACATTAAAGCTGGCAGGGCACGGTGGTTCACAGCTGCAATCCCAGCACTTTCAGAGGACAATGTGGGTGGATCGCTTGAGGTCAGGAATTCAAGACCAGCCTGGTCAACATGGTGAAACCCCGTCCCTACTAAAAATCCAAAAATTAACCGGGCGTGGTGGCAGGTGCCTGTAATCGCAGCTACTCGGGAGGCTGAGGCAGGAGAATTGCTGGAACCCGGGAGGTGGAGGTTGCGGTAAGTCGAGATCGCGCCACTGGCTGGGCAGCAAGAGTGAAACTCCATCTCAATAAAACAAACAAACAAACAAAACCCTCCAAAACACGAGGATGATGGGGTTTGTCAAGACAAGGACCCTTTGTGTCTTTGTGTCTTTGGACTTGAGGGAATGGTCCCTCACAACCTCTAAAAGTCAATACATTTGATGTTTTCAAGGGTAGGTGGTAATCTTGCTATAATCACTGACTTCAGAGCTATCGTTCATCCCTCGGATTGGGGTATATGGGTAGGGAAAATAACACCCATGATGATGGCCACATCCTAATTCCTGGATCCCTGCACCTGTGAACATGTGACTTCACGTGGCAAAATGAATGTTGCAGGTGCGATAAAGGTAAGGATCTGGAGATGGGACATGATCCTGCATCTTGGATGGACCCAGTGTCTTCACAGGGTTCTCAGAAGAGGAGGTAGCATGGGCAGAGTCAGAGAGATTGGAAGAGGCTATACAGCTGGCTTTCAAGATGCAGAGAGGGACTGTGCATGAGGCATTGCCAGGTAGCTTTTGCTGGACTACAGTTCAATCCATTTCAGTTGCATCCAGTTCCTTTCGAAAGCTCTAGGGGAAGGTCCATCGTGTCTCTCCCACCCCCTGGGGACTCCAGGTGTCCCTGGGCTTGTGGCCTCATCGCTGCAGTCTCTGCTTCCGTCTCCACGTGGCCTTCTCCTCTGTGTCTGTGTCTCCTCTTCTGTCTCTCTTTTTTTTTTTTTTTTTCTGAGACTGAGTGTCACTCTGTCGCCCAGGCTGGAGTGCAGTGGCGCCATCTCGGCTTATTTCAAGTTCCACCTCCCGGGTTCACGCCATTCTCCTGCCTCAGCCTCCTGAGTAGCTGGGACTACAGGCACCCGCCACCACGCCCGGCTAATTTTTTTATATTTTTAGTAGAGACGGGGTTTCACCGTGTTAGCCAGGATGGTCTCGATCTCCTGACCTCGTGATCTGCCCGCGTCGGCCTCCCTAAGTGGTGGGATTAGAGGCGTGAGCCACCACTCCCGGCCTCCTCTTCTGTCTCTTGTGAGGACAGTGGTCATTAGATTTATGTCCACTCTCCTACAGGATGATCTCATCTCAAGCTCCTTGAATTAATTATGTGTGCAGACACGCTGTTTCCAAATAAAGTGTCACTGACAGGTACTAGGGGCTTAAGGCAACAGAAACTCATTCTCTCTCACTCCTAGAGAACAGAAGTCTCAGAACAACGTGTCTTAGGGCCGTGCTCCCTCTGGAGGCTCTAGGGGAGGGTCCTTTCTGCTTCTCCCAGCTCCTGGGGGCTCCAGGTGTCCCTGGGCTTGTGGCCGCATCACTCCGGTCTCTGCCTCCGTCTCCACATGGCCCTCTCCTCTGTGTCCGTGTCTCCTCGTCTGTCTTTTATGAGGACTGTGGTCATTAGAGTTAGGGTCCACTGTTGTCCAGGATGATCTTATCTCGAGCTTTTGAATTAATTATATCTGCAGAAACCGTATTTCCAAATAAAGTCTCACTGATAGGTACTAGGGGATTGAAACAACAGAAACTCATTCTCTCTCAGTCCTGTAGACCAGGAGTCTCAGGGCCACACTCCCTGTGGAGGCTCTAGGGGAGGGTCCTTCTTGCCTCTGCCAGCTCCTGGGGGCTCCAGGTGTCCCTGAGCTTGTGGCCCCATCACTCCAGTTTCTGCCTCCATCTCCACGTGGCCACCTCCTCTGCATCTGTGTCTCCTCTTCTGTCTGTTAAAAGGACACCTGTCATTGCATTTAGGGCCCACCCTATTGCAGGATGATCTCATCTCCAGATCCTTAATATAACTACATCTGCAAAGACCCCTTTTTCCAAATATGGTCCCATTTACAGGTTCTCAGGTTTTGATGTGGACTCATCTTTTGGG
Source organism: Homo sapiens (assembly GCF_000001405.40). Classification (NCBI taxonomy): domain Eukaryota; kingdom Metazoa; phylum Chordata; class Mammalia; order Primates; family Hominidae; genus Homo; species Homo sapiens. The sequence continues at coordinate 1,667,033 of NC_000024.10, forward strand.
GGACACCACTCAATCTCTTCCAGTTGTATTCAGCTCCCTCCAGAAGCTGCAGTGGAGCGTCCTTCCTGCCTCTCCCAGCTCCTGGGGGCTCCAGGCATCCCTGGGCTTGTGGCTACATCACTGCAGTCTCTGTCTCTGTTTCCACGTGGCCTTCTTCTCTGTGTCTGTGTCTCCTCTTCTGTCTCTTAGGAGGACACCTGTCATTGCATTTACGGCCTACCCTGCTCCAGGATGATCTCCTCTCAAGATCATTAACTAATTACATCTGCAATGACCTTATTTTCAAATAAGGTCCGGTTCACAGATTCTGGGGGTTAGGACATGGACAGATCTTTTGGGGATCACCATTCAAGTCTTTGCAATTGTGTCTGGTTCCCTCCAGAGGCTCTAGGGGAGGGTCCTTCCTGCCTCTCCCAGTTCCTGGGGGCTTCAGACATTTCTGGGCTTCTGGCCGCATCACTGCAATCTCTGCCTCCATCTCTACGTGGCCTTCTCTTCTGTGTCTGTGTCTCCTCTTCTGTCTCTCAGAAGGACACCTGTCATTGCATTTAGGGTCCACCCTAACTCCATATGACCTCATCTCTACATACTTAAGTAATCATATCTACAAAGACACTATTTCCAAATAATGTCCCACTGCAGCTTGTGGACAATAGCACGTGAACAGATCTTTCAACTACATGCAGCTCCCTCCGGAGGCTCTGGGGAGGGTCCTTCCTGCTTCTCCCAGCTCCTGCGGGCTCCAAGTGTCCCTGGGCTTGTGGCCGCATGACTCCAGTCTCTGCCTCCGTCTCCACATGGCCTTCTCCTCTGTGTCCGTGTCTCCTCTTCTGTCTCTTAGAAGGACACCTGTCAGTGGATTTAGGACCCAAGTTAAATGCAAGATGATCCTATTTCAACATCCTTAACTATATCACATGTAGAAAGACCCTACTTACAATTAAGGACACACTCTGAGGTTCTGGGTAGACGTGAATTTGTTTTGGAGGGGGGATACATTTTAACCCAGTACAGCGTCTTGATTAGGGAAGGAAATGAACTCATTTCATTCATAGAATCATGAATTGTTCATTCCTTGTGTTTATCAAGCATTCTCTAAAATGTTCCCGAGCCGACTGTGGAGCTCTGAGAACTCTTGAACAAACCTGTCCATAGTGGTTTCTGCCTTCTGTGCTTTATAATTTAGAGAAATTCGGCTGGGCGCGGTGGCTCACGCCTGTAATCCCAGGACTTTGGGAGGCCGAGGCAGGCGGATCACCTGAAGTCAGGAGTTCGAGACCAGCCTGACCAACATGGAGAAACCCCATCTCTACTAAAAATACAAAATTAGCCAGGTGTGGTGGTGGGCACCTGTAATTACAGCTACTCGGGAGGCTGAGGCAGGAGAATCGCTTGAGCCCAGGAGGTGGAGGTTGCAGTGAGCCGAGATCCAGCCACTGCACTCCAGCCTGGGCAACAAGAGGGAAACTCCATCTCAAATAATAATAATAATAATAATAATAATAATAATAATAATAATAGTTTAGAGAAATTCATTATTTCTGTGCCCGGTGAATTGGCGTGCTTTCGCTGGTAAGGATTACAGGATTTTTATCTTGCTTGGGACATCTCCAGGGATGAAAGTCAGGTCCTGGACTTTTTTTTTTTTTTTTTTTGAGACGGAGTCTCACTCTGTCACCCAGGCTGGAGTGCAGTGGCACAGTCTCGGCTCACTGCAACCTCTGCCTCCCAGATTCAAGCAATTCTCCCGCCTCAGCCTCCCGAGTAGCCGGGATTACAGGCATGTGCCACCACGCCCAGCTAATTTTTTTGTATTTTTAGTAGAGACGGGGTTTCGCCATATTGGCCAGGCTGGTCTCGAACTCCTGACCTTGTGATCCACCCACCTGGACCTCCCACAGTGCTGGGATTACAGGCATGAACCACTGCGCCCGGCTGTTTCTTTGTTTTTGAGATGGAGTTTTGCTCTGTTGCCCAGGCTGGAGTGCAGTGGCACAATCTCGGCTCACTGCAACCTCCGCCTCCCAGATTCAAGCAATTCTCCCGCCTCAGCCTCCGGAGTAGCTGGGATTACAGGCATGTGCCACCACGCCCAGCTAATTTTTTTGTACTTTTAGTAGAGACGGGGTTTCGCCATATTGGCCAGGCTGGTCTCGAACTCCTGACCTTGTGATCCACCCACCTGGACCTCCCAAAGTGCTGGGATTACATGCGTGAGCCACCGCGCCCGGACAGGTCCTGGACTTTTAAAATCAAAGGCCAGTACGTTTAATGACCATTAGAGAGAAAGATAAAAGCTGCCACAAGGTTCCGTTTGTCTAATTGAGCATTTGCAGGCTGAGGAGTGGAAAGGTTGTTTCTGATGTCCGCAGGGGACCGTTTTACACCTGGAAACCTGACATTTCATTCACCGCAGCCCGCCGGGCGTGCCGGCCACTTCACTTTTCACCCCCTCTGACTCCTCTTTCTTTGAAGCTAAGAGAGATGATTTTCATTTCCAGCAACGTTCATGAGGCTTTCTGGGCACTCGCCTGTGAGCAGGAAAAGGCTGAGACAGGTATAACCTGTCTTTGGGACAGGCTCTCCTTCGGAGGCCGAGGCGGGCAGATCACCTGAGGTCAGGAGTTTGAGACCAGCCTGGCCAACATGGTGAAACTCCGTGTCTACTAAAAATATAAAAATTAGCCGGGCTTGGTGGTGTGTGCCTGTAATCCCAGTTACTTGGGAGGCTGAGGCAGGAGAATCATTTGAAGTCGGGAGGCGGAGGTTGCAGTGAGCCGAGATTGCGCCACTGCACTCCAGCCTGGGCGACAGAGTGAAACTCCGTCTCAAAAACAAACAGGCAGGCGCGGTGGCTCATGCCTGTAATCCCAGCACTTTGGGAAGCTGAGGCAGGCGGATCGCAAGGTCAGGAGTTTGAGACCAGCCTGGCCAACATGGTGAATCTCCGTCTCTACTAAAAATACAAAAAATTAGCCCGGCATGGTGGCGGGTGCCTGTAGTCCCAGCTACTCAGGAGGCTGAGGCAGGAGAATGGCATGAACCCGGGAGGCGGAGGTTGCAGTGAGCTGAGATTGTGCCACTGCACTCCAGCCTGGGCGACAGAGCGAGACTCCATCTCACAAACAAACAAAGAAGAAAGAAAAACAAAAACAACTCAGAGACATATATCATTATGTTTTCTTTCATTTCTATGGGGAATCAAACATCTTATGAGTCTGGCTTACTAGGGGTGGCTATTGTTTGAGTTACTATTTGCTTGTTTACTGTGTTATTCATTCACGCCCCGAATGGTTGTAGGGCTAGCTAGCTGCCCAGAATGTCTCTTGAAGAAACTCACAATTTTTCTTTTTATTTCCATGCCTCGAGGTGGGGGGTGGCAGGACCTTTGGAGGGGTCTCTGGTCCTTCTCAGCCATTTGTTTTTTTTTGTTTCTGTTTTGAGATGGTGTTTCACTCTGCTGCCCAGTGCGGAGTGCAATGGTGTGATCTCGGCTCACTGCAACCTCCGCCTCCGGGTTCAAGCGATTCTCCTACCTCAGCCTCCCAAGTAGCTGGGACTGCAGGCGCCCACCACCACGTCCAGCTATTTTTTTTTTTTTTTTTTTTTTTTTGTATTTTTAGTAGACACGGGGTTTCACCATGTTGGCCAGGCTGGTCTCGAACTCCTGACTTCAGGTGATCCGCCCGCCTCGGCCTCCCAAAATGCTGGGATTACAGGCGTGAGCCACTGCACCGGGCTCTTCTCACCCACTTTAAGCTTTCTTCCATCCCTAAACTCCTCTGTGTATCCTCTTCCAACTTCATGTTACTGCTTAGGGGTGCATTTGCCTCTCAAAGGCCTTTTCTTACAAACAGTGCATTTCCAGACTTTCAGGCGTCCGCAGGTGTCTAGGACAGCCAAAGACCCAACACTGGTCTTTAAAATTTCCATACGTATTGTTTTCCACGCCACTGACGCAGCCTTGGACAGCTCCTTTGTGGACTGATTGTCAGGTCACCCCTGTGACCTGCATGTATACATCTAGATGGCCTGGAGCAACTGAAGGACCACAGAAGATGACATTCTACCATTGTGATCTGTTCCTGCTCCACCCTTACTGATCAGTTGACTTTGGGACAATACACCCTCCCCGCCCTTGCAGTCGTGTACTTTGTGATATTCCCCTGTCCTTGTGAATGTACTTTGTACGATACAGCCTCCTCACCCTTGGAAAGGTACTTTGTAATATCCTCCCCCGCCCTTAAGAAGGTACTTTGTAGGCCGAGCGCGGTGGCTCACGCCTGTAATCCCAGCACTTTGGGAGGCCGAGGCGGGCGGATCACGAGGTCAGGAGTTCGAGACCATCCTGGCTAACACGGTGAAACCCCGTCTCTACTAAAAATACAAAAAAATTAGCCCAGTGTGGTGGCGGGCGCCTGTAGTCCCAGCTACTCGGGAGGCTGAGGCAGGAGAATGGCGTGAACCCGGGTGGTGGAGGTTGCAGTGAGCCGAGATCGCGCCACTGCGGTCCGGCCTGGGCGACAGAGCGAGACTCCATCTCAAAAAAAAAAAAGAAGGTACTTTGTAATATTCTCCCCACCGTTGAGAATGTCCTTTGTGGCATCCACTCCCTGCCTAGAAAAAATTGCTCCTAACTCCACTGCCTATCCCAAACCTATAAGAACTAATGATAATCCCGCCACCCTTTGCTGACTCTTTTTTATGGACTCAGCCCGGACTCTCTTCACACGGACGCGTGTGACACCGATGTGTGTGAGCAAGAGATTTTGAAATTAAGAGGCAGGAGAGAAGGAAGCTGAGAGCTTGCTATTTCTGTGAACACTGGTTGTTACTGTATCGGGCCCCGTTAGAGTGGACCCTAGCTCAGAGGAGACATTTGATAACTGTGGGAAAATCAATGAATGAATGAAGACGCTAAATTTCTTGCAAGCACTGATGTCTAACTTTTATTCATTTATTTATTTTAGACACAGGATCTTGCTCTGTTGCCCCGGCTGGAGTGTAGTAGTGTAATCCTAGCTGACTGCAGTCTCAAACTCCTGGGCTCAGGCAATCCTCCTGCCTCAGCCATGTGAGTAGCTAGGATTATAGGCCTGTGCCACCATGCTTGGCTAGGTGTTTTTAAAATTTTTTTGGCTGGGTGCAGTGGCTCATTCCTGTAATCCCAGCACTTTGGGAGGCCGAGGTGGGAGGATCTCCTGAGTCCGGGACATCGAGGCTGCATTGAGCCAAGATCGTGGCATTGCAGCCTGGGTGACAGACTGAGACCCTGTCTGAAATGAAATTTCAATAAAATAAATAAAATCATTTCTTTATAGACAGGATGTCAGTATGTTGCTCAGGCTGGTCTCAAACTTCTGGACTTCAAGTGAGCCTCCCACCTTGGCCTCCCAAAGTGCTGAGATTACGGGTGTGAGCCACCATGCTGGCCCTGAGTCTTAACTTTCATAAAAACAATTCTTTTGTGTCTGTGTGTGTGTGATGGAGTCTCTCTCTGTCGCCCAGTGTGTGTGTGTGTGTGTCTGTGTGTGTGTCTGTGTGTGTGTGTGTGTGTGAGATGGCGTCTCGCTCTGTCGCCCAGGCTGGAGTGCAATGGCACCATCTCAGCTCACTGCAACCTCTGCCTCCCGGGTTCAAGTGATTCTCCTGCCTCAGCCTCCTGAGTAGCTGGGGTTACAGGCGTGCACCACCACGCCCAGCTTATTTCTTGTATTTTTAGTAGAGACAGGGTTTCGCCATGTTGGCCAGGCTGGTCTCAAACTCCTGACCTCAAGTAATCCGCCCACCTCAGCCTCCCAAAGTGCTGGGATTACAGGCGTGAGGCACCACGCCTGGCCTTTCATAAGAATACTTCTTAGTAGAATGCTGCCTACCGCAGAATTGCCTTACCTCTCCCCTCACTTTGTGTCCAAAGGGAATTCACAATCTCCATTCCAGGGTTTGAGCTCAGGCTGAGATGAGATTCAGCTCGTCTGGGGACTTGCAAATGCTTTGAAAAGATATGAAAAGGGTCGGGCATGGTGGTTCACGCCTGTAATCCCAGCACTTTGGGAGGCTGAGGCAGGCAGATCACGAGGTCAGGAGTTCGAGACCAGCCTGGCTAACCTGATGAAACCCTGTCTCTACTAAAAATGCAAAAATTATCTGGGCGTAGTGGTGCGCGCCTGTAATCCCAGCTACTCAGGAGGCTGAGGCAGGAGAATCTCTTGAACCTGGGAGGCGGAGGTTGCAGTGAGCTGAGATCTCACCACTGCACTCCAGCCTGGGGGACAGAGCGAGACTCCTTCTCAGAAAACAAACAAACAAAAAACCAAAACAACAACAAAAACAAACAAAAACAAAAAACAAAACTCATAAAGGTATGAAGGGGAGAGGTGCATTCCTGGGTGTAATATTCTCAATGAACACCAGGAGGCGGTGGTGAGGCACCATCCACACAAGCTGTCTTGAAGCGTGAACTGCCTGAAATGGTGAATTTTGTATCCACAGTACCTGGTATGTGGTCAGATACTGGGCTACATGGTGCTGTGAAGGTATCTTTCAGATGAGATGAACATTTTGTTCAGAGTCTGAATGAAGCCAGGGACCACGCACGATGAGGGTGGGCCTCGTCCCATCAGTTGAAGGTCTTAAGTGCAAAGACCAATGTTTTCCAAGGACAAAAGGATTCTGCCTCCCGGGATTCGGGTTCCAGCTGCAGCATTAACTCTTCCTGAGTTCTGCAGCCTGCTGGTCTACCTGAAGAATTTAGTGTTTCCCCTCCAGAATCATTGAGCCAATTCCTTAAAATCTTCCTTTCTTAGGTATCTGTATACACATGCATAAAACCAACATATAACGCCTTCATAGCCAATTCCTTAAAATCTCTCTCTCTCAAATATCTATATGCATGCGTAAAACCAACATACACCGCCTTCATAGCCAATTCCTTAAAATCTCTCTCAAATATCTATATGCATGCATATAACCAACATATACCTCCTACATGGCTATACCTCCTACATGGCCAATCCCTTAAAAATCTCTCTTAGATATTTATATATGTATGTGTAAAACCAACATATGCCTCCTACTTAGACAATTCCTTAAAATCTCTCGCTCAAATATCTATATATGCATGCATAAAATCAACATAAACCTCCTACTTAGCCAATTTCTTTCTTTTTTTTTTTTTTTGAGACAGAGTCTTGCTCTGTTGCCCAGGCTGGAGTGCAGTGGCACGATCTCGGCTCACAGCAACCTCCATCTCCCAGGTTCACGCAATTCTCGTGCTTCAGCCTCCCGAGTAGCTGGAATTACAGGTGCCCACCACCACATCTGGCTGATTTTTGTATTTTTAGTAGAGAAAGGGTTTCACCATGTTGGCCAGGCTGGTCTCAAACTCCTGACCTCGTGATCCGCCCGCCTCAGCCTCCCAAAGTGCTGGGATTACAGGCGTGAGCCACCACGCCCGGCCTTAGCCAATTTCTTAAAATCTCTCTCAAATATCAATACATGTATATATGAAACCAACATATACCTCCTACTTAGACAATTCCTTCAAATTTCTTTCCCTTTCTCTCAAGACCTATAGATGTCTGTATAAAACCAATATATACTTCCTACGTAGCCAATTCCTTAAAATGTCTCTCCTTCAAATATCTATATGTATGTATAAAACCAACATATACTTCCTTCATAGTTAATTTCTTAAAGTCGCTCTCTGTGTATATAGATTTATATAGACATAGATATAGAGATATTATATGTCTACATATAGCTATGCATGAATAAAGCCAATATGTACCTATTATGTATACAAATCCTTAAAATCTTTCCTTTCTCTCTGTATGTATATATATAGATATATCTATATATAGATCTGTATGGATAAAGCCAATAGGTACCTTCTATATTGACAATTCCTTAACATCTCTCTCTCTGTGTATACCTATATATAGATATATAGACATTATATATCTATATGTATGTAAAAACCAACATATACCTCCTACATAGACAATTCCTTAAAATCTCTTTGCCTCTCTCTCTGTCTCTTTTTTGAGACCGAGTCTTGCTCTGTCACCCAGGCTGGAGTGCAATGGTGTGTTCTTGGCTCACTGCAACCTTCACCTCCCGGGTTCAAGCGATGCTCCTGCCTCAGTCTCCCAAGTAGCTGGGGTTACAGGTGCCCACCACCACGCCTGGCTAATTTTTTGCATTTTTACTAGACACGGGGTTTCACCATGTTGGCCAGGCTGGACTCGAACTCCTGACCTTAGGTAATCTGCCCGTCTCGGCCTCCCAAAGTGCTGAGATTACAGGCGTGAGCCACCGTACTCGGCCTAGATAGAGATATATAGCTATTATATATCTATATATTGATATGTATGGACAAAGCCAATATGTACCTCCTATACTGATAATTCCTTAACATCTCTCTCTCTCTGTGTATTTTATATATAGATGTATAGATAGTCTCTGTCTGTGTATATTTATATATAGATATATATTGTATCTATATAGATATATATTGTATATATATATAGATATATAGTATATATAGATATATATTGTATATATAGACATATATTGTATATATATATATATATATATGCATGTAAAAAACCAACATATACCTCCTACATAGAAATTCCTTAAAATCTCTTTGCCTCTCTCTCTCTCTCCCCCACCCGCCTCTTTTTTTTTTTTTTGAGACGGAGTCTTGCTCTGTTGCCCAGGCTGGAGTGCAATGGTGTGATCTTGGCTCACTGCAACCTCCACCTCCCGGGTTCAAGCAATTCTCCCACCTCTGCCTCCTGAGTAGCTGGTACTACAGGTGCCCACTACCATGCCCAGCTAATTTTTTGTATTTTTAGTAGAGACGGGGTTTCACCGTGTTGGCCAGGCTGGTCTCAAACTCCTGACCTCAGGTGATCTGCCCGCCTCGGCCTCCCAAAGTGCTGGGATGACAGGCGTAAGCCACCGTGCCAGGCCTACATATAGATATGTAGCTATTATATATCTCTATATAGATATGTATGGATAAAGCCAATATGTACATCCTAATATTGAGAATTTCTTAACATCTCTGTCTTTGTGTATATTTATATATAGATAAATAGCTACATAGACATTATATATCTATATGTATGTAAAAAACCAACATATACCTCCTACACAGACAATTCCTTAAAATCTCTTTGTCTCTCTCTCTCTATATATATTATCTATCTATCTATCTACCTGTGTCTATATAAGTGTGATTAAAGCCAATATGTATTTCCTATATAGACAATTCCTTCTATATAGACAATTCCTTAACATTTCTCTTTGCATGTGTATGTGTGTGTGTGTATATATATATATATATATATATATATGTAATATCTATATGTATAAAACCAGTAGCCAATTTCTTAAAATCTCTCTGTAACCTATCTACATGTGTGTTTACATGTCTGTCCATAAGTATGTATAAAACATCTACCTCCAGGCTGGGCGCAGTGGCTCACACCTGTCATCCCAGCACTTTGGGAGGCCAAGGAGGGTGGATCACGAGGTCAGGAGTTCGAGACCAGCCTGGCCAACATGGTGAAACCCTGTCTCTATTAAAAATAAAAAGAAACATTAGTCGGGCATGGTGGTTGGCACCTGTAGTCCCAGCTACTCGGGAGGCTGAGGCGGGAGAATCATTTGAACGTGGGAGGCGGAGGCTGCAGTGAGCCGAGATCGCACCACTGCACTCCAGCCTGGGCCACAGAGTGAGACTCCATCTCAAAAAAAAAAAAAAAAAATCATATCTACCTCCTATTGATTTTCTCCATCTTATTGGTTCTGTTTCCCTGTCTGATACACCACCGAAGGAGAGAGAATAAGGGGTCCTCGTGGGTTTGCGGGGTGACTGAGAGAGTCACAGATGACCTGTGGGTGCCTGGATTCCGGGAGGGGACGGGAGGACTCAGGGAAGAAGGACAGGGTGGAATCATCGGAGTTTCCCTCCAGTGGGAGGCCAGGAGCTTCCAACTGCCTCTGTACCCCCGACCCAGCACACAAAAGGACGAGGAGAAGCATATCCTCGTCTCTAAGCATCAGCGCCAATCACGGCAGGTGCCGTGGTAGCAGTGAGCCTTGGCACTCAGCGTTTTTCTGCACTGTGGGTGAAAGTCCGGGAAGATATCAGAACCTGTGGGCCCTGAGTGTCAGTCTTGCCCCTGTGGGTGGAGGGTGCAAGATTCTAGAGCAGTGGTCCTCAGGCTGGGGCTGGGTTAACTCCAGGAGAATCACCCTCTAGAGAGAGAGATGTTCCAATGCAGAGTCCCAGGCCTGCCCAGGAGAATCCAGCTCAGGAGTCTGTGGGTGAGTTCCAAAGGGTGTGACCAGGGATTGCTCACTGATTCAGGCGACTCAATGATAAAGAAGAGTGAGCCTCTTTTTTTTTTTTTTTTTTTTGAGATGGAGTCTCACTCTGCCTCCCAGGCTGGAGTTCAATGGCACGATCTCGGCTTACTGCAATCTCTGCCTCCCGGGTTCAACTGATTCTCCTGCCTCAGCCTCCTGAGCAGCTGGGACTACAGGTGCCCACCACCATGCCTGGCTAACTTTTTGTATTTTCAGTAAAGATGGGGTTTCCCCATGTTGGTCCGGCTGGTCTCGAACTCCTGACCTCGTGATCTGCGCGTCTCAGCTTCCCAAAGTGCTGGGATTACAGGCGTGAGCCATCGTGCCCGGCCGATCCTTTTTTTATGGGCTAAACTGTGTCCCCTCTAAAATTCCTAGGTTGAAGCCCTAACCCCAGGGCCTCAGAATGTGGCTGTATTTGGAGGTAGGGTATGTAAAGAGGTAATTAAGGTAAAATGAGGTTATTAAGGTAAAATGAGGTTATTAAAGTAAAATGAGGTTACTAAGGTGGACCCTGATCCAGTAAGACTGACGTTCTTGTAAGAGGACATTGGGAATGGAGACGGTGGCTCACGCCTATAATCCCAGCACTTTGAGAGGCCGAGGTGGGTGGATCACCTGAGGTCAGGAGTTCAAGACCAGCCTTGCCAACATGGCAAAACCCTGTCTCTACTAAAAATACAAAAATTAGCCTGGCATGGTGGCAGGTGCCTGTAATCCCAGCTACTCAGAAGGCTGAGGCAGGTGAACTGCTTGAACCGGGGAGGCGGAGGTTGCAGTGAGCCGAGATTGTGCCATTGCACTTCAGCCTGAGCAACAGAGCGAGATTCTGTCTCGAAAAAAAAAAAAAAACGGCCGGGCGCGGTGGCTCACGCATGTAATTCCAGCACTTTGGGAGGCCGAGGTGGGTGGATCACGAGGTCAAGAGATTGAGACCATCCTGGCCAACATGGTGAAACCCCGTCTCTACTAAAAATACAAAAATTTGTCCGGCATGGTGGTGCATGCCTGTAACCCCAGCTACTCGAGAGGCTGAGGCAGGAGAATTGCTCGAACCCGGGAGGCAGAGGTTGCAGTGAGCTGAGATCGTGCCACTGCACTCCAGCCTGGGCAACAAGAGTGAAAACTCTGTCTCAAAAAAAAAAAAAAAGATATTGGGACACAGACACACACAGAGGGATAATCCTATCAAGATATAGGGAGAAGGCAGCCATCTGCAAACTGTAAATCAAAAACTATGTGAGACAGATCTCATCAATATGGACATTTATTGTGCCAAGGTTAAGGACCGTGGCCCGTGACACGGCCTCAGGAGGTTTGGAGAATTGCCCAAGGTGGTTGGGTTACAGCTTGATTTTACACATTTTAGGGAGACAGACGTTGCAACAAACACATACATCCATACATGGAAGGCGTACATTGGTTTGGGCCAGAAAGGTAGGACATCTCTACGTGGGCGCCTCGGGGTCATATGTGGATTCAAGGATTTTCTGATATGCCGTTCAATTTAGCAGAAAGAAATGCCTCAGTTTACATGATGGGGGTTGTGGAAGACAAGGTTTTTGTGATGTAGATGAAGCCAGCAGGTAGCAGGCTTAGAAAGAATGGATGGTAAATGTCTCTCTGTTTTGTTTTGTTCTTGTTTTGAGACAGAGTCTCGCTCTATCACCAGGCTGGAGTGCAGTGGCACAATCTCCACTCTCTGCAACCTCCGCCTCCCAGGTTCAAGCAATTCTCCTGCCTCAGCCTCCCAAGTAGCTGGAATTACAGGCACCTGCCACCCAGCCGGGCTAATTTTTGTATTTTTAGTAGAGATGGGGTTTCACCATGTTGGCCAGGCTGGGGTAAATGTCTCACATCAGAGGTTAAAAGCTGTCGGACTCTCCAGGGAAGACGTGATGAGAGAAGAGGATTGATATGGTTTGGCTGTGTCCCCACACAAATCTTACCCTGAATTATAGCTCCCATAATTCCTACATGTCTTGGGAGGGACGTGGTGGGAGGTAATTGAATCATGGTGCAGGTTTTTTCCATGCTGTTCTAATGAGTGACTAAGTCTCCCGAGATCTTGTGGTTTTATAAAGGGGAGTTTCCCTAACCAAACCGCGTCTTGCCTGCCACCACGGGAGACGTCCCTTTGCTCTGTGTTCATCTTCCACCATGATTGTGAGGCCTCCTGCAGCCATGTGAAATGGTGAGTCCGTTAAAGCTCTTTCCTTTATAAATGACCCAGTCTCAGCCATGTCTTTATTAGCAGAATCAGAACAGACTAATACAGGGAATCTTTCCCTTCTTTCCTTTTTTTTTTTTTGAGATGGAGTGTGACTCTGTCGCCCAGGCTGGAGTGTAGTGGCTGGATCTCGGCTCACTGCAACCTCTGCCACCGGGGTTCAAGAGATTCTCCTGCCTCAGCCTCCCAGGTAGCTGGGATTACAGGCACCTGCCACCGCGCCCGGCTGATTTTTGTATAGGGATTCTTTACAGAATGCAAATTTCCCCCACAAGAGATGGCTTTGCGGAGATGTGCCAAGATAAGTGAAAGACAATATATTTTGCAGAAAAATATGCTGATTCCTTCAGGGCCTGCTATCTGTCCTTTGATGCCATACCAGAATTAGGTGGGAATTTGGTATCTTATTGGTAGAAAGGGTCTCTTTGATCAGTCTTGTCTCAAAAAATAAAGAAATAATTAATATAGAAAACTGTTCTCTTTAGACCAGGCTCGTGGCTCACGCCTGTAATCCCAGCACTTTGGGAGGCCGAGGCGGGCGGATCACGAAGTCAAGAGATCGAGACCAGTCTGGCCAACGTGGTGAAACCCCACCACTACTAAAAATGCAAAAATTAGCCAGGCGTGCTCGTGCGCGCCTGTCATCCCAGCTACTCGGGAGGCCGAGGCAGGAGAATCATTCGAACCTGGGAGGCGGAGACTGCAGTGAGCTGAGATCGTGCCACTGCACTCCAGCTTGGTGACAGAGCGAGATTCCGTCTCAAAAAAACAACAAACAAACAAACAACAAAAAAATCCTGCTCTCTTTAGATAAGGTAGCATGGTACTTTGGCTCCTGGCTGGCGTCTGGGAACTTGCGTGTAGAAGTTTCACCATCCTAAATGACAAGGGTGCCTCACTGTGTAAAGCCTCTTCATAATGTGATTTATGCCAAACACCTGCTTTCCTTCTGGGTGGGACCCTGGAATTTGGGGAGGTACTTGGGGGTGGTTGCCTATGGGACCAGCCCCTAGTAAACAGCCCCCAATTAGGCTGAGTCTCCAATGAGTTTCTGTGGTCGACAGCATTTGACTGACATGTGTGATCAGGACCTGTTGCTCGGAGAACTGGGTATATCGTGTGTGATTCCACTTGGAGACTCTGAAGCTTGACCCTTGCTTTTCCCAAACTTTTCTCAATGTGCATCTTCCCTTTGTTCATTTTGTTCTGTGTGCTTTGGCTATAATAAATCATAGCTGGCCGGGCGCGGTGGCTCACGCCTGTCATCCCAGCACTTTGGGAGGCCGAGGCGGGCGGATCACGAGGTCAGGAGATCGAGACCATCCTGGCTAATAGGGTGAAACCCCATCTCTACTAAAAATACAAAAAAATTAGCCAGGCATAGTGGCAGGTGCCTGTAGTCCCAGCTACTCGGGAGGCTGAGGCAGGAGAATGGTGTGAACCCGGGAGGTGGAGTGTGCAGTGAGCTGAGATCACACCCTGCACTCCAGCCTGGAGGACAGAGCGAGACTCCGTCTCTAAATAAATACATAAATAAATAAATAATAAATAAATAAATAAATCGTAGCTGTGAGTGTGACTACACGCTGTCTTCTGCGAATGCTTCTAGAAAGTCAGCAAACCTAGGAGTTTCCAAATAATACGCTTCAGCATTTCAATATGGAAATAACTTTCCTTACTCAGGAGAGGGAAAATAGCAGCACAGATGGAATTAATTCAAACAGAGACACCAAAAGAGGAGAACATGAAAGATTCAGGTTTCAACGTTTAGGAGCTGGAAGAAAAAAAAATAATAATTGGTATATCCTTTTTTTTTCCAATTGAAGCTAGCTTTCTTTCTCTCTTTCTCTCTCTTTCTCTTTCTCTCTTTCTCTTGCTCTCTTTCTCTTTCTCTCTTTTTCTTTCTCTTTCTCTCTCTCTTTCTCTTTCTCTCTCTTTCTCTTTGTCTCTCTTTGTCTCTCTGTCTCTCTGTCTCTCTGTCTCTCTCTTTGTCTCTCTCTCTCCTCTTTCTCTCTCCTCTCTCTTTCTCTCCTCTCTTTCTCTCTTTCTCTCCCTCTCTCTCTCTCCCTCTCTCTCTTTCTCTCTTTCTCTCTCTTTCTCTTTCTCTCTCTCTTTCTCTCTCTCTTTCTCTCTCTTTCTCTCTCTTTCTCTCTTTCTCTCTTTCTCTTTCTCTCTCTCTCTCTTTCTCTTTTTCTCTCTTTTCTTTCTCTTTCTCTCTCTCTCTCTTTCTCTCTTTCTCTCTCTCTTTCTCTCTTTCTCTCTCTCTCTCTCTTTCTCTCTCTCTTTCTCTCCTCTCTCTTTCTCTCTTTCTCTCCCTCTCTCTCCCTCTCCCTCCCTCTCCCTCCCTCTCCCCCTCCCCCTTTCTCTCTGTTTCTCTTTCTCTTTCTCTCTGTTTCTCTTTCTCTTTCTCTCTGTTTCTCTTTCTCTCTGTTTCTCTTTCTCTTTCTCTCTGTTTCTCTTTCTCTTTCTCTCTGTTTCTCTTTCTCTGTTTCTCTTTCTCTGTTTCTCTTTCTCTGTTTCTCTTTCTCTGTTTCTCTTTCTCTGTTTCTCTTTCTCTCTCTCTTTCTCTCTTTCTCTCTCTCTTTCTCTTTCTCTCTCTCTTCCTCTTTTTCTCTCTCTCTCTTTCTCTTTCTTTCTCTCTTTCTCTCTCTCTTCCTCTTTCTCTTTCTCTCTCTCTCTTTCTCTCTTTCTTTCTCTCTTTCTCTCTTTCTCTCTCTCTTTCTTTCATTGTACTTTAAGTCCTGGGGTACATGTGCAGAACGTGCAGGTTTGTTACATAGGTATACACGTGCCATGGTGATTTGCTGCACCCATTGACCCGTCATCTACATTACGTATTTGTCCTAAAGCTGTCCCTTCCCTAACCCCCAGCCCCTGACAGGCCCCGGTGTGTGATGTTCCCCTCCCTGTGTCCATGTGTTCTCATTGTTCAACTCCCACTTATGAGTGAGAACATGCAGTGTTTGGTTTTCTGTTCTTGTGTTAGTTCGCTGAGAATGATGGTTTCCAGCTTCGTTCATGTCCCTGCAAAGGACATGAGCTTATTCTTTTTTCTGGCTGCATAGTATTCCATAGTGTCTATGTGCCACATTTTCTTTATCCAGTCTATCATTTATGGGCATTTGGGTTGGTTCCAAGTCTTTGCTATTGTGAACAGTGCAGCAATAAACATATGTGTGCATGTGTCTTTATAGTATGATTTATAATCCTTTGTGTATATACCCAGTAATAGGATTGCGGGGTCAAATGGTATTTCTGGTTCCAGATCCTTGAGAAATCACCACACTGTCTTCCACAATGGTTGAACTAATTTACTCTCTCACCCACAGTGTAAAAGCATTCCTATTTCTCCAATTCTCTCCAGCATCTGTTGTTTCCTGACTTTTTAATGATCGCCATTCCCATTCTAACTGGTGTGAGATGGTATCTCATTGTGGTTTTGATTTGCATTTCTCTAGTGAACAGTGAGGAGGAGCTTTTTTTCATATGTTTGTTGGCTGCATAAATGTCTTCTTTTGAGAAGTGTCTGTTCATATCCTTTACCCATTTTTTGATGGGGTTGTTTTTTTCTTGTTAATCTGTTTACGTTATTTGTAGATTCTGGATATTAGCCCTTGGTCAGATGGATAGATTATAAAATTTTTCTCCCATTCTGTAGGTTGCCTGTTCACTTTGATCATGGTTTCTTTTGCTGTGCAGGAGCTCTTTAGTTTAACTAGATCCCATTTGTCAATTTTGGCTTTTGTTGCCATTGCTTTTGGTGTTTTAGACATGAAATCTTTGCCCATGCCTATGTCCTGAATGGTATTGCCTAGATTTTCTTCTAGGGTTTTTATGGTTTTAGGTCTTACATTTAAGTCTTTAATCCATCTTGACTTAATTTTTGTATAAGGTGTAAGGAAGGGATCCAGTTTCAGCTTTCTACATATGACAATGAATGTCAGGCATCCATCTCTATAGCCAATTCCCAGTTCACGTATCATCCAGGGAAGGGTTAGATAGTCAAAGAGGCTGCCCTCCCACCCCCTGTCAGGCAGCCAGTGGGGGTGGAGGCTTGTCTTCTTCTCACCTGATCCTCTCATAAGCTTCACACGCAGCTGCATAGTTTCTGCTATTCTGATGTTCACTTCAAGAGATGGTGGACACTCATCATCAGATGTGTCTTCCTTCTCGATTTCTTTTCTGGTTGGAATATATCAATTCATTTTTTTTTTTTTTTCAGTTTCTAAACTTTGAAACCTGTGTTTTTCATTTTCTTCTCTTTTGATGTTCCAGTTTGAATTATTTCATCCCTGCTGCTATTTTCATGCTCCTGAATAACGAATGTTATTTATATATGGAGATGCTGAAGTGTATTATTTGGAAAGGGAAATTTGTTACCTCTGATATGGGTTTGGAGATTTATTAAAAATAAATATCTTGACATACCAGCTTGAAGAGAGATTTCACCTAATCAGGAACTTATGAATTCTATGAATATTTGAATTAAGTTGCAGGTGTATTTCTCAGATTAATTTCTGCTCTGGGGTGTTGGAGGGATTCTTGTCCATCTTATATACAGACAGTTTTTTGCTGCTGTAGACACTGTAAGACACCTTTAATTTATCAGCCAATTCTGTGGGTAAAATATGATGATTAGAAGGTGTAATGAGATTAATTATTTTCTCCTAAAATACATGTCCACGTCCTAATCTCTCTAGAGCCTGTGAAGGGGACCTTAGCATTTGCAGATATACCTAAATACAATGACAGGTGTCTTTGTAAGAGACAGAAAAGGAGACTCAGACACAGAGGAGAAGGCCACGTGGAGATGGAGGCAGAGAGTAGAGTGATGCGGCCACAAGCCCAGGGATGCCTGGAGTCCCCAGGAGCTGGGAGAGGCAGGAAGGGGCCTCCCCTAGAGCCTCCGGAGGAAGCATGGTCCTGCTCACACCTTGATCTCAGATTTCTGCCTCCAGAACTGGGAGGAGAGAAATTCTTACTGTTTTAAGCCTCCAGTTTTTTTGTTGTTGTTGTTGAGACAGAGTCTCACTCTGTGGCCAGGCTGGAGTGCAGTGGCCCGATCTCGGCTCACTGCAACCTCCGCCTCCCTAGCTCAAGCTACTCTCCTGCCTCAGCCTCCCCAGTAGCTGGGACTACAGCTACTATGTGTCTATGCTGCTATGAATAGTTCCACCGTTAAATAAAAGAGGCAGGGAAAATACACTCCCTCGAGTTTTTTGTAAACCCCAAAATCCCTGGAGAAATAACACACCCCAAGAATAATTCTAAAAATTGGCACGTGCCATGGTGTTACTGTAGAGGAAATCTCAAATGCTCAAAAACAAAGTGGACAATGAAAGAAGGTAATTATGTGGAAATAGAGCCCAGACAAAGAATGCAATACTGTCCCAGAATAAACCGTCACCCATGACTCACACCGGGCGTTCAAGATGTCCACAGACGTGTGGGAAAATGAAACCCAGCCGTCTGCCTTCTCTTCTTTCTTTGAAATCTCTCATCCATCAGCAGCTCTGTTGGGCCATCCCTCCCAAGGCAGGCACCTTTTATCTGAGTGAACTCAGATAAAAAATTAGCCATGCCCGGCTAATTTTTGTATTTTTAGTAAAGACGGGATTTCACCATGTTGGCCAGGATGGTCTCGATCTCCTGACCTTGTGATCCACCCGCCTCAGCCTCCCAAAGTGCTGGGATTACAGGCGTGAGCCACCACGCCTGGTCTTAAGCCTCTAGTTTTGTTAAATTATTACAGTGGCCCCAGGAAGGTACTAGAGAGAGGAGGTTTCTGTAGTAGTTTTTCCCTCAGAGTATGTTCACAGTCTGCTTTTTCTAGTCTGTCTCAGGTCTTAGCCCATCACAGAGCTATGTAGGGTATTCGGTGACTGTTTCATTTTGGGCTGGTACTGTAGATGTATCTATAATGTGTCCCTGTCATTGATGCAAACTTGAATCAAGCTATACAGCATCATGTATCATGCCTAATTTGAGGTAGTCCTA
The DNA here is from genome assembly GCF_000001405.40 of Homo sapiens. Lineage (NCBI taxonomy): Eukaryota > Metazoa > Chordata > Mammalia > Primates > Hominidae > Homo > Homo sapiens. The sequence continues at coordinate 1,685,643 of NC_000024.10, forward strand.
TTGACACTTTTGCTACTTTCCAAGGAATCCTGAAAGCCACATTCATCATTTCTGAATGAGGACAAAGCCCTGTTGATCCCTTGTCTAGCAAAAGCCCCAGAGAGTTCACTCAGATAAAAGGTGCCTGCCTTGGGAGGGATGGCCCAACAGAGCTGCTGATGGATGAGAGATTTCAAAGAAAGAAGAGAAGGCAGACGGCTGGGTTTCATTTTCCCACACGTCTGTGGACATCTTGAACGCCCGGTGTGAGTCATGGGTGACGGTTTATTCTGGGACAGTATTGCATTCTTTGTCTGGGCTCTATTTCCACATAATTACCTTCTTTCATTGTCCACTTTGTTTTTGAGCATTTGAGATTTCCGCTACAGTAACACCATGGCACGTGCCAATTTTTAGAATTATTCTTGGGGTGTGTTATTTCTCCAGGGATTTTGGGGTTTACAAAAAACTCGAGGGAGTGTATTTTCCCTGCCTCTTTTATTTAACGGTGGAACTATTCAGAGCAGCATAGAACACGAATGTCCAACAATCATGGACTGGATTAAGAAAATGTGGCACATATACACCATGGAATACTATGCAGTCATAAAAAATGATGAGTTCATGTCCTTTGTAGGGACATGGATGAAGCTGGAAACCATCATTCTCAGCAAACTATCGCAAGGACAAAAAACCAGACACCGCATGTTCTCACTCATAGGTGGGAATTGAACCATGAGATCATATGGACACAGGGTGGGGAGCATCACACACTGGGTACTGTTGTGGGGTGGGGGGAGGGGGGAGGGATAGCATTAGGAGATATACCTAATGCTAAATGACGAGTTAATGGGTGCAGCACACCAACATGGCACTTGCATACATATGTAACTAACCTGCACATTGTGCACATGTACCCTAAAACTTAAAGTATAATAATAATAAAATAAAAATAAAAAAACACGAAGCTTTCTTGGCACTTCCCAAGAGTGGATTTAACTCTTCTCCTGGGACAGCAGGGACCACCAGCCCACAAAGGAGGACTTATTATCTCCACTTCAGTCTTGCCTGAAAATCTGCTCTAGTTTTGAACAACATCAGAGCTAAACAAATCAGAAAGAATGTGATTGTTTTGGTCGGGTGTTCTCCGGAAGAAGCTATTGCCTCCTCCTGTGAATGCCAGCTGGGCAAAATATTCCTAAAGCATCTCACAAATTCATCAGTGGTTTCTGCTCTTGGACAGCTATTTTCTTTGATGATAAAGACTTAGGCAATGCATGGAATTCTAGATGTATTAATATATACTCAGACAAGCACTGAACAGACTTTGCTTTCCTAGTTAAAATCTAAGTGATACAGGTACAATCAGCTGCCTGTAATCCCAGCTCTTTATAGGCTCATGCCTGGAATCCCAGCACTTTAAGAGTCCGAGGTAGGCAGATCACCCAAGGGCAGGAGTTCGAGACCAGCCAGGCAAACATGGAGAAACCTTGTCTCTACTAAAAATACAAAAATTAGCCGGGCATGGTGGTGGGTGCCTGTAGTCCCAGCTACTCGGGAGGCTGAGGCAAGAGAATTGCTTGAACTTTGGAGGCCAGGTTGCAGTGAGCCGAGATCACACCACTGCACTCCAGGTAGGCGACAAGAGGGAAACTCTATCTCTTAAAAAAAAAAAAAAAAAAGGCTGGACATGGTGGCTTATGCCTGTAATCCCAGCAGTTTGGGAGGCCGAGGCAGGCAGATCACGAGGTCAGGAGTTCGAGACCAGCCTGGCCAAATGGTGAATCTCTCTCTACTAATAGTACAAAAATTAGTCAGGCGTGGTGATGGGCACCTGTAATCCCAGCTACTCAGGAGGCTGAGGCAGGAGAATCACTTGAACCCAGGAGGCAGAGGATGCAGTGAGCCAAGATCGTGCCATTGCACCCCAGCCTGGTGACAGAGAGAGACTCCATCTCAAAAAAAAAAAAAAAAAAACCCAGGTGCGGTGGCACCTTGGGAGGCTGAGGCAGGTGAATCACTTGAGGTCGGGCATTCGAGACCAGCCTGGCCAATGTGGTGAATCTCTGTCTTTACTAAAAACACAAACATTAGCTGGGCATGGTGGCAGGTGCCTGTAGTCCCAGCTACTTGGGAGGCTGAGGCAGGAGAATTGCTTGAACCCAGGAGGCCAGGTTGCAGTAAGCCGAGATCGTGCCACTGCACCCCAACTGGGGGACAAGAGTGAAACTCCGTGTCTTAAAAAAAGACACAAATAGTGGACTTGGGGCTCACCCTAATCCATGATGTTCTCATCCCTAACTCCTTAACTAGATTACTTCTGCAAAGAGTCTTATACCAAACGCGGTCCCATTCTCAGGTTCTAGGGGGTTAAGCCATACTCATATCTTTTTGAGGAGACACCGTTGAATGGACTGAATTGTACTGCTCCCCAAATTCGTTTGTGGAGCCGTAACATCCAATGTGATGATATTTGAAGATGAGGACTTTGGGAGGTACATAGAGTTACTCGAAGTCGTATGTGAATGAATTATATTTTGTTACTTCACTCTTCTCTCGATGGACAGATTGTAGATTTTTGAGTAGGGCACTCACATGCGTTTCACTAAGGTTTTTAAAAGATCCCTTTACAGCGGTGTCAAGAGTAAATTATAAGCCAGGTGCGGTGGCTCACGCCTGTGATCCCAGCACTCTGGGAGGCCGAGGCGGGCGGATCACTTGAGGTCGGGAGTTCGAGACCATCCTGGCCAACAAGGTGAAACCCCATCTTTACTAAAAATACAAAAATTAGCCAGGTGTGGTGGTGCGCACCTGTAATCCCAGCACTGTGGGAGGCTGAGGCAGGCAGATCACCTGAGGTTTGGAGTTCGAGACCAGCCTGGCCAACATGGTGACACCCCGTCTCTACTAAAAATACAAAAATTAGCCAGGTGAGGTGAGGTGGTGCGCACCTGTAATTTCAGCTACTCGGGAGGCTGAGGCAGAAGAATTGCTTGAACCCAACAGGCGGAGGTTGCAGTGAGCCGAGATGGTGCCACTGCACTCCAGCCCGAGTGACAGAGTGAGACTCTGTCTCGGGGGGAGGGGAGGGGGGAAAGTAAATTGTGGGGAACAACTGTGTAAGCCGGTAGGATAGGAGATGGTTGCAGGAATGCGGGTCAGGAGATAGTGACATGGAGTTAACAAAGGAGGTGGTACAGAGTGCTTAGTTCTGAATTTTTTGAAATTCTTGAATGAGTTTCTTACGGGGGTAAGGTATACGTAACCTAAAATTTACCTGTTTTGGCTGGGCGCGGTGGCTCACGCCTGTAATCCCAGTACTTTGGGAGGCCAAGGCGGGTGGATCACGAGGTCAGGAGATCGAGACCATCCTGGCTAACGCGGTGAAACCCCGTCTCTACTAAAAATACAAAAAATTAGCTGGGCATGGTGGCGGACGCCTGTAGTCCCAGCTACTCGGGAGGCTGAGGCAGGAGAATCGCTTGAACCCGGGAGGCGGAGCTTGCAGTGAGCCGAGATCACGCCCCTGCACTCCAGCCTGGGCAACAGAGTGAGACTCCAGCTCCAAAAAAAAAAAAAAAAATTTACCTGTTTAACCATTTTTAGTTACTTATTTATTTATTTTGAGAAGGAGTCTCGCTCTGTCACCCAGGCTGGAGTGCAGTGGCGTAATCTCTGCTCACTACAACCTCCGCCTCCTGAGTTCAAGTGACTCTCCTGCCTCAGCCTCCTGAGTAGCTGGGACCAGAGGCACAGATGGGGTTTCACCATGTTGGCCAGGATGGTCTCGATCTCCTGACCTTGTGATCCGCCCATCTTGGCCTGCCAAAGTACTGGGATTACAGGCATCAGCCACTGTGCCCGGCCATTTATTTATTTATTTATTTATTTTTCAGTTTTCCCTAAGGTAATTTATTTTTTATTTATTTTTTATTTATTTTTTTTAATTTTTTTTTTCTTTATTATACTTTAAGTTTTAGGGTACATGTGCACATTGTGCAGGTTAGTTACATATGTATACATGTGCCATGCTGGTGTGCTGCACCCATTAACTCGTCATTTAACATTAGGTATATCTCCTAATGCTATCCCTCCCCCCTCCCCCCACCCCACCACAGTCCCCAGAGTGTGATATTCCCCTTCCTGTTATTTATTTATTTTTTGAGAAGGAGTCTGGCTCTGTCACCGAGGCTGGAGTGCAGTGGCGCGATCTCGGCTCACTACAACCTCCGCCTCCTGGGTTCAAGTGATTCTCCTGCCTCAGCCTCCTGAGTAGCTGGGACTACAGGCGTGTGCTGCCGTGCCCGGCTAATTTTTGCATTTTTAGTAGAGATGAGTTTTCACCATGTTGGCCAGGCTGCTCTTGAACTCCTGTTTTTAACCTTTTTTAAATGTACAGTTCAGTAGCATTAAGGACATTCTCATTATTGTGCAGTTTTCACCACCCTGCACTTCCCAAGCTTGTTTATCTTCCGCAACTGAAACTATGTCCTCATGAAACACTCTCAGGGCCGGGCGCGGTGGCTCACGCCTGTCATCCCAGCACTTTGGGAGGCCGAGGCCTGTGGATCACCTGAGGTCAGGAGTTCAAGACCAGCCTGGCCAACATGGAGAAACCCCGTCTCTACTAAAAATACAAAAATCAGCCCGGCGTGGTGGCGCACGTCTGTAATCTCAGCTACTCGGGAGGCTGAGGCAGGAGAATGGTCTGAACCCGGGAAGAGGAGCTTGCAGTGAGCCGAGATCACGACACTGCACTCCAGTCTGGGTGACGGAGTGAGACTCCCTCTGCAATCAAACAAACAACAACAACAAAAAAACAGTCCCTCCTCATTCCCCTCCCACAGCCCCTGGCTGTAAGAGTTAAAGAAAGAGGAAAGAAATAGGAAAAGCGGCTTAACAGTTAAAGACAGGTTTATTTTGGTAAATAAACCTGAGAGACGATTTGGGCCAATTTTGGTTAGGAGCAGTTTTTTTTAAACAGACCTAAGAGTTCTTAAGGGTTTAGGGTGGGTGAGCTTATTACAGGCTTGGAATGTTTTTGTGGGTTTTTTTGTTTTGCTTATTTGGGAGGGAGAGTTTTGTGTGTGTTTGTTTTTTTTTTTTTTTTTTTGGAGACGGAGTTTCACTCTTGTTGCCCAGGCTGGAGTGCAGTGGCACGATCTTGGCTCACTGCAACCTCCACCTCACGGGTTCAAGTGATTCTCCTGCCTCAGCCTCCTGAGTAGCTGGGATTACAGGCATGCACCACCACGCCTGGCTAATTTTTGTATTATTTATTTATTTATTTATTTATTTATTTATTTTTTGAGACGGAGTTTTGCTCTTGTTGCCCAGGCTAGAGTGCAGTGGCCTGATCTCAGCTTACTGCAACCTCCGCCTCCCGGGTTCAAGCGATTCTCCTGCCTCAGCCTCCCGAGTAGCTGGAATTACGGGCACCCGCCACTACGCCCGGCTAATTTTGTATTTTTAGTAGAGACGGGGTTTCTCCATGATGGCCAGGCTGGTCTCGAACTCCTGACCTCAGGTGATCCGAAAGTGCTGGGATTACAGGCGTGAGTCACTGCCCCTGGCCTGTGTTTGTTTTTTTCCTTTTTTAATTTGTTTTTTTCCTGCAGCTGCAGGCATACCCACCCCCAAGTTTCCCTTCGGCTTTTCTATTTTAGTGCACCTAAAAGGAAAGGAATGTGCTTATTAGGGCCCATTGTATGAGTTTGAAGTTTGGTGGTTAAGCAAGAAATTCTTCTCCCTCCCTTTGTGCCCGAGCTGTTTTATTTGTGTTTTACAGTTTGCTTTTTCTGGCTGCTTGTTGTTAGAAGAGATTTTCTTGAAATGCATGAGGTTAGCAAGGGAGCAGGAACTTAAAATGGCAACGTTTGTCACCGTTACTGGGTATATACCCAAAGGACTATAAATCATGCTACTATAAAGACACAGGCACACGTATGTTCATTGCGGCACTATTCACAATAGCAGAGACTTGGCACCAACCCAAATGTCCATCAATGATAGACTGGATAAAGAAAATGTGGCACATACACACCATGGAATACTATGCAGCCATAAAAAAGGATGAGTTCATGTCCTTTGCAGGGACATGGATGAAGCTGGAAACCATCATTCTCAGCAAACTAACACACTGCGTCGGCCTCCCAAACTGCTGGGATTACAGGTGTCAGCCACTGCGCCCAGCCTATTTATGATTTAACTTAATTGACAAATAATTGTACAGATGTACCATGTATAGCATGATGTTTTGAAATATGTATACATCGTGAAATGGCTAAATTGAGCAAAATAACATTCGCATAACCTCACATATTTATCATTTTTGTGAGAGAACCCTTGAAATGTACTCTGTTAGTGATTTTCAGGAATATAATACACGGTGGCTGGGCGCGGTGGCTCACGCCTGTCATCCCAGCACTTTGGGAGGCTGAGGTGGGTGGGTTGATTGAGTTCAAGAGTTCAAGACCAGCCTGGCCACTATGTTGAAACCCTGTCTCTACAAAAAATACAAAAATTAGCCAGGTGTGGTGGCATGTGCCTGTAATCCCAGCTACTTGGGAGGCTGAGGCAGGAGAATTGCTTGAACCCGGGAGGCGGAGGTTGCAGTGAGCTGAGATCACACCGCTGCACTCCAGCTTGGGCAACAGAACGAGACTCTGTCTCAAAAAAAGTAAAAAAATAACCAAACACGGCATGTTCTCATAAGTGTGAGTTGAACAATGAGAACACATGGACACAGGGAGGGGAATGTCACACACTGGGGCCAGTCGGGGGGCTAGGGGAGGGATAGCATTAGGACAAATACATAAGGTAGATGATGGGTTGATGGGTGCAGCAGACCACTATGGCACGTGGATACCTATGTAACAAACCTGCACGTTCTGCACACGTACCCCAGAACTTAGAAGTATAATTAAAAAAAAAATTAACTCCAAAAAAAAAAAATAGAAGTGTTCATACAAAATCTTGGCTCACCGCAACCTCTGCCTCCTGGGTTCAAGCGATTCTTCTGCCTCAGCCTCCTGAGTAGCTGGGATTACAGGTGCCTGCCACTGTGGCTGGCTAGTTTTTATATTATTAGTAGAGACGGAGTTTCACCATGTTGGCCAGGCTGGTCTCAAACTCCTGACCTTAGGTGATTAACCCACCTTGGCCTCCCAAAGTACTGGGATTACAGGCGGGAGCCACTGTACCCGGCCCCAATTTTTTTTTTTTTTTTTTTTTGAGACGAGTCTTGCTGTGTCTCCCAGGCTGGAGGGCAGTGGTGCGATCTCAGCTCACTGCAAGCTCCACCTCCTGGGTTCATGCCATTGTCCTGTCTCAGCCTCCCATGTAGCTGCGACTACAGGCGCCCGCCACCACACCCAGCTAATTTTTTTGTATTTTAAGTAGAGACGGGGTTTCACCATGTTAGCCAGGATGGTCGCGATCTCCTGACCTCGTGATCCACCCGCCTCGGCCTCCCAAAGCGCTGGGATTACAGGTGTGAGCCACCGCGCCCGGCCTTTTTTTTTTTCTTTTAATTAGCTATGTGTGGTTGTGTCTGTAGTCCCAGCACTTTGGGAGGCTGAGGCCATAGGCTCGCTTGAGACCAGGTGTTCGAGATCAGTCTGAGCAACATAGTCTGACCCCATCTCTAAAAATGTTGAAAGAGAAAAAGAAAGTCAGCATTTTGCTCTTTTTTCCTAAGAGATTTTTGACTCCCCTGCACCATCCTTCACTAAGTGAAGCAAGCAAAAGAATTCTGCAAGAATACATGTTGACTTTTTTCTTCTTTTTTTTTTTTGAGATGGAGTCTCGCTCTGTGGCCCAGGCTGGAGTGCAGTGGCACAATCTTGGCTCACTGCAACCTCCGCCTCCCGGGTTCAAACGATTCTCCTGCCTCAGCCTCCCAAGTAGCTGGGACTACAGGCGCCCGCCACCACGCCCGGCTAATTTTTTTGTATTTTTAGTAGAGACGGGGTTTCACCGTGTTAGCCAGGATGGTCTCGATCTCCTGACCTCGTGATCCGCCCGCCTCGGCCTCCCAAAGTGCTGGGATGACAGGCATGAGCCATCATGCCCGGCCCTTTTTCTTTTTCTCTTAGAGATGGTGTCTCACTCTGTGGCTCAGGCTGAAGTGCGGTGGCACAATCATAGCTCACCGCAGTCTCCACCTCCCAGGTTCAAGCGATCCTCCTACCTCAGCCTCCTGAGTAAATGGAGCTACGGGCACACACCACCATATCTGGCTTATTTTATAATATTTCTCACCAGCAATCGCCTCTCCCTCGAGCGATGTTCTTGAAAGCTGAACTACAACCACAGTGGAAAAGCCGGCGTGTCAGGCCTGCATAAGTTTGTCTGTTGTGGTTTTGTAAAAATTAATTGTGAAATACACATCACAAAATTCACCGTGAGTACCAGGGAACAAAAGCACAGGCCGGGCGCGGTGGCTCACGCCTGTAATCCCAGCACTTTGGGAGGCCAAGGCGGGTGGATCACCTGAGGTCAGGAGTTCTTGACCAGCCTGACCAACATGGAGAAACCCTGTCTCTACTAAAAATACAAAAATTAGCCAGGTGCAGTGGCTCACACCTGTAATCCTAGCACCTGGGGTTGGGGGTGGGGGTGGCGGATGACCTGAGGTCAGGAGTTCGAGACAGGCATAGCCCATGTGGGTAACCCTGTCTCTACTAACAATACAAAAATTAGCTGGGCATGGTGGTGGGCGCCTGTAATTCCAGCTACTCTGGAGGCTGAGACAGGAGAATCGCTTGAACCTAGAAGGCGGAGGTTGCAGTGAGCTGAGATCACGCCACTGCACTCCAGCCTGGGTGATAGAGCGAGACTCCATCTCTGAAAACAAACAAACAAAAAAAACAAAAAATTTAGCTGGGCATGGTGGTGGAACCCTGTAGTCCCAGCTACTCAGGAGGCTGAGGCAGGAGGATCGCTTAAACCTGGGAGGTAGAGGGTGCAGTGAGCTGATATTGTGCCACTGCACTCTAGCCTGGGCGACAGAGCGAGACTCCATCTCAAAACAAACAAGCAAATACAATGTTGTACAACCACTGTTGCTTTCTACTTTCAAAATATTTTCATCCCCCCAAAGGGAAACTCTTTTATCCATTAATCATTTGCTCCCATTCTCCTGCCCTCAGCCCCGAGGAAGCACGAATCCATTTTCTAGCTCTATGGATTTGTCTTTTCTGGACGTTTCAGAGAAATGGAATCAGACACTCTGTGGCCTTCTGTGTCTGGTGTCTTTCACTGGCCATGATATCTTCAAGGTTCATTCCCGTTGTTTCCTATATCAGGACTTTTTAAAATCTTTCTTTAAAAAATTTTATATGGAGGTATTACTATTTTTATATTTGCAGAATGATCTGGAATATTTTCAAAGGTTTATTTCTGATGTATTTTTATATATTTATTTTTTTGAGACACAGTCTCAATCTGTCTCCCAGGCTGGAGTGCAGTGATGCAATCTCAGCTCACTGCAACCTCCGCCTCCCGGGTTCAAGTGATTCTCCTGCCTCAGTCTCCCCAGTAGCTGGGACTACAGGCACACACCACTACAAGGGCTAATTTTTGTATTTTTAGTAGAGGCAGGGTTTCACCATGTTGGCCAGGCTGGTCTCCAACTCCTGACCTCAGGTGATCCACCTGTGTTGGCCTCACAAAGTGCTGGGATTACAGGTGTCAGCCACTGCACTCAGCCTATTTATGATTTAACTTTTTAATTGACAGACAATTGTACAGATGTACTATATACAGCATGATGTTTTGAAATATGTATACATCGTGAAATGGCTAAATTGAGCAAAATAACATTTGCATAACCTCACATACTTACTATTTTTGTGAGAGAACTCTTGAAACGTACTCTATTAGTGATTTTCAGGAATATAATACATGGTGGCTGCGCGCAGTGGCTCTCACGCCTGTAATCCCGGCACTTTGGGAGGCTGAGGTGGGTGGGTCGATTGAGTCCAAGAGTTCAAGACCAGCCTGGCCGCTATGCTGAAACCCTGTCTTTACAAAAAATACAAAAATTAGCCAGGCGTGGATGGCATGTGCCTGTAATCCCAGCTACTCAGGAGGCTGAGGCAGGAGAATTGCTTGAACCCGGGAGGTGGAGGTTGCATTGACCTGAGATCGCACCACTGCACTCCAGCCTGGGTGACAGAGCGAGACTCTGTCTCAAAAAATAATAATAATAATAATAATGCATCATTATAAACTCTAGTCACCATGATGTACAATAGAGCTTTTTAATGTATACGTTCTAACTAAACTTTGTATCTTTTTTTTTTTTTTTTTTTTGAGATGGAGTCTCACTCTGTCACCCGGGCTAGAATGCAGTGGTGCAATCTTGGCTCACTGCAAGCTCCGCCTCCCGGGTTCAAGTGATTCTCCTGCCTCAGCCTCCCAAGTAACTGGGACTACAGGCGTGTGCCACTACGCCTGGCTAATTTTTTGTATTTTTAGTAGAGACAGGGTTTTACCGTGTTAGCCAGGATGGTCTGGATCTCTTGACCTTGTGATCTGCCTGCCTTGACCTCCCAAAGTGCTGGGATTACAGGTGTGAGCCACCGCGCCGGGCCACGTTGTATCTTTTGACCAACATCTTCCAACCTTCTCCAGCGCCTGGTAACCACCATTCTATGATTCTATGATTTATGGTTCTATGCTCTGATTCTATAATTTCAATTTTTTTGATTCTATGTAGAAGTGAGATCATGTGGTATTTGTCTTTCTGTGACTGGCTTATTTCAGTCAACATAATGTCCTCCAGGTTCATTTCCACGTGGTCAAAAATGACAGGATTGTCTTCCTTTTAAAGCCTGAATAGTGTTCTGCTGTGAGTATATACCACATTTTCTTCATCTGTTCATCTGTTGATGGGCATCTGCGTTATCCCATACCTTAGCTATTGTGAATAACACACATACTTCATATTCCTTTTCATGGCTGAGTAATATTCCCCATATGGGTGGACCATGTTCTGTTCCTCCATTCATCTGTTGATGGGCACCTGGGTTATCCCATACCTTAGCTATTATGAATAACACACAGACTTCCTATTCCTTTTCATGGCTGAGTAATATTCCCCGTATGGGTGGACCACATTCTGTTCCTCCATTCATCTATTGATAGACACTTGGGTTATCCCATATTTTACCTATTGTAACTACTGCAGTGAGGACTTCATTCCCTTTTCATGGCTGAGTAATATTCCCCTCTATGGGTGGACCATGTTCTATTCTTCCATTCATCTGTTCATGGGCACTAGGGTTATCCTATACCTTAACTGTTGTGAATAAAACAAAGACTTCCTATTCCTTTTCATGGCTGAGTAATATTCCCCGTATGGGTGGACCACATTCTGTTCCTCCATTCATCTATTGATAGACACTTGGGTTATCCCATATTTTACCTATTGTAACTATTGCAGTGAGGACTTCATTTCCTTTTTATGGCTGAGTAATATTCCCCTGTATGGGTGGACCATGTTCTGTTCCTCCATTCGTCTGTTGATGGGCACTAGGGTTATCCCATAACTTAGCTATTATGAATAATGCCAAGACTTCACGTTCCTTTTCATGGCTGAGTAATATTCCCCTGCATGGGGGGACCATCTTCTGTTCTTCCATTCCTCTATTGATAGACACCCATATCTTAGCTATTGTAACTAATACAGTGAGGACTTCACTCCCTTTTTATGGCTAAGTAATATTCTCCTGTATGGGTGGACGATGATCTATTCCTCCATTCATCTGTTGATGGGAACTTGGGTTATCCCATAACTTAGCTGTTGTGAATAACACAAAGCCTTCCTATTCCTTTTCACGGCTGAGTAATATTCCCCGTATGGGTGGACCACATTCTGTTCCTCCATTCATCTATTGATAGACACTTGGGTTATCCCATATTTTACCTATTGTAACTATTGCAGTGAGGACTTCATTCGCTTTTCATGGCTGAGTAATATTCCCCTCTATGGGTGGACCATGTTCTATTCTTCCATTCATCTGTTGATGGGCACTAGGGTTATCCTATACCTTAACTGTTGTGAATAAAACAAAGACTTCCTATTCCTTTTCATGGCTGAGTAATATTCCCCGTATGGGTGGACCACATTCTGTTCCTCCATTCATCTATTGATAGACACTTGGGTTATCCCATATTTTACCTATTGTAACTATTGCAGTGAGGACTTCATTTCCTTTTTATGGCTGAGTAATATTCCCCTGTATGGGTGGACCATGTTCTGTTCCTCCATTCATCTGTTGATGGGCACTAGGGTTATCCCATAACTTAGCTATTATGAATAATGCCAAGACTTCACGTTCCTTTTCATGGCTGAGTAATATTCCCCTGCATGGGGGGACCATCTTCTGTTCTTCCATTCCTCTATTGATAGACACCCATATCTTAGCTATTGTAACTAATACAGTGAGGACTTCACTCCCTTTTTATGGCTAAGTAATATTCTCCTGTATGGGTGGACGATGATCTATTCCTCCATTCATCTGTTGATGGGAACTTGGGTTATCCCATAACTTAGCTGTTGTGAATAACACAAAGCCTTCCTATTCCTTTTCACGGCTGAGTAATATTCCCTGTATGGGTGGACCACATTCTGTTCCTCCATTCATCTATTGATAGACACTTGGGTTATCCCATATTTTACCTATTGTAACTATTGCAGTGAGGACTTCATTCCCTTTTCATGGCTGAGTAATATTCCCCTCTATGGGTGGACCATGTTCTATTCTTCCATTCATCTGTTGATGGGCACTAGGGTTATCCTATACCTTAACTGTTGTGAATAAAACAAAGACTTCCTATTCCTTTTCATGGCTGAGTAATATTCCCCGTATGGGTGGACCACATTCTGTTCCTCCATTCATCTATTGATAGACACTTGGGTTATCCCATATTTTACCTATTGTAACTATTGCAGTGAGGACTTCATTTCCTTTTTATGGCTGAGTAATATTCCCCTGTATGGGTGGACCATGTTCTGTTCCTCCATTCGTCTGTTGATGGGCACTAGGGTTATCCCATAACTTAGCTATTATGAATAATGCCAAGACTTCACGTTCCTTTTCATGGCTGAGTAATATTCCCCTGCATGGGGGGACCATCTTCTGTTCTTCCATTCCTCTATTGATAGACACCCATATCTTAGCTATTGTAACTAATACAGTGAGGACTTCACTCCCTTTTTATGGCTAAGTAATATTCTCCTGTATGGGTGGACGATGATCTATTCCTCCATTCATCTGTTGATGGGAACTTGGGTTATCCCATAACTTAGCTGTTGTGAATAACACAAAGCCTTCCTATTCCTTTTCATGGCTGAGTAATATTCCCCGTATGGGTGGACCACATTCTGTTCCTCCATTCATCTATTGATAGACACTTGGGTTATCCCATATTTTACCTATTGTAACTATTGCAGTGAGGACTTCATTCCCTTTTTATGGCTCAGTAATATTCCCCTGTATGGGTGGAACATGTTCTGTTCTTCCATTCATCTGTTGATGGGCACTACGGTTATCCTATACGTTAACTGTTGTGAATAACAAAGGCTTCATATTCCTTTTCATAGCTGAGTAATACTCCCCTGTATGGGTGGACCATGTTCCATTCCTCCAATCATCTATTGATAGACACTTAGGTTATCCTACCTCTTAGCTATTGTGAATAACACAAAGACTTCTTATTCCTTTTCATGGCTGAGTAACATTCTCCTGTATGGGTGGACCATGATCTATTCCTCCATTCATCTGTTGATAGGCACTTGGGTTATCCCATACCTTAGCTATTGTGAATAACACAAAGACTTCCTATTCCTTTTCACGGCTGAGTAATAGTCTTCTCTATGGGTGGACCATGATCTATTCCTCCATGTTCATAGATACTTGGGTTATTCCATATCGTAGCTATTGTAACTAATACGATGAGGACTTCATTCCCTTTTTTTGGCTGAATAATATTCGAGATACAAGATGTCAAGGTACAATGATGAAGTTTATGACTTCCCAGTTTTTTCTTTTTCTTAGGGAACAGCCAAGAACTAACATGTTTCCTACACTTTCTATTTTCCTTTCCAATGAATGGTCTCTCTGTGATTTCATTAGGAAAAATACCCCAATTTCCTTACATGCCAATGTATAGAGAACAGGTAGAGATCCAGATGGAAGATTAGAGATCAATTGACCTTTTAGTTTGTAAGTGTCTTATGTATATGAACATAAGCATGTTTTAAAGTAGCCATGTGATTTGAAAAATATGCAGATGAAAAGCATTTTTAAAAATTGGAGGACAGGTGCAATGGCTCACACCTGTAATCCCAGCACTTCGGGAGGCCAAGGCAAGTGGATCACGTGAGGTCAGGAGTTTGAGACCAGCCTGGCCAACATGGTGAAACCCCGTCTCTACTAAGAATACAAAAAATTAGCCAGGCATGTTGGTGCATGCCTGTAATCCCAGCTACTCGGGAGGCTGAGGCAGTTCCTATATTCCTATAGGGTTCCTATATTTGCATAATTCATTAGTAGAGAAATTCAGGTTTCTCATAATGAATCTTCTGAATATCTAACCATGTTAGTTATGAGTTGGCCATTCCTAATAGCTTTTATGAAATAAAATCAAGCTTGACTTTTTTTCTCTTTTGCTGTCAAAATTCTCATTATTAACTGGAATATTCATGGGAAAATGGCAGATAATGTCAAGCCAGTCATCCACTTTGGCTTTGCGTTTTTAAAATTGATAAGTCAACCTTCTAAACTGTCTTTTAAAAATTTTATTTTATTTTACTTCAAGTTCTGGGGTACATGTGCAGAACGTGCAGGTTTGTTACATAGGTACACGTGTGCCATGGTGGTTTGCTGCACCTGTCATCCTGTCATCTAGGTTTTAAGCCCTGCATGCATTAGGACAAATACCTCCCCTTGCCCCCCAGCCCCCAACAGGCCCCGGTGTGTAATGTTCCCTCCCTGTGTCCATGTGTTCTTGATGTTCAACTCCCATTTTTGAGTGAGAACATGCGGTGTTTGGTTTTCTGTTCCTGTGTGAGTTTGCTGAGCACGATGGCTTCCAGCTTCATCCATGTCCCTGCAAAGGACATGATCTCATTCATTTTCATAGCTGCACCTTCTACACTTTTAAATTTTGGAACAACTGCAGACTTACAGGAGGATTACAAAAACAGTACAGAAAGTCCTTCGCACCCCTCTCAGTCAGCTTCCTCTGCTATCTTACATAACCTGGGTGCATTTATCACAATGAGACGTCAACGGCGATGCAACACGATTAGCAAGTCTGCAGAGTGTGTTTGCATTTCGCCAGATTTTCCGGTCCTTTCTTTTATTTAGATTCAAGTTCCCATCCAGGGTGCCATATTGCACTTAGTCACTGCCTGGTCTTGGCTTTCTGCAGTCTCTGCAGAGCTCCTCAAACGCCCCTTGTTTTTTTTTTTTTTTTTTTTTTGAGACGCCGTCTTGCTCTATCGCCCAGGCTGGAGTGCAGTGTTGCGTTCTCGGCTCACTGCAACCTCCACCTCCCGGGTTCACGCCATTCTCCTGCCTCAGCCTCCTGAGTAGCTGGGACTACAGGCACCCGCCACCACGCCCTGCTAATTTTTTGTATTTTTAGTACGGATGGGGTTTCACCGTTTTAGCCAGGATGGTCTTGATCTCTTGACATCGTGATCCGCCCTACTTGGCCTCCCAAAGTGCTGGGATTCCAGGCGTGAGCCACCGCGCCTGGCCAATTCCCTTGTTTTTAAGAGCTTGACGATTTTGAAGAGTCGTGGTACAGGTGTGCTGAGAAATGTCCATCACGTTTTTCCAGGTTCAGGCTAGGGGCTGAGGAGGGTGGGAAGCGGACCACAGAGGGAACTGGAGTCATCAATGCTGGTATCGCTGAAGACGTCCCGTTGACATCTTGTACCTGCCCATGCGACGTGGAGGTGGCCTCCAACAGGTGTCTCCAGCATTGATGACTTGGTGGAAGTGGCCTCTGCCAGGTGTCTCCAGCGTTGATGACTCAGCACAGGTGGCCTCTGCCAGGTGTCTCCAGCATTGATGACTCAGCGGAGGTAGCCTCTGCCAGGTGTCTCCAGCATTGATGACTCAGCAGAGGTGGCCTATCTCGGGTGTCTCCAGCATTGATGACTCAGCGGAGGTGGCCTCTCTCAGGTGTCTCCAGCATTGATGACTCAGCAGAGGTGGCCTATCTCGGGTGTCTCCAGCATTGATGACTCAGCGGAGGTGGCCTCTCTCAGGTGTCTCCAGCATTGATGACTCAGTGGAGGTGGCCTATCTCAGGTGTCTCCAGCATTGATGACTCAGCGGAGGTGGCCTCTCTCGGGTGTCTCCAGCATTGATGACTCAGCGGAGGTGGCCTCTGTCAGGTGTCTCCAGCATTGATGACTCAGCGGAGGTGGCCTCTCTCAGGTGTCTCCAGCATTGATGACTCAGCGGAGGTGGCCTCTCTCAGGTGTCTCCAGCATTGATGACTCAGCGGAGGTGGCCTCTCTCGGGTGTCTCCAGCATTGATGACTCAGCGGAGGTGGCCTCTGCCAGGTGTCTCCAGCATTGATGACTCAGCGGAGGTGGCCTCTGCCAGGTGTCTCCAGCATTGATGACTCAGCGGAGGTGGCCTCTCTCAGGTATCTCCACGTTGATGACTTGGCGGAGGTGGCCTCTCTCAGGTGTCTCCAGGGTTGATGAGTCAGCGGAGGTGGCCTCTCTCAGGTGTCTCCAGTGTTGATGACTCAGCGGAGGTAGCCTCTACCAGGTGTCTCCAGCATTGATGACTCAGCGGAGGTGGCCTCTGCCAGGTGTCTCCAGCATTGATGACTCAGCGGAGGTGGCCTCTGCCAGGTGTCTCCAGCATTGATGACTCAGCGGAGGTGGCCTCTCTCAGGTGTCTCCAGCATTGATGACTTGGTGGAGGTGGCCTCTCTCGGGTGTCTCCAGCATTGATGACTCAGCGGAGGTGGCCTCTCTCAGGTGTCTCCAGTGTTGATGACTCGGTGGAGGTGGCCTCTCTCGGGTGTCTCCAGCATTGATGACTCAGCGGAGGTGGCCTCTCTCAGGTGTCTCCACGTTGATGACTTGGCGGAGGTGGCCTCTCTCAGGTGTCTCCAGGGTTGATGAGTCAGCGGAGGTGGCCTCTGCCAGGTGTCTCCACGTCGATGACTCAGCGGAGGTGGCCTCTGCCTGGTGTCTCCACAGAGAAGTTGCTATGTTTCTCGTTCTATCATTTCCTCCTTGGAAGCCAGGCCAAACTATCCGAGCAACTCTCTCTTACCGGGGATTATATTCTACTTGACTTCTCCTGCTTGGAGTAGTGGGGAAGTGTCTGGTGGAATAATAGGAATTCTTTTGTAAGGGAGGTTGGGCTCTTCTCCCATGTTTATGTTTGAGTTAATCCTTTTATAAAGGTATATATAATGTATATATATATATATGTAATACACATAAAATATGCCATATACATATACACAAGAAATACAAATATCTATATATAACATTAATATGATCTCAGTATAAATTCATATATATACTAGTATAAACTCACTAGTATAAGTATAAAGTATATTAGTATAATAAACATATGTTACTGTAAACTCTGTATTATATATTAGCATAATAAATATATATTTGAATTCAGTATAAACTCATATATAGTAGAATAAACTCATCAGCATTGGTATAATATAAACTCATTACTATTAAGTCATATATATACTAGTATAAACTCATTATTACTTAAATAGTATAAATATATGTATTAGTATAAATTCATTAGTATAAATACATACTAGTATAAACTCATTAGTATACGTAATATATGTATAATATATATATTTTTTTTATATCAGACAAGAATTTTGTACTTTATTCTGTAGGCAATGAGGGGCATTGAAAGTAGGTCCTTTAGCAAGAACGGGGCATAGTCAGAGCTTTAAAAGAAAGATCAATACGTCAGCAATTGTGAAATAAAATGTCATCATTATTATATAGCAAATAAAAATGGAAACATTAGAATTCCAATAGGTAAGATCCCAGAATACAATGATTCTTAAGTAAGATATTCACCTTTCCCAATTATTGCTTTTTTTTTAAATTTTTTAAGTTTATTTCTTTTATTATTTAAATTTTAGGGTACATGTGCACATTGTGCAGGTTAGTTACATATGTATACATGTGCCATGCTGGTGCGCTGCACCCACTAACTCGTCATCTAGCATTAGGTATATCTCCCAATGCTATCCCTCCCCCCTCCCCCCACCCCACAACAGTCCCCAGAGTGTGATGTTCCCCTTCCTGTGTCCATGTGTTCTCATTGTTCAATTCCCACCTATGAGTAAGAATATGCTGTGTTTGGTTTTTTGTTCTTGCGATAGTTTACTGAGAATGATGATTTCCAATTTCATCCATGTCCCTACAAAGGACATGAACTCATCATTTTTTATGGCTGCATAGTATTCCATGGTGTATATGTGCTACATTTTCTTAATCCAGTCTATCATTGTTGGACATCTGGGTTGGTTCCAAGTCTTTGCTATTGTGAATAATGCCGCAATAAACATACGTGTGCATGTGTCTTTATAGCAGCATGATTTATAGTCCTTTGGGTATATACTCAGTAATGGGATGGCTGGGTCAAATGGTATTTCTAGTTCTAGATCCCTGAGGAATCACCACACTGACTTCCACAATGGTTGAACTAGTTTACACTCCCACCAACAGTATAAAAGTGTTCCTATTTATCCACATCCTCTCCAGCACCTGTTGTTTCCTGACTTTTTAATGATTGCCATTCTAACTGGTGTGAGATGATATCTCATAGTGGTTTTGATTTGCATTTCTCTGATGGCCAGTGATGATGAGCATTTTTTTTATGTGTCTTTTGGCTGCATAAATGTCTTCTTTTGAGAAGTGTCTGTTCATGTCCTTCGCCCACTTTTTGATGGGGTTGTTTGTTTTTTTCTTGTAAATTTGTTTGAGTTCATTGTAGATTCTGGATATTAGCCCTTTCTCAGATGAGTAGGTTGCGAAAATTTTCTCCCATTTTGTAGGTTGCCTGTTCACTCTGATGGTAGTTTCTTTTGCTGTGCAGAAGCTCTTTAGTTTAATTAGATCCCATTTGTCAATTTTGGCTTTTGTTGCCATTGCTTTTGGTGTTTTAGACATGAAGTCCTTGCCCATGCCTATGTCCTGAATGGTAATGCCTAGGTTTTCTTCTAGGATTTTTATGGTTTCAGGTCTAACGTTTAAGTCTTTAATCCATCTTGAATTGATTTTTGTATAAGGTGTAAGGAAGGGATCCAGTTTCAGCTTTCTACATATGGCTAGCCAATTTTCCCAGCACCATTTATTAAATAGGGAATCCTTTCCCCATTGCTTGTTTTTCTTAGGTTTGTCAAAGATCAGATAGTTGTAGATATGTGGCATTATTTCTGAGGGCTCTGTTCTGTTCCATTGATCTATATCTCTGTTTTGGTACCAGTACCATGCTGTTTTGGTTACTGTAGCCTTGTAGTATAGTTTGAAGTCAGGTAGTGTGATGCCTCCAGCTTTGTTCTTTTGGCTTAGGATTGACTTGGCTATGCGGGCTCTTTTTTGGTTCCATATGAACTTTAAAGTAGTTTTTTCCAATTCTGTGAAGAAAGGCATTGGTAGCTTGATGGGGATGGCACTGAATCTGTAAATTACCTTTGGGCAGTATGGCCATTTTCACAATATTGATTCTTCCTACCCATGAGCATGGAATGTTCTTCCATTTGTTTGTATCCTCTTTTATTTCCTTGAGCAGTGGTTTGTAGTTCTCCTTGAAGAGGTCCTTCACGTCCCTTGTAAGTTGGATTCCTAGGTATTTTATTCTCTTTGAAGCAATTGTGAATGGGAGTTCACTCATGATTTGGCTCTCTGTTTGTCTGTTGTTCGTGTATAAGGATGCTTGTGATTTTTGTACATGGATTTTGTATCCTGAGACTTTGCTGAAGTTGCTTATCAGCTTAAGGAGATTTTGGGCTGAGACAATGGGGTTTTGTAGATATACAATCATGTCATCTGCAAACAGGGACAATTTGACTTCCTCTTTTCCTAACTGAATACCCTTTATTTCCTTCTCCTGCCTAATTGCCCTGGCCAGAACTTCCAACACTATGTTGAATAGGAGTGGTGAGAGAGGGCATCCCTGTCTTGTGCCAGTTTTCAAAGGGAATGCTTCCAGTTTTTGCCCATTCAGTATGATATTGGCTGTGGGTTTGTCATAGATAGCTCTTATTATTTTGAAATACGTCCCATCAATACCTAATTTATTGAGAGTTTTTAGCATGAAGGGTTGTTGAATTTTGTCAAAGGCCTTTTCTGCATCTATTGAGATAATCATGTGGTTTTTGTCTTTGGCTCTGTTTAATATGCTGGATTACATTTATTGATTTGCGTATATTGAACCAGCCTTGCATCCCAGGGATGAAGCCCACTTGATCATGGTGGATAAGCTTTTTGATGTGCTGCTGGATTCGTTTTGCCAGTATTTTATTGAGGATTTTTGCATCAATGTTCATCAAGGATATTGGTCTAAAATTCTCTTTTTTGGTTGTGTCTCTGCCCGGCTTTGGTATCAGAATGATGCTGGCCTCATAAAATGAGTTAGGGAGGATTTCCTCTTTTTCTATTGATTGGAATAGTTTCAGAAGGAATGGTACCAGTTCCTCCTTGTACCTCTGGTAGAATTCGGCTGTGAATCCATCTGGTCCTGGACTCTTTTTGGTTGGTAAGTTATTGATTATTGCCACAATTTCAGATCCTGTTATTGGTCTATTCAGAGATTCAATTTCTTCCTGGTTTAGTCTTGGGAGAGTGTATGTGTCGAGGAATTTATCCATGTCTTCTAGATTTTCTAGTTTATTTGCATAGAGGTGTTTGTAGTATTCTCTGATGGTAGTTTGTATTTCTGTGAGATTGATGGTGATATCCCCTTTATCATTTTTTATTGCGTCTATTTGACTCTTCTCTCTTTTTTTCTTTATTAGTCTTGCTAGAGGTCTATTTTGTTGATCCTTTCAAAAAACCAGCTCCTGGATTCATTAATTTTTGAAGGGTTTTTTGTGTCTCTATTTCCTTCAGTTCTGCTCTGATTTTAGTTATTTCTTGCCTTGTGCTAGCTTTTTGAATGTGTTTGCTCTTGCTTTTCTAGTTCTTTTAATTGTGATGTTAGGGTGTCAATTTTGGATCTTTCCTGCTTTCTCTTGTGGGCATTTAGTGCTATAAATTTCCCTCTACACACTGCTTTGAATGCGTCCCAGAGATTCTGGTATGTTGTGTCTTTGTTCTCGTTGGTTTCAAAGAACATCTTTATTTCTGCCTTCATTTCGTTATGTACCCAGTAGTCATTCAGGAGCAGATTGTTCAGTTTCCATGTAGTTGAGCGGTTTTGAGTGAGATTCTTAATCCTGAGTTCTAGTTGATTGCACTGTGGTCTGAGAGACAGTTTGTTATAATTTCTGTTCTTTTACATTTGCTGAGGAGAGCTTTACTTCCAAGTATGTGGTCAATTTTGGAATAGGTGTGGTGTGGTGCTGAAAAAAATGTATATTCTGTTGATTTGGGGTGGAGAGTTCTATAGATGTCTATTAGGTCCGCTTGGTGCAGAGCTGAGTTCAATTCCTGGGTATCCTTGTTGACTTTCTGTCTCGTTGATCTGTCTAATGTTGACAGTGGGGTGTTAAAGTCTCCCATTATTATTGTGTGGGAGTCTAAGTCTCCTTGTAGGTCACTCAGGACTTGCTTTATGAATCTGGGTGCTCCTGTGTTGGGTGCATATATATTTAGGATAGTTAGCTGTTCTTGTTGAATTGATCCCTTTACCATTATGTAATGGCCTTCTTTGTCTCTTTTGATCTTTGTTGGTTTAAAGTCTGTTTTATCAGAGACTAGGATTGCAACCCCTGCCTTTTTTTGTTTTCCATTTGCTTGGTAGATTTTCCTCCATCCTTTTATTTTGAGCCTATGTGTGTCTCTACACGTGAGATGGGTTTCCTGAATACAGCACACTGATGGGTCTTGACTCTTTATCCAATTTGCCAGTCTGTGTCTTTTAATTGGAGCATTTAGTCCATTTACATTTAAAATTAATATTGTTATGTGTGAATTTGATCCTGTCATTATGATGTTAGCTGGTTATTTTGCTCGTTAGTTGATGCAGTTTCTTCCTCGTCTTGATGGTCTTTACATTTTGGCATGATTTTGCAGTGGCTGGTACTGGTTGTTCCTTTCCATGTTTAGTGCTTCCTTCAGGAGCTCTTTTAGGGCAGGCCTGGTGGTGACAAAATCTCTCAGCATTTGGTTGTCTGTAAAGTATTTTATTTCTCCTTCACTTATGAAGCTTAGTTTGGCTGGATATGAAATTCTGGGTTGAAAATTCTTTAAGAATGTTGAATATTGGCCCCCACTCTCTTCTGACTTGTAGGATTTCTGCCGAGAGATCTGCTGTTAGTCTGATGGGCTTCCCTTTGAGGGTAACCTGACCTTTCTCTCTGGCTGCCCTTAACATTTTTTCCTTCATTTCAACTTTGGTGAATCTGACAATTATGTGTCTTGGAGTTGCTCTTCTCGAGGAGTATCTTTGTGGCGTTCTCTGTATTTCCTGAATCTGAATGTTGGCCTGACTTGCTAGATTGGGGAAGTTCTCCTGGATAATATCCTGCAGAGTGTTTTCCAACTTGGTTCCATTCTCCCCATCACTTTCAGGTACACCAATCAGACGTAGATTTGGTCTTTTCACATAGTCCCATATTTCTTGGAGGCTTTGCTCATTTCTTTTTATTCTTTTTTCTGTAAACTTCCCTTCTCGCTTCATTTCATTCATTTCATCTTCCATCGCTGATACCCTTTCTTCCAGTTGATCGCATCGGCTCCTGAGGCTTCTGCATTCTTCACGTAGTTCTCGAGCCTTGGTTTTCAGCTCCATCAGCTCCTTTAAGCACTTCTCTGTATTGGTTATTCTAGTTATACATTCTTCTAAATTTTTTTCAAAGTTTTCAACTTCTTTGCCTTTGATTTGAATGTCCTCCCGTAGCTCAGAGTAATTTGATCGTCTGAAGCCTTCTCTCAGCTCGTCAAAGTCATTCTCCGTCCAGCTTTGTTCCGTTGCTGGTGAGGAACTGCATTCCTTTGGAGGAGGAGAAGCTCTCTGCTTTTTAGAGTTTCCAGTTTTTCTGTTCTGTTTTTTCCCCATCTTTGTGGTTTTATCTACTTTTGGTCTTTGATGATGGTGATGTACAGATGGGTTTTTGGTGTGGATGTCCTTTCTGTTTGTTAGTTTTCCTTCTAACAGACAGGACGCTCAGCTGCAGGTCTGTTGGAGTACCCGGCCGTGTCAGGTGTCAGTGTGCCCCTGCTGGGGGGTGCCTCCCAGTTAGGCTGCTCGGGGGTCAGGGGTCAGGGACCCACTTGAGGAGGCAGTCTGCCCGTTCTCAGATCTCCAGCTGCGTACTGGGAGAACCACTGCTCTCTTCAAAGCTGTCAGACAGGGACATTTAAGTCTGCAGAGGTTACTGTTGTCTTTTTGTTTGTCTGTGCCCTGCCCCCAGAGGTGGAGCCTACAGAGGCAGGCAGGCCTCCTTGAGCTGTGGTGGGCTCCACCCAGTTCGAGCTTCCCGGCTGCTTTGTTTACCTAAGCAAGCCTGGGCAATGGCGGGCGCCCCTCCCCAAGCCTCGCTGCCGCCTTGCAGTTTGATCTCAGACTGCTGTTCTAGCAATCAGCGAGACTCCATGGGCGTGGGACCCTCCGAGCCAGGTGCGGGATATAATCTCCTGGCGTGCCGTTTTTTAAGCCGGTCTGAAAAGCGCAGTATTCGGGTGGGAGTGACCCAATTTTCCAGGTGCCGTCTGTCACCCCTTTCTTTGACTAGGAAAGGGAACTCCTTGAACCCTTGCGTTTTCGGAGTGAGGCAGTGCCTCGCCCTGCTTCGGCTCGTGCATGGTGCGCGCACCCGCTGACCTGCGCCCACTGTCTGGCACTCCCTAGTGAGATGAACCTGGTACCTCAGATGGAAATGCAGAAATCACCATCTTCTGCGTCGCTCATGCTGGGAGCTGTAGACCGGAGCTGTTCCTATTCGGCCATCTTGGCTCCTCCGGCTGTATAACATATATTAATGTAAACTCTAGTATAAACATGTATATACTAGTATAAACTCATGTATATACTAGTATAAACTCATGTATATACTAGTATAAACTCATGTATATACTAGTATAAACTCATGTATATACTAGTATAAACTCATTAGTATTTGTATAATATATATTAGTATAATAAATTAGTGTAAACTCATTAGTATAAGCTCATATATAGTAGAAAAACCCATTACTATTTGTATAATATATATTAGTATAATAAAGATATAGGTATAAACTTATTAGTATAAACATATATGCTAATATAAACTCAGTATAAGTGTAATATATATTAGTATAATATCAACATAAACTAGCAGAAACTAATATATATACTAGTATAAACTCATTAGTATTTGTATAAGTATAATATACATTAGTGTAAACTCATTAGTATAAACTCGTATAGTAGAATAAACCCATTACTATTTGTATAATATATATTAGCATAATAAATATATAGGTATAAACTCAGTATAAACATATATGCTAATATAAACTCATTAGTATAAGTGTAATACATATTAGTATTATAAATATCAACATAAACTCTAGTAGAAACTAATATATGTACTAGTATAAACTCATTAGTATTTGTATAATATATATTAGTATCATAAATATATATTACTGTAAACTCATTAGTATAAACTCATGTATATAGTAGAATAAACCCAGTAGTATTTGTATAATAATATTAGTATAATAAATATACATTGTTATAAACTCATTAGTATAAACATATATAGTAGTATAAACTCATTAGTATTTGTATAATATATTAATATGATAAATTAATATACCAAATATACCAATAAAAATTGGTATAAATTCATTAGTATAAACTCATATATACTAGTATAAACTCAGTATCTGTATATTAGTATATATTATAAACTCATAAACACATATACTAGTATAAACTCATTAGAATTTGTATTATATATTAATAGTATAAACTCCTATATATACTAGTATAAACTCAGTATTTTTATAATATAAATATGTTAGTAGAAACTCATCAGTGTAAAGTCATCTAAATTAGTATAGTAAATATATACTAGTGTAAACTCATGGCTATCTGTTAACAAACAGGAAGGTACAGAGCTGATGTCTTGAGCTAGCTGGAGATTGCCTTCCGTGGTGGGTTATAACCCAGTACTATCCTTAGCTATTTTTAATTTTTATTTTTATTTTACTCTGTGGCCCAGATGGTTTAAGTCTTGCCATTGGTTGGTCTTGGGAAGATCTTCCAGACTGGCTGCGGCATTGTGACCTGTGCAGTGTCCCTCATTTTGAGTTTTTCTGATGTTTTCTCATGGTTAGAGGGAGGCTTTGCATTTTTGGAAGTCCTCTGTTTGTTAGGATGTCAGTGTAAGGCGATGTTACCATGATGTCTACACACTCTTTTTTTTTTTTTTTTTTTTTGGAGACGGAGTCTCACTCTGTCACCCAGGCTGGAGTGCAGTGGCGCAATCTCAGCTCACTGCAAGCTCCTCCTCCCAGGTTCACGCCATTCTCCTGCCTCAGCCTCCCAAGTAGCTGGGACTACAGGCGCCCGCCACCACACCCGACTAATTTTTTGTATTTTTAGTAGAGACGGGGTTTCACCGTGTTAGCCAGGATGGTCTTGATCTCCTGACCTCGTGATCCACCTGCCTCAGCCTCCCAAAGTGCTGGGACTACAGGCGTGATCCACCGCACCTGGCCCTGTCTACACATCTTGACATCTTGTTTCTAGTGATGTTAATCTTGATGGTGAAGGTGGTATGTGCTGGAAATAATCAATGGGTTGGGGGGTATAGACTTGAAGACTATATGCAAATGTCCTGTTTCTTTTTCTTTTCTTTTCTTTCTTTTTTTTTTTTTTTTTTTTGAAAACGAGTTTTGCTCTGTCGCCCAGGCTGGAGTGCAATGGGATGATCTCAGCTCACTGCAAACCTCCGTCTCCCTGGTTCAAGCGATTTTCCTACCTCAGCCTCCCAAGTAGCTGGGATTACAGGCCTGTGCCACCACACCTGGCTAATTTTTGTATTTTTCGTAGAGACGGTTTCACAATGTTGGCCAGGCTGGTCTCAAACTCCTGACCTCAGGTGATCCACACACCTCGGCCTCCCAAAGTGCTGGGATTATAGGCGTGAGCCACTGTGCCTGGCCTTCCCCTCCCTCCCTCCCTTCCTTTCTCTCTCTCTCTCTCTCTCCTTCTCTTTCTCTCTCTCTTTCTCTCTTTCTGTCTCTCTTTTTCTTTCTTTCTCTTTCTTCCCCTCACACCCGTCTCTTCTTATTTTTTTTTTGAGATAGGGCTCTCTCTGTCACCACCCAGGCTGTAGTGCTGTGGCCCAATCTCGGCTCGCTGCAGCCTTGACCTCCGAGGCTCAAGCAATCCTCCCACCTCTCAGCCTCTCAGGTCTCTGGGACCACAGGTGCATGCCACCATGCCCAGCTAATTTTTTTTTTTTTTTTTTTTTTTTTTTTTTTTGTAGAGACAGGGTCTTGCTATACTGTCTAAGCTGGTCTTAAACTCCTGATCTCAAGCGATCCTCCAGTCTCAGCCTCCCAAAGTGATGGGATTATGGTGTGAACCACCGTGCCCAGCCCTATTTCTTCTTAAACCTCTTCATCAGTAATTTTAACATTCACAGTGAATAAGAGATTTTTGATATTTATTCAGAGTGTAGAAGGGGCAGGAAGATGAATCAACAGATGTGGTTGGATTATAAATACATACATAACACATCAGTCCTTTTTTCTTTCTTCTTTCTCTGTTTCTTTCTCTTTCTTTTTCTCTTTTTCTTTCTCTTTTTCTCTCTCTCTTTTTCTCTTGCTCTCTCTTTTTCTGTCTTGCTCTCTCTTTTTCTCTCTCTTTCTTTCATCTCTCTCTCTTTTCTTTTTTTTTTTCAGACAGAGTCTCGCTCTGTCACCCAGGCTGGAGTGCAGTGGCGTGGTCTCAGCTCACTGCAACCTCCACCTCCTCGGTTCAAGGGATTCTCTTGCCTCAGCCTCCCAAGTAGCTGGGAATACAGGTGCCCACCACTACGCCTGGCTAATTTTTGTATTTTTAGTAGAGATGAGGTTTCACCATGTTGGCCAGGCTGGTCTCGAACTCCTGACCTCAAGTGATCCACCCGCCTTGGCCTCCGAAAGTGCTGGGATTACAAGTGTCAGCCACTGTGCCTGGCCATATTTCTGTTCAAGGAGTATTGAGTTTCTTATTTCCTTGCCAGAATGTGGAAATGAGATAAAGACCCCCACAAAAGAGAACAAGCAAAGGCTACTTATTCAGTGCTTGCTGTAGCAGGGGTCCGCCACCATCACAGAAACTCAAAGACAGACAGAGGAGGGGAAAAGCTTTATCGTGGAAAAAGGGAGGCTCAGGTGTGCCCTGAAGAAAGGCTTTGTCCTCCAGGGAAGCTGGAGGCAGCTCACTGGAAGCATGGTGGCGTCCTGGGTGAGTGGTTAGGGGGCATATTTGACTTCCTCTTGTTGGACTTAAATTGGAAATGGGAAGAAGAATTAGGAAAGCTTTCAGGTATTAATGAAGCCTTGGCCACTGGGGGCCAATTGCTGCAGAGGGAATGGATCAGAGTTCTCTCTTTTTTCACATTACAGCCTGTGTGTGACGTGCTATTACATACGGCCCACCACTTGTTTTTTTGTAAATAAAGTTTTATTGAAATGCAGTCAACCCCATCATTTGCATAATGTTTCTGGCTGCTAGTTTTGTTGTTGTTGTTATTTTTTGTTTGTTTGTTTTTTGAGACAAGGTCTCCCTCTGTTGCCCAGGCTGGAGTGCAGTGGTACCATCATAGCTCACTGCAGCCTCTACCTCCCAGGCTCAAGGGATCCTCCTGCTTCAGCCTCCTGAGTAGCTGAGACTACAGGCACATGTCTACAAGGTCTGCTAATTATTTTAGTTTTTGATGATTACTAGATTTTTGATTACTAGTTTTTGATTACTAGTTTTTGATTACTAGAGATGGGGTCTCGCTTTGTTGCTGAGGCTGGTAGAGTTCTCTTTTTATATATGGTCCTAGTGACGGAATGCTGGTGATGAATATGTCAAGATTCGCGCCTCCCATCTCTCAAACTAGGAGAAGCAAATGCTGATGAGACACTAAGACAATTCCAAGGCACAGGGCAATGTTTTCTCGGCTGGCAGTTCTGCTGCGTTTTGTCATGGCACATGTCCTACATATTGGAATTACTCCATCTGCAGAGGAGGAGGAGCCTCAATCTTCAGCTTCAGTGGTGCCTTTGGCAGCAAGGACCTGGAGATTGTTCACTTGTGAAGGATGCAGGGGACAGATTCAGGGCCAGGTGAGCACGTCCATTTAGGGTTTGGGAGCTGGACGGCAGCTCTGATTTTTCAGCCTTCCCATCATTGTTGCAGAAACAGCCATCTCCTTGGGGGATTATCGCATTTCGGTCAGGGAGGCGTGTTTCCCCAACCTCCCCACACCCTGCATACTTCATCCTGTATCTGGTCTTCAGAGCTGTGTCTTCCTCATCAGCCCTCGCTGATGGGGGGTGGCTGGGAGTATCCAGCCTTTTCCACCTGTATTAGGGCATCGGGGGAAAGACAAGAGACGGGAACTGGGTGTGCCTGTTTCTCAACCACCAAAAAGGTCCATCAAAAGTTTATATACTTGGCCGGGTGCAGTGGCTCACGCCTGTAATCCCAGCACTTTGGGAGGCCGAGGCGGGCAGATTACCAGGTCAGGTGATCAAGACCATCCGGGCCAACATGGTGAAACCCTGTCTCTACTAAAAATACAAAAATTAGCCGGGCGTGGTTGCATGTGCCTGTAGTCCCAGCTACTCGGGAGGCTGAGGCAGGAGAATCACTTGAACCCAGGAGGCAGAGGTTGCAGTGAGCCGAGATTTGTGCCACTGCACTCCAGCCTGGGCGACAGAGCGAGATTCCGTCTCAAAAAAAGAAAAAAGGAAAGTAAAAAGTTTGTATATTTAATCCCAGCACTTTGGGAGGCCAAGGCAAGCAGGTCACCTGAGGTTGGGAGTTTGAGACCAGCCTGACCAACATGGAGAAACCCTGTCTCTACTGAAAATACAAAATTAGCTGGGCATAGTGGCCCATGCCTGTAACCCCAGCTACTTGAGAGGCTGAGGCAGGAGAATCGCTTCAACCTGGGAGGCAGAGGTTTGGTGAGCCAAGATCGTGCCATTGCACTCCAGCCTGGGCCACAGAGGGAGACTCCATCTCAAAACAACAACAAAAAGCTTATATAGTTTATCCAGTCTATTACTGATGGGCATTTGGGTTGGTTCCAAGTCTTTGCTATTGTAAATAGTGCTGCAATAAACATACGTGTACATATGTCTATAAAGAAAATGTGGCACATAGACACCATGGAATACTACACAGCCATGAAAAAGAATGGGATTGGCCGGGTGCCGTGGCTCACACTTGTAATCCCAGCACTTTGGGAGGCCGAGGCAGGCGGCTCACCTTAGGTCAGGAGTTCAAGACCAGCCTGGCCAACATGATGAAACCCTGTCTCTACCAAAAATTCCAAAAAAAAAAAATTAGCTGGACGTGGTGGTGGGCACCAGTAATCCGAGCTACTCAGGAGGCTGAGGCAGGAGAATCGCTTGAACCCGGGAGGCAGAGATTGCAGTGAGTGGAAGTCTCACCACTGCACTCCAGCCTGGGCAACAAGAGCAAAACTCTGTCTCCAAAAAAAAAAAAAAAAAAAAAAAAAAAGGATGAGTTCATGTCCTTTGCAGGGACATGGATGAAGCTGGAAGCCATCCTGCTCAGCCAACTAACTCAGGAACAGAAAACCAAACACCGCATGTTCTCACTCATTAAGTGGGAGTTGAACAATGAGAACACATGGACACAGGGAGGGGAACATCACACACCAGAGCCTGTTGGGGGCTGGGGGACAAGGGGAGTGAGAGCATTAGAACAAATACCTAACGCATCCGGGACTTACAATCTAGATGACGGGTTGACAGGTGCAGCAAACCACCATGGCACATGTATACCTATTGTATACCTATGTAACAAACCTGCACGTTCTACACATGTATTCCAGAACTTATCCCAGCACTTGGGGAGGCTGAGGTGGGCAGATCATGAGGTCAGGAGATCGAGACCATCCTGACCAACATGGTGAAACCCCGTCTCTACTAAAATAAAAAAAAAATACAAAAATTAGTCGGGCGTGGTGGCGCATGCCTGTAGTCCCAGCTACTTGAGGCTGAAGCAGGAGAATCGCTTGAACCCGGGAGGTGGAGTTGTGGTGAGCTGAGATTGCGCCACTGCACTCCAGCCTGGTGACAGAGCAAGACTCCGTCTCAAAAAAAAAAAAAAAAAGTTTGTATACTTAACCATGTGGAGTTTGCCTTATACTTTGAACCCTTCCAAGAGCTGGGTGGCGCAAAGATCTTTAACTGAATCCCAGACTCATCTATTAGAAGTTCTCTGCATCTTACATGAATTTCAAGCTCACTTCATTTATTTTCTATAATCCCTTCTTTGGGGATTTGTGTGTAGTGTCTAAGTCAGCCATTTTATTCTTAGCAAAAGCTGTCATTGCTTTGTAAGATGTTGTAATTCAAGAATATTTATCATCTATTTATATAGATCTTCATAATTATCTACCTTCATTAATATCTACCTATCCATTATCTAATCTATCATCTATCCATCATCTGTGTATCTCTGTCTACCTATTTATCTATCTACCTATCTAATCTATCATCTATCCATCTATCATCTGTGTATCTCTACCTATTTATCTACCTATCATGTATCGTTGTCTATTCATATATTATCATTTACCTCTTCTATCTACCTACCTATCATCTATCCATCTATCATCTGTGTATCTATGTATTTATGTATCTATCTATCACCTATCATTATCTATTAATGTATTATCTATCATTTACCTCATCTATCCATCCACCCAGCTATTTATTTATAGATCTATTTATCTACCCATCACTTATCACCTATCCATATTCATCTATCATCTGTTCATGTATTCTTTCTACTTATCTTGCCATTTACCTATCATCTATCTTATGTACCTATCATTCTATCATCTGTCTATTGATCAGTTATGTAGCAATCTATCATCTCTATCATCTATCTGTCATCTCTCTCCATCATCTGTCTGTGTCTACCCTATTTATCTATCTATCTACCTACCTACCTACCTATCTATGTCTCTATCTACATATCTAGGTCTTTATTTATTATCTATCAATTTTTCTCCTCCCCTTCTTTTTGCTCCGCCCTCTGCATTGGGCTTCAAAGGAATCCAGTTGGAATGTGAATTTCAGGGATAGCATGAAATGATGCCTGGGATCCCAGCACCGATACCCTACATCTGACCTCAAAGCTTCTAGAAAGAGTGTTACTCAACCATGTGCTCCTTAAGAGATGGGTGTTAATAAAAGAGGAAAAGCCAAGTTTTCTAAGGTTTCAAGGCATCAGGCTGTTCTCAACCACTGCTCCGTTCACCTCCTAGAACAGAATCGGGCTCAAAGAGAATGTGCGTGATGAGTATATGCGGCAGCAATAAATGCTCAGCCGCCAATAAATGCTCAACATCTGCTTGACTTTTCTTCAAGATGCCCCAGATGTGGGAGTGCTTCCTTCCTGGGGAAGTCGCTTGTGTCATCAAATGTAAAATCTCCTCTTACATCTCCTGTTCTCTGGGATATAATTACATCGTTTGCCAGAGATTTTCTTCAAGCGTGACGGCCAATGTTGTTACCTTGTGACAACTTTCTCTTCTCAGTCCTGGTTCAGTGCTAGAGGTAAGGTAGCGGCCGTGTCAGAATTCTGAACACATTTGGTTCAGAATAAAATCAGTGCTCACCATGATCCTTATGAGTCTGACCGATGTTTGTGTCTGCACTTTGGCCTCTTGGCTCTTTAAGTGAAAGTTGT
The DNA here is from genome assembly GCF_000001405.40 of Homo sapiens. Classification (NCBI taxonomy): domain Eukaryota; kingdom Metazoa; phylum Chordata; class Mammalia; order Primates; family Hominidae; genus Homo; species Homo sapiens. Next base: position 1,717,755 of record NC_000024.10, read on the forward strand.
AAATTTTCTGTTGTAAACAGCCCAGAAATGTCAAATCCTTGACCCAGGGAGAAAGAGAATAAATCAAGCCCCTAATGTGTTTCATATTCAGAGAAGCATTCAAAGGTTGATGAGAAATAAATGTTTATTTAAAAGATGATTTTTCTTTTTCTTTTTTTTTTTTTTGAGATGGAATATCGCTCTGTCACCAGGCTGGAGTGCAGTGGCATGATCTGGGCTCACTGCAACCTCCGCCTCCCGGGTTCACGCCATTCTCCTGCCTCAGCCTCCCGAGTAGCTGGGACTACAGGCGCCCGCCATCACGCCTGGCTAATTTTTTGTATTTTTAGTAGAGACGGGGTTTCACCGTGTTAGCCAGGATGGTCTCAATCTCCTGACCTCATGATCTGCCAGCCTCGGCCTCCCAAACTGCTGGGATTATGGGCGTGAGCCACCGCACCCAGCCAAAAGATGATTTTTCTTTAACTGTTCTCTGTCTAGTTGTTAAATCAATTGTGCATATTGTTTCTGAATTTCTCCTTAAATAATTTTCAACATAAGCAGAACTTGGAAAGATCATGATGAATGTCAATGGTGTATATTTTGAGCCTCTAGCATTCATCAATTCTGAGACCTTTTCTACATTGATTGATTGATTGATTGATTGATACACAGGAGGTCAAACTATACAAATAAATGGTCATTATTAGTCCTTAAAATATATCTTAGCCGGGTGCGGTGGCTCACACCTGTAATCCCAGCACTTTGGGAGGCTGAGGCGGGTGGATCAAAAGGTCAGGAGATCGACACCATCCTGGCTAACACGGTGAAACCCTGTCTCTACTAAAAATACACAAAATTAGCTAGGTGTGGTTGCGGATGCCTGTAGTCCCAGCTACTCAGGAGGATGAGGCAAAAGAATGGCTTGAACCTGGAAGGCGGAGCTTGCAGTGAGCCAAGATTGTGCCACTGTACTCCAGCCTGGGCAACACAGCAAGGCTGTCTCAAAAAAAAAATATATATATATATGTATATATATATATATCTTGTATTCTTACTGATGTGGCCATGAGCAGGTTGAATAGTTACTGCATGGTTTTCCTTTTAATGTGGGATTTTCTGTTCATGGCCATAAGCTGAACATCTTGTCTAGGTTGTGGTTAAGGCTAAGGAACATATAACTCAAGAGCAGGCATTTTCCTTAGCCGAGGGTGTGAGTTCCAGTCTGAGTCTGAAGGCCTGAGACCCAGGAGAGCTGAGGGTGTCAGCTCCAGTCTGAGTCTGAAGACTTGAGACCCAGGAGAGCTGAGGGTGTGAGTTCTAGTGTGAGTCTGAAGGCCTGAGACCCAGGAGAGCTGAGGGTGTGAGTTCCAGTCTGAGTCTGAAGGCCTGATCTTTCAGCTCAATCAGAGAGCTTTTTCAGTGCTTTTAAAATCCATTTGTCCATATTGAGATTATTGTTCTCAGCTGTATTTTCAATGTCGTCACACTTCTGAGTTTATCAAGCCTGGTACATTTGCATGTGATTGTGTGAATTTGTGTTTATTTCTGGGCCAAGGTAGAAAGAATAATGAAATCATTCTTATTGAAAGATGAATCAAGTCCATTCCCTAATTATTTCCTCCTTCATGCTGGTGGCCTTGGGTTTCAGAGATGAGAGTGGAGGAAGAGGAGGTATCTCAGAAGCTATCAGGAGACTGCATTCCAGCTGGGTGACTCCTAAGTTGGGCGGGGGAATTTTAAAAAACACCAGTATCTCTTCCTCCCCTTTGCCTGCCTGGACTTTGATCTACCATCAGAGAATGGTCCTTTTCAGGGCCACGCAGGGTACCAGGAGGGGTCCAGGAGGAGGTGGGGCTTGGCCATCCTGATGCCATTCTTGCCTCAATAGCCTCTGAATGACAAAAAACAAGCAAGTGGGCTGTTAGGTTGCATTGCTGAAAAATGTCACAGGCATCCCCTCTGCAGCACGACATCACCGGACCTCAAAAGCAGCCTCCTTGGTGGGGCATCCTGGTCCCAGAAGTCAGGAGAGTCTAGAGTTGCTTTCATTCCTGTTTACCTGGAATCACGCATTGCAAGTGTTCATTCCCTTGTGGAGTCCTTCTTTCCCTCCCTCCCTCTCTTCCTTCCTTCCTTCTTTCCCTTCCTTCCTTCTTTCCTTCTTTCCCTTCCTTCTTTCCCTCCCTCCCTCCCTCCCTCTCTCTTCCTTCCTTCCTTCTTTCCTTCTTTGCTTCCTTCCTTCCTTCTTTCCCTTCCCTCCCTCCCTTCTTTCCCTCCCTCCCTCCTTCCCTCCCTTCTTCCTTCCCTCCCTCCCTCCCTCCCTCCTTCCTTCCTTTCGTCCTTCCTCTTGTCTTGCTCTGTCGCCCAGACTGGACTGCAGTGGTGCAATCTCAGCTCACTGCAACCTCTGCCTCCTAGGTTCAAGTGATAATTCTGCCTCAGCCTCCCGAGTAGCTGTGATTACAGGTGTCCGCCACCACAGCCGGCTAATTTTTTTTTTTTTTGTATTTTTAGTAGAGATGCAGTTTCACCATGTTGGTCAGGCTGGTCTCGAACCCCTGACCTCAGGTGATCCACCCGCCTTGGCCTCCCAAAGTGCTGGGATGACAGGTGTGAGCCCCTGCACCCAGCCGGTAGCTGTCTTTCCTTGGCTGGGGTGTCTACGCAATTGAGCTTGGGTTAGGGGCAACTATGCATTTAATGCAGGTTGGTCAATTATATGGTTTACTCTTTAGGGTCTTCCTTTGCAAAGAGTGTACAGTAATGGATGCCATGTGGGTGGCTGGGATGTGGCAGACATTCTCTGGAATAATGCTGGCAAAATGCTCTTTCCTCCTAAGAGAAAAAGATGCCCATCTGTCCAGGAAGATGCCTGAGAAAACAGTCATCAATCGGGAAAGAAAAACATAGCCGTCTCCATTGCACGCCGCATTTGAGCCGCTGCTATATTTCTCTCTTTAGTTGTGTGTGTCTATGTGTGTGTCTATGCCTGTGTGAATGTAGTATAAGATCCAGACTGAAAGCCTGAGACCCAGGAGAGCCGAGGGTGTGAGTTCCAGTCTGAGTCTGAAGGCCTGAGACCCAGGAGAGCTGAGGGTGTGAGTTCCAGTGTGAATCTGAAGACCCGAGACCCAGGAGAGCTGAGAGTGTGATTTCTAGTCTGAGTCTAAAGGCCTGCATCTGGAACTGACACTGTCAGCTTTGTGTGAGAATGTACAAGGATTGTCAAAGCTGCTGAGGTCGTTAAACATTTCATACTCTCTCTCTCTTTTTTTAATCATACTGCAGCCATTCTTTTTTCCCCTAAGTGATTTATGTTTCTAAACCACTGAGAAGCAATAAAGTGTCATCAACCGCAAATTGTGCCTATTGCAAAGTGAAGTCTTACATTGCTTTAGCCTGCAAAAAGCATGAGGATTCTGAAGTAAAATATCAGCAATGCATTCATTATAATGATTTTGTGGTTCAACTGAAGCTTATATGTCAGAGAACCCATGCTTATTTTTATTTACTTTGTTTTTTGAAAGTCAAAATTTACCTTTATTTAAAAGTTTTTCTTTTTTTAAATTTTTATTTGAGGTACAAGGGACCATGTGAAAGTTTATCATGGGGGTTTGTTGTATAGATTATTTCTTTACCCAGGTATTAGCCACCAGTACCCAATAGTTATCTTTTCTGCTCATCTCCCTTCTCCCACCCTCTACCTTCAAGTGGACCCTACTTTCATTCTTCGTGTGAAGAAGTTCTCATCATTTACCTCCCACTTATAAGTGAGAACATGTAGTATTTGGTTTTCTGCTCTTACATTAGTTTGCTTAGGATAATGGCCTCCAGCTCCAACCATGTTCCTGCAAAGGACATGAACTCATCCTTTTTTATGGCTGCATAGTATTCCATGGTGTCTATGTGCTACATTTTCTTTTTTTAATTTTTTTTATTTTTTTATGATTATACGTTAAGTTCTAGGGTACCTGTGCACAATGTGCAGGTTTGTTACATATGTATACATGTGCCATGTTGGTGTGCTGCACCCATTAACTGGTCATTTACATTAGGTATTTCTCCTAATGCTATCCCTCCCCCCTCCTTCCACCCCACGACAGGCCCTGGTGTGTGATATTCCCCTTCCTGTGTCCATGTGTTCTCATTGTTCAACTCCCACCTATGAGTGAGAACATGCGGTGTTTGGTTTTTTGTCCTTGCGATAGTTTGCTGAGAATGATGGTTTCCAGCTTCATCTGTGTTCCTGCAAAGGACATGATCTCATCCTTTTTTATGGCTGTATAGTATTCCATGGTGTATATGTGCCACATTTGCTTTGTGCAGTCTATCATTGATGGGCATTTAGGTGTATTCCATGTCTTTGCTATTGTGAGTAGTGCTGCAGTGAACCTATGCATGCACGTGTCTTTTTTTTGTTTTTTAGACAGAGTCTTGTGGTGTGATCTCAGCTCACTGCAACCTCTGCCTCCCGGGTTCAAGCGATTCTTTTGCTTCTGCCTCCTGAGTAGCTGGGATTACAGGCGCCCATGACCACGCCTGGCTAATTTTTGTATTTTTAGTAGAAATGGGGTTTTACCATGTTGTCCAGATGGCCTTGATCTCCTGACCTCGTGACCTGCCTGGCTCAGCCTTCCAAAACCATGCCCGGCCTTGCACGTGTCTTTATAATAGAATGATTTATATTCCTCTGGTTATAGACCCAGTCATGGGATGGCTGGGTCAAATGGTTGTTCTCTTTTCAAAATGCTTAGATTTAAAAAATTTGACTCTCACCATTCATTGCAATGAAACCTGCAAATGTGTCCTTAAAATAAATAAATAGGCCGGGCACGGTGGCTCACGCCTGTAATCCCAGCACTTTGGGAGGCCGAGGTGAGCGGATCATGAGGTCAAGAGATCGAAACCAGCCTGGTTAACATGGTTAAACCCCGTCTGCACTAAAAATACAAAAACTAGCCAGGCGTGGTGGCATGCGCCTGTAATCTGAGCTACTGGGGAGGCTGAGGCAGGAGAATCGCTTGAATCTGGGAGGTGGAGGTTGCGGTGAGCTGAGATGGCGCCACTGCACTCCAGCCTGGGGAGAGAGCAAGACTGTGTCTCAAAAAATAATAATAATAAAAACAAATAATAAATAAATAAGTAAAACCTGCCTCCAGACAATGGAATGATTTTCAGTGCTAAAGTGAAATGAGCTATCAAGCCATGAATAAGCACGCAGGAACTGTGAGTGCATATTACTCAGGGAAATAAGTCAATCTGAAAAGGCTACCTACTGTAGCATTCCAACTCCATGACATTCTGGAAAATGCAGAATGATGGGGACAGTCAAAAGATCCCTGGTTTCCAGGGACTGCGAGTCTTTCATTGACTTCTCTGCAATGGGGCTATAGAGTTCTAACATTTGTAGAGATAGTTTCTTCAGTAAATTGGTTATGTGGCAGCCAGATGTTAGCTACTGGTTGACTTGGGCAATCATTAATTAATAATAACCTTCATCTATTTTATTTATGTATATATGCACACATATACAAACCCATATAGTGGATGGAGTATGTGGTAGGTTTGTTAGATGGTGTCTCTCTGTCCATCTCTCTCTCTCCATGTATGTCTATGTGTGTGTGTATAGACAGATGGTAGATAGATAGATAGATAATAGGTATGGGTGGGCAGATGATAGGTAGATAATAGATAGATGAATAGATAGGTACATACATAGATGGACGTATAGATGGATGATAGATACATACATAGATGAATAGATAGATGATAGATAGACAGATGATGATAGGTAGGTAGATAGATATGGGTAGGTAGATGATAGGTAGATAATAGATGGATGACTAGATACATACATAGATGGACTTATAGATGGATAATAGATACATACACAGGTGAATAGATGATAGATGGGTGGATAGATGATAGGTAGATAGATATATAGATAAATAGATATGGGTGGATAGATGATAGGTAGCTAATAGATGGATGAATAGATAGATACATACATACATAGATGGACTTATAGATGGATGATAGATACATGGATGAATAGATAGATGATAGATGGATACATAGATGATGATAGGTAGGTAGATATGGGTGAGTAGATGATAGGTAGATAATAGATGGATGAATAGATAGATACATACATAGATAGATGGACTTATAGGATGATAGATACATACATAGATGAATAGATAGATGATAGATGGATACATAGATGATAGATAGATGACAGATATTGGTGGGTAGATGATAGGTAGATAATAGACGGATGAATAGATAGATACATAGATGGACTTATAGATGGATGATAGATACATACATAGATCAATAGATGATAGATGGATACATAGATGATGATACATACATGCATACATACATACATAGACAGCTATAGATAAATGATAGATGACGTGTCTATCTATATTTCTATGTATCTATGTTCTCATCCATCCACCAATCCATCCGTCCCTCCATCCATCTGCACACATATGTAGTCATGCACCACATAATAACATTTCAGTCCATGATGGACAACATATACAATGGTAGTCCCATAACATTACAATATGGTAGTTTTCCTGTACCCTGTTCTATGTCTAGGTATGTTTAGATACATAATTACTTATTGTTGTGTTACAATTGCCTACAGTATTCAATACAGTCACATGCTGCCCAGGTTTGCAACCTAGGAGCAATAGGCCATATTGTGTAGCCTAGGTGTAGAGTAGGCTGTACTATCTAGGTTTGTGTAAGTGCACTCTCTGATGCACATACAAGAATGAAATCATGTCATCATGCATTTCGTAGAATCTATCCAAGTGACCCATGACATGTCTGTAATGACTGTATATGGTAGATGAGGTATCTATCTATATATATATCTGTCATAATCATCTATCTATCCCATCCATCTATTCATCCATCCTTCCATCCATCCATCGATCTATCCATTCAACCATCCATCCATTCATGTATCCATCCATCCATCCATTTATTCATCTACCCACCTTGTCTATGCAATCTCATCCATCTACCTACCTTGACTATCTATCTATTTATCCATCCATCCATCCAACCATCCATTTATCCATCTACTCACCCTGCTATCTATCTACTGATGTATGTGTATGTATGTATGTATCTATCTAGTTATCTAGCTATCTAATCTATCCATCTGCCCACCCATCCAATCAACCATCCATACGTCTGTCTGTCCATCCATCCATCCATCCACTCACTCTCTCTCTCCATCTCTATTCAAGCTCATCAGTCTATCCATTCATCTACCCACCCACCCTACCTGCCTGTCTATGTATCTATGTATGTATGTATGTATGTGCATATCTGTCTATCCATACATCCATCCATTAATCCATCCACTTACCCTGCCTGCCTGCCTCTCTTTCTCTCTCTGGTAGATAAAAGTTACAATTAATTAATGATTTTCAAAGTAACCAGTAGCTGAAATCTGGCTGCTATATGACTGGCTCACTGAAGAAAGTATCTCTAAGTCAGAATATTAGAACTCTATTGCTCCAGAGCACTTAATGAAAGAAGATATATTTCTGAAGTTAATTTATTTTTTACCAGAGGTGATTTTTTTGGGGACTTTTAAATGGAAGAGGGTTTGAATATATTGCAGAGATCAATACATTCTTATTTGCCTTTCCATAAATTAGAAGACAATAAAGTTACTGATTGTGAGGTGCAGAATAGTGCTCCCCCATACCCTCTCAAAACAGTCTGCATCTTCATCCCTGGAATCTGCAAGGACGTGACGTGGCAAAGACGAATGAAGGTGGCAGATGGAATTAAGGTTTCTAATTAGGCAATCTTAAAATAGATTATCCTGATTCTCTGGGGAGAGCCTAATGTCATCACAGACATCATTATCAGTGGAAAAGGGAGGCAGGGGAGACAGAACGAGAGGGACTGCAGAGTGAGAAAGAGCACTCGTGGCTGGCTTTGCTGATGGAGGAAGGGGCCACTGGATACAGGTGGCTTCTAGAAATGGAATCGGCAAGATTTTCCCCTCGAGTTTTGAGGGCAGCATAGCCCTGCTGACACCTCAGTTTCAGTCCACTGCACTTTTGATCTCCGAAACTATCAGATACTACATTTGTGTGTGTGTCTTTGTTTGTTTATTTAAGACAGAGTCTCACTATGATTCCCAGGCTGGAGTGCAGTGGCGAGATGTTGGCTCTTTGCAACCTCTGCCTTCCGGGTTCAAGCGATTCTTCTGCCCCAGCCGCTTGAGTTGCTAGGACTACAGACACCCATCACCATGGCTGGCTAATTTATATATATTTATTTTTTAACAGTGACGGGATTTCACCATGTTGGCTGGTGTCGAACTCCTGACCTCAAGTGATCCACCCACCTCAGCCTCCTAAAGTGCTGGGATTACAGGTATGAAACACTGTGCCTGGCTGTAAAATGTTTCTTATCGGACCTAAAAGGGTGCCTGGCTCTTAGTTGATTATCTGCTGGTCCTGGAAAGGAAGGAGAAAAAAAGGCAGGGGAAAGGGGATTCTCTGTAGAATGTGGATTTTTTTTTTTTTTTCCCTGCAAGGGACGGCTTGTGAGTTTGAAGGTCTGAGACCCAG